>NC_000021.9:35504525-35814479 GCF_000001405.40 Homo sapiens
GATGACATTGCACATTTAAGGTGTCAATCTAAGACTAATTTGCAAGTGACACCGCTGTACAGAGTATGTCAGTGCTAGAAGCGTAGGAACCTGGGTGGGATCTGCAGCTGGCTTCTGCTGAAGCGAAGTGTGTGTAAATTTGGAGAAAAAGCTCAGGGACTATGCATTTCAGTTCTCTCTTCTCTTGTGAAGGAACTGCCCTAAGTGTTCCTCTGAAGTGTATAATAAACTGAAAAATTTATTTACTTATTTTTATCAGTAGACGTCAAAAAGAAGCCTATCCTTTATATTAGAGTTAAAATTTGTACCTTTCTGTACCTGGAAAAATTCTCCTGATTTTTAAAACAGGTCTCCATACCTTTTATAAGCCACAACAAGGCTTCTTTGGAGGCAAGCCACTGTCTGGTGGTCTCAGACAGAAAGAATTCTTGCAGTAAGCCAGGCAAGCAGTACATATCTAACAACATCTATTCCTCCTCTTCTCCCTAACTTAATTTTTTTTTCTTTTTTTTTTTTTTTTGCCAGGAGCAAGTATCAAAGTATAGAGCCTTCAAAAGTGCTCTGGATTCCATTACAAAGAAAATCATGAATAATGCATCCCCACCTCCTGCTTTTATTTAATCTCAATCAGTGAGAGCTAGAAGTGCATTACTGTGTCCAGCTGCATCCCTGGCTCCGGAGGCTGGAACCTGGGGCTGAGGGACCCACAAGCCCCACAGGTGCTGTGCACCGCAGAGCCAGTTAACCAGCAATCCTGCTCAAGCCCCGGGAGACTGTAGCACCAAGGGCTCAACCCTTCCGGATGTCTGGCTTGCCATGGATGGTTCCTATACCTAGGGAGCTGCAGAACCTACTTTGAAACTGACACAGCCTGTGTATCCCGGGGTTACATCTCCCTTTCTCTGTTTTAATAAAGCTGTATTCCTAATAAAAGGAACAAACAGCCTATCCCACATGCTGAAAGATCATGACGAGAAGTCTGCCCAGTCTGTTATGATTCGATGTCCCATAAGCTAAGTCCCTCTGCACTCGTGCACATTGAGCACGAAATATAGGCAAATTGTTATTTCTGTCCATCAAGAGCAAATTATGATGATAGCTGGCTTTTGAATGTTAGAAACTATAGTGTTTTTCATTTCTGGGAGCACATCTTGTGTGTCACTATGTGCTATGCCTTTATGTTAAATAACATGTTTATGCTGGGATACAAAACAGTACGATGGCCACATAAAAAAGACTTCATAAGGTACATACATATGTCATATATCAACATATTTTAATTAGTGTAAGTTCAACATATAGAAAAAACAGCTACTCTTGGCTGGATGTGGTGACTGACTCCTGTAATCCCAGCACTTCAGGAGGCCAAGGCGGGTGGATCGCTTGAGCGTAGGGGTTCGAGACCAGCCTGGGCAACATGACGAAACCCCCTCTCTATAAAAACAATTAGCCAGGTGTGGTGGTACACGCTTGTAGTCCCAGCCACTCTGGAAGCTGAAGAGAAAGGATCATTTAAGCCCAGAAGGTCAAGGCTGCAGTGAGCCAAGATCACACCACTGCACTCCAGCCTGGGCCCCAGAGTGAGACCCTGTCTCAAAATTAAATAATTAATAAATAAAATAAACAAAAAGAAACAGCTACTTTTTGTAATTTGGAATCAGAAGTTTTATATAAGATAACACTTTTGAAATAATCAGGAATGTAAATTTATGTAAATTTAGCTGGGACTCTGTGTTAACATCTTTTTCGTTGTGCCTATTTTTCATGTTTTGCCATGCTAACATTTGCTATGTGCCCACACACACACGTGCAATTCTTTTCTACTCTATTAGCCTCTGGTTCTGTATGTTTCCATCATTAACTGAAGCATTTGCAGAACGAAATGGAGGTTTAGCACTTTGAGAGTTGTTTTATTTTTACAACCTTGGCAAAGCAAGTGTCATTGATTAAATGTCTGAATTCCAGGAGAGAGAAACTTGGCAGATTTTTGCTAGGATGTTGGACTGGTCCCAACCAAAGTAGAGATTGCAAGCGATGGTTCTTATTTTAATGTATGCTAATAGATATCCTGTGGCTTGTCATTGGGTCTCCAAGGGAAAAACAAAAAGAGTATGTGGTGTATTGGGGAGAAGGATAATAGTCTCTGCGTATAGGGTGGAGGGAGGAGGCATCCTGAAGATGAGCAACTGCTTCATTCATTTTTATCTCTTAGAGTAACATGTGCCTGTGTCAGTCCTTAATAACTCTTGTTCCAGAGTGTCCCCAAATCATTATTCACTTGTTTCACTAGTTTTGGTGAAAAATGATGGATCAAGGCTTCATCCTAGCTTGAGATCATTTTTGGATGCTTTTGCTGTTTTGACACCGGTATGTACAGCTGGATCCAAGGAGATACCACCCTTATATAGTTTCACTGCAGCCCACACTTGGTTTTGATTAATTTATTAACCCAAGATGCCCCTGGGGAGAGGGGGGTTACGGGAAACACCTTGAATTCTTTTGTTTTAACATTTCAGCATTGCTATTCATAGAAACTACCAAGCCTTTAAATCCCCTATCTGTTCTTGCCAGCAAAGTAAAATATGTTTTTAAGTGTTTGAAAACAAGGGAGAGTAAATGTGTTTTAAATGTATCACACACACACACACACACACACACACACACACACACACACACACACACTTTTGCCCATTATTGTTCCTGGTCACTTCTTACATCCAGAGGCTGAGAACTTAGACCTGCCCTCTGACCTCCTAAATTATCAGAGGTGAAACTCCCTTTTAAGCAAGATCTATATCTTGGAGAGTTTCCTCTCCCTCCTTGCATTCCCCAGGCCCATCTTTTCTACAAAGTGCTAGAGTGTCAGTTTTATGGGATGTTGAAACCTTCCCAGTATAAATTCTACCCGCATTATTCTTTTCAGGAAGGCTCTACAAACATTTAATAATAAAAGTGAAGTGGGTGCGACTCTTAGTTAATAAATACCTCATCTTGTGGGAAACATGAAGCCTTGAGCATAAAACCAGAGCTATCTTTTCATCTGGGCCTGTCCATCATCACAGTGCCCAAGTGCTTAATTTAAACTGCCACTTCGCCAAAAACCCAACTGGGCAGAGGATGCACTGTTCATGCCAACCACCGTAAGGCCAAATTATTCTATTTCTAGCAACAATCACCTTCCTCAGGAATCTATAATTTTCAGCTTATGATAAACCTTCAATACTTTGGATTTCCCGGGGGAAAGTCAATATTAAATTAGAAGGTAATTATATAGCATTTTGCATACAGGCTACATTTTTATAGTTACATAAATGCATACTTTATTCAAAGAGGTGTTAACCATATGTGTCCCAATTCAGTTTCTAACAAATTTCCTTTCACAAAAAAGATAAGAACTTATAATGGTCACGTAATACAGATAGGTTGTTTTAAGAGGTATGAGAAATTAAGTTGAACATCTTCTGGATATGTGCCTGATTTTGTTTGCCCAAGTCTTACCCTTTGAGCAGATGATGCAAACTATATATTAGTGACTTAGGAAATAATAGTATTTTATTATAAAATTAATAATTGGTCAGAAAGGAAACATCTGCCAATATCATTCTCCTTCAATGTCCTTCAATTCTGAAAAAATAACTCAGATGACATTTTTATTAATACTTAAAAACTGATACTTAAAAAATTCTTAAAAAAACATAATTACAGTCTGAAATATAATAGATTCTCAAAGAAAAGTACACATTCTCCTTTCCTCTTCATTTAGCATCTGTTGTTGGCCAAACAACAGATGACGCCTTGCCTTCAGGGTAAAAATCTAATTTGCATGTAGGCGCTTGAATGAAATTAAGCTCCACAAGGTGTGAATAACAAGGGGTGGCCTGCTCTAGTGACAACAGGCAGCTCTTCTCAAACAAGGACGTTGAAAGCTTGTTAGTGCTAACTGAACTACTTTGCAGCGTATATCCCCATCTGGAGGCCGACATCAAATTTGAGAGTCACAAAGAAACACAAAGGTCATTGTGGCAAACCAGGGCCGTGGCATTGCACAATTCTAGCCAGAGGCCAGACTCCTCAAAGTCTAGATGAATGGTGCCCCCTGGAGCTGTGCAGTGCACAACGTGTGCATCTGGATAGGTCAGTCCTGAGGCCAGCCGACTCATTTTATAAGGCAAGAAACTGCAGCCCAAAGAATATATATGCCTGGTTGGAAGTTAAGCAATGAGGCACATTTCAACTCAATATGAAGAAAACATTTTTGAAACAGGAAGCTGTCAAAGATGATGTTGGTTGACTCAGGAGGTAGTGAGGACCAGTTACAGGACATTTGCAAGCCTAGGCTGCTCTACCATCTGGTATGGACTTTCAGAGGGGGCTTGAAATTAAGGTGTGGGTAGGGGCTGGCCTCCATAGCTGTTAAGGTTTTTCCCAACCCTCAACTAAGGAATCCATTGTTCAAACACAAGTCTTCAGGCTACTGAGCACCAATCAAGGTATGGGGACCCTGAAAGGCAATAGAAATCAAAAGATCTATTTTGAGAGGGCTCTAACTTAACAACAGGAGGCAGCAACATCAGTGACTTTCTCAGCTGCTACAAAAAGTAAACCATCGTCAGACACAATTTTCCCATTCTCCCCCCTGCACTTGCGTCATACCCAACTTCCCCTTCCCCTCAACACTGCAGAACTTACTGATAACTAAGCCATGTCTACCCCTCTAGGAGTAGTTCAAGAGTCCTGGTAAAGACCTAACAGGAAGTAGAAATTACATATGAGCAGCATGTGTGTGTGCATGTGTATGTGCACATGCATGTGTGTGGTATGTATGTACACGTGTGTGTGTGTGCATGCACACACTGCATGGGTGTATTTCCTTAAGCCTGCTTTACAAAATCAAAAAGTACTTCCAGCATCCATATTAAGGCTGTCTCCAGCACTGCATGCCATTGACATGCTGTAAGTCACATAGAGGATGAAACCAGGGTTGGGCAGTCAAGAAGGGGCATTTGTAAGGGCTGGTGGCATGACGGCTCCCATCTGTTCTCTCACTTTCTTCAGAAGTGAAAAATTAGCCCTGGATGGTGTTTTATGAGATACTGAAACTAGAATTCCCTTAACCGCATTCATAAAACTCAAAAGGCAGGGTAGCAATTAGAAAGGTCATGGTTTTTTGGATCTTCAGTCCTGAGTTCCAATCCAACCTCTGCCACCTTGTACTGTGAAACATCGCCGAGTCCAATTAAAGTTTCTGAGCATGGATTTCCTCATCGATAGAACAGAGAAAATACCTTCTGCTGCACAGGGTTGTTGTGAGAATGAATGAGATAACACAAAAGAAACTGTGCCTGGTACCTTAGAAAGACACAGATGCAGGTGGTCATATTTCAAACCCACAATTCCTTCTTCCTGATGTCAAAGCAAACATGAGCAGAAAGAGTTGTACATGAAGAGGCATGGCTCTCTCTTTAGTAATTTTCAGCTTATGATAAATCTCCAATACTTTGGATTTCCCGGGGAAAAGTCCATATTAAATTAGAAGGTAGTTACCTGGCATTCTGCATAAAGCCTGCATTTTTATAGTTGCATAAATGCATACTTTATTCGAAGAGGTATTAACCATATGTGTCCCAATTCAGTTTCTAAACTACATTCGGTCTGTCGTGGCACTAGTCCAATAGCATTCCCAGGACTTGTTCATGAGCCAGCTTCACTCAGGCAAGGCTTTTCCATGTTTTGGTTGCCCCCTTTGAACAAAGCAGTCAACTTAGTTACATTATTAATGAAAATATCTGCACTTTTCCCCAAATATCAAACTGTGTGGTTCTTCTGAGATGCACACTGAAGAAATGAAGCAAATTCCTAGGTAATTCAAGCACAAACTGAATGGAATCCTCAAATTTCAGGCAAAGGGAACACCTTAGCATGAATCACATAAAGTAGAACCTTGCAAGTGTAGACAGGCTTATGGCATCCTATGCCACCTATGTGAAGTAGGAAATGCAAAAGGAGACGAAAGCCATCACCCCAGAGAAGCAGCTCATTCACAGTACAACGATGAACTCCAAAGCCAAATGAAATAGCATTCCTAAGCTTCCCATGACACAAGATTTCCTATCATATTCCTTTGAGTACCAATGAGGTAAATTCTCCAGGAGAATAAAAGATGCAGGGGTTTGTGGAATGTGCTATCCAGCAGTCCCACCCAGGGGCACTGGGACAGGACCCACAATGGGGCTGTCAGGCAAGCTCTCTGTCTGTCCAGAAAACAGGACCTCGGTGAGCATGGTTTTGGGGAATGATGTAGATGGTATAAATATCAACCAAGTCACATGACATCACTCCTCCCAGATCATTCTACTCCTCTCTCAGCACCCTGGCCTGTAGAGAAAGAAGAAAGAGTCGCAGGAGGAATGAGAATGTATGACAACTTTGAGGACAAGGAAAAAATACCCCAAATAAATGTATGATTGCATGTGGCCAAAAAAGAACAAAAATGTTGAGAAGGTTTTGTCATGCATGGTAGGTAGGTTCCATTCATTTACCAGGGCAGGAAAAATGTAAGTCTCTATGATCCCCAGGAATGCTGCTTCTGAATTGAGCCCCTGGGAAATTTTCTGAAAGTGCTCCAGCACGTTGTTTCTCGATCAACTTAGTACGCCCAGTGGTGGTCTCTTTACCTCCCCCAGGAGATCTACAAAGAATAGATAATAGCAATGTTTCACCCTGCCTCGTACCAGATGTGTGGCTGCAGGAAATTTGCATGATCTACCTAAGTCTTAGTTTTTCACGTTTGTAAAGTGGGACTGATAATACTTACTTCAGGGCACAGTTGTTGATTGATAGAGGGTGTGGGTGGGCTTGGCCTCCAGAGTATGTCATATATAAATCAGTCTTCATTTAGGGGATTTTTTTCTCCAGGATCAACTTTACTCTGTAATTCTCTTTGCTGTTGTCACCCTGCCCCACCCAGTCCGCCCAATTCTGCAAATAATAGACTTTCTTTTTCTGACTCATGATAGAAAACTTGAGACATACAGGAAACTATGAAGAAGAAAACAAAAACCTATACTCCCACAATCCAAAGGAAACACCAGTAAAATTTTCTTAGGTATACTTCCAGTCTAAAAAAAATTTTACAGCTAAGCTCCCATTATTGATATAACTTTTAGGTTCTTTTCTTTTCCTATCATTTTATTATGACAGTTTTCTCTTGTCACTATAACTTTTGTTTGTAATGTTATCTGCGGTTTTTGTGTGTGTGATTATAAAAATGATATACTTTGCCTGGAGGTCTTCTTGTTTCATGACAAGTAATGAAGCACCTATAATTGCCCAAACCCATGATGGCCAAGAGGAAGGGCCAGCTCCCAGGATAGGAACAATTATAAAATGGGACTTGGGAAAACCTTTCTTGGTGAAGCCACGTGGCAAGTGTTTTAAGGGCTACATAAATGCAATCAGCAAAGACGCACCATCTGAGTTCCCACACCAGCTCTGAGATGGGGCATGAATATAGACCTGTGGGTCATTGAGCCCTTGCTACAAAAAAAAAAAAAAAAAGAGAGAGAGCGAGCTCTGGAAAAGCCATGTAGCCCACTAGGAAGCTGAAATGCCTGAAGTATAGCTAAAATGCAGTATTCCTGGTGTGCTTATGGTAGGTATGGTTCTGTTATACAGGAAAAAGTATAATTTTAAGGAAAAGATGAAAGGAAAGCAAAGAACATGATCTGCAAGGGCTAGAAGTCTTCTGAATAAATAAGGACTTTAGAAACAGCCAATGGGATAAAATATTCAGAATGTAGAAAATAATAGTCATGACCAAATTATTTCAGGATAATCCCTGAAAAAAGGATGTATTTTCAATTGTATTTTTCTATACACATTTTAATAAAAGTTGAATCATAAAGCTTATCCAACTCTACTCCTGCTTTTGATTTTGCATGTGACTACAAATTTCTTACTCACTCCATTAAAATGACTGCAAAATATTCCAGCAAGAGGATGTACCAGAATTTATGTCATTGTGTGTATGGTTGTTGCATAATTATAAACATCTCAGTAATAAATATCTATGCTGACAGCTTGGTTTTAGCTTCTTGTTATTATACTTCCAAGGAATAGATACCTAGTAGGGGAACTCTGAGTGAAGAGTATCAACTTTTTTATAAGATTTTTACTATGCAAGACCATTTACGTTTCAGAAAAATCATTTCAATTTCCACCTCCCTTAGCAATGACAGAGCAAGTCTACGTGGGCACACCCTTGCTAACAATGGCTTAACCAGGATGGATCTTTGCTAGTTTGATGTACAAAATGCCATTATGGTTTAAATTTGCATTCTTTTTTTTTTTTTTTTTTTTTTTGAGACGGAGTCTCGCTCTGTCCCCCAGGCTGTAGTGCAGTAGCGCGATCTCGGCTCACTGCAAGCTCCGCCTCCCGGGCTCACGCCATTCTCCTGCCTCAGCCTCCCGAGTAGCTGGGACTACAGGCGCCCGCCGCGACGCCCGGCTAATGTTTTTATATTTTTTAGTAGAAACGGGGTTTCACCGTGTTAGCCAGGATGGTCTCAATCTCCTGACCTTGTGATCCGCCCGCCTCGGCCTCCCAAAGTGCTGGGATTACAGGCGTGAGCCACCGCGCCCGACCTAAATTTGCATTCTTTAATGTGATTTGATTTTGATTTTGATTTACTTGGGATTTGCTTGAGAAACATGTTTTCCCGTTTGCTTACTGCTATTTGAGTTTCTCCTGTGACTTGTCTTCATAGCTTGTACCTATTTTGCTCCTGGAATTTCCATGCCTTTCTTGTGAATTGGTAGGAATTCTTTACATAAGGATGATTGCTAACCACAATCTATCTGTTATATTTGAAGCAAATAATTTTTCTAGTTCATTTGCCTAGTAATGTTTATAGTATTTGTGACACTCAAATGTCTTTGATTTTTATTATCTAATAGCTTTTGGGTGATTTTTTTCTATTAACTTATGCTTAGAAAAGTCTTTCCTAATCTGTTCACGAGATATTCACTTCTATTTTCTTATGCCATTTTTGAAAATGGTTTCATGGAGTGTTTTGAGAAACACTTTTGAGTTTAAGAATTTCAGAAACCAGAATTTCCATTAGCCAC
This sequence comes from Homo sapiens, assembly GCF_000001405.40. NCBI lineage: Eukaryota > Metazoa > Chordata > Mammalia > Primates > Hominidae > Homo > Homo sapiens. The sequence goes on from NC_000021.9 coordinate 35,513,652, forward strand.
AAAAGCAGTGTTGGAGAAGTGTGACTGTTGCTGCCTGGATTTCAGAACTATGAGACTGTCATTCATTGGTTGATCTTTATAGCACATGTGCTCAGATAGTACCATCCAAGGTTGGTCAGGGAGGGCTTAGAACTGGTTCTGGTGACTACATCATCCTCTGTTCAAATAATAATCATTTTCCCTTCTTGAACTGGAAACATGGAAAATTTGTATTTTCAGTATCCATCCATCTCTACCTCTTCCACATCTCCCCCACTTTCCTGTATTTCTATTAACTTCTCTTTCACATTGCTTTATATATTCTCTATTTTGTATCTATCTACCTTCCCTATTGACCCATCTATCTATCTATCTCTTACCTATCTACTTACCATCTTCCACTGATATCTAATTCTTTAATGTCTATGAGCCAATATTCTATATTTATCTTTCCATTCATCTATATCTATTTCATTATTTCATCTCTATATTTCCACAATAATCTAAAAAGGTGTCTAGAACTTTTTATTATCATTCAGATTTCTACAGTGTTGATTCTGTACTTTATCTAAAGTGGGTTTTAATCCAACGTTTGCAACTTCTAGTTTCCTTGCAAATCCGCTGCATTTTCCCCACCTCTCACTTCATATTGGCCTGCATCTTAACCAGATATTCCTTTCCATTTTAGTCTGTTACGTTCTCACTTCACTTTTAAATTTTATGTTATGAAATTCATATTGTCATATCTTATATTGAGAACACAAAACAGATGCTTTGTAAAGTTTTCCTGCTGGTGATAAAATGTTTTACTTTAATATGCTTTATTTCTGTGCTATGTGTTGAACTATGCCCCCCTCCCACCCAATTCATGTGTTGAAATCCTACTGTCCTAATGTAACTCACAATGTGACCTTTTTTGGAGACAGAGCTGCAGATACAGTTAGTTAAGATGAGATCACATTGGAATCAGAGGGATCCCTAATCCAGTATGACCAGTGTCCTTATAAAAAGGGGAAATTGGAACACAGACACACAAACACGGAGAATGTCAGTTGAAGATGGCTGCCACAAGCCAAGGAACTTCCAGAAATGGCCCTTCTCTAGATCCTTCCAAGGGCACATGGCCCTGCTGACACCTCAATCTCAGACTTCTAACACCTCCTGAAGCCCTGGATGTTTCTGGACTACATCCAACTACAAGGCAATAAATATGTCTGTTATTTAAGCCACTCAGTTTGTGGTACTTTGTTAAGGCAGTCCTAGCAATATACCCTGTGTCATCTTTTATGTTTTGAAATTTATGTACCTGGTGTTTTACTTGGTTGGTGCTCATTATTGACCGTCATGGTTCTGTCCCAGGTAGCAGTGATTGTGTCAGTAAACTAGGCTAGATTTTGTTATTGCTGTTGTTGTTTTACTGTCTACTAGGTATAAGGAATGTCCCCTCTCTGATCTAAAGACAAGGATGAACTGATGTCCATGTCTCCTGCTCCACACTCACATCCAGCATCCAGCAGTCACTTGATCTGTTATGGCTATGCTTCATTGAGAACATTCTTCGCCTCTACCCTGGGGCCTGATGACCTGAAAATGCCGATATTCTTAAATATTTTGGTTCAATGTGTTGTTATTCCCTTTCTAATGCAATACATGAACATTACAACCTTCAGAATAGGTGGCTTCCAAGATGTTTTCCTTCCCAGACCATTTGTTTTCCCAACTTCACCCCTCCCTATACAACTCACACCACTTTTCATTTCTGCGCCAGGCTGGATGCATTCCCAGGACCTGCAGTCTCATTAAAATTTGGAGATGTTTGGAAGGGTATGTCTCTCTGGGTGTGACATAACTAACTGTTCAGAATATCTCAAAATGCAACAGTCAGTTAGGATGCATTGGTACCTCCTTTGTCCCATGAAGGCCCTGAGACCCTGCAGGAGGTAGAGCCGTGATAGCAGGTGCAGTCTCTCACCTCCATTTCTTTATAGGCATGTGAATATTCCTCCTTAGGTCTGGCAACCATTCATACATAGTCCTACTTTTTAGTCTTGTTGACATCCTCTTTGCACAACTTTTTGGATTTTAATAAGTACTTTAATGTCGCAGGAGGAAAGTACAGAAGGCCTGCCATCAACTCAGAGAAGAAAAATGCTGTTTGTCAGAGATATAGACCAATGGAACAGAACAGAGCCCTCAGAAATAATGCCACATATCTACAACTATCTGATCTTTGACAAACCTGACAAAAACAAGAAATGGGGGAGATTCCTTATTTAATAAATGGTGCTGGGAAAACTGGCTAGCCATATGTAGAAAGCTGAAACTGGATCCCTTCCTTACATCTTATACTAAAATTAATTCAAGATGGATTAAAGATTTAAATGTTAGACCTAAAACCATAAAAACCCTAGAAGAAAACCTAGGCAATACCATTCAGGACATAGGCATGGGCAAGGACTTCATGTCTAAAACACCAAAAGCAAGGGCAACAAAAGCCAAAATTGACAAATGGGATCTAATTAAACTAAAGAGCTTCTGCACAGCAAAAGAAACCACCATCAGAGTGAACAGGCAACCTACAGAATGGGAGAAAATTTTTGCAATCTACTCATCTGACAAAGGGCTAATATCCAGAATCTACAAAGAACTCAAACAAATTTACAAGAAAAAAACAACCCCATCAAAAAGTGGGTAAAGGATATGAACAGACACTTCTCAAAAGAAGACATTTATGCAGCCAAAAGACACATGAAAAAATGTTCATCACTGGCCATCAGAGAAATGCAAATCAAAACCACAATGAGATACCATCTCACACCAGTTAGAATGGCGATCATTAAAAAGTCAGGAAACAACAAGTGCTGGAGAGGAGATGGAGAAATAGGAATGCTTTTACACTGTTGGTGGGACTGTAAACTAGTTCAACCATTGTGGAAGTCAGTGTGGTGATTCCTCAGGATCTAGAACTAGAAATACCATTTGACCCAGCCATCCCATTACTGGATATATACCCAAAGGATTATAAATCATGCTGCTATAAAGACACATGCACACGTATGTTTATTGCGGCACTATTCACAATAGCAAAGACTTGGAACCAACCCAAATGTCCAAAACGATAGACTGGATTAAGAAAATGTGGCACATATACACCATGGAATACTATGCAGCCCGAGTTCATGTCCTTTGTAGGGACATGGATGAAGCTGGAAACCATCATTCTCAGCAAACTTTCGCAAGGACAAAAAACCAAACACCGCATGTCCTCACTCATAGGTGGGAATTGAACAGTGAGAACACACGGACACAGGAAGGGGAACATCACACACCAGGGCCTGTTGTGGGGTGGGGGGAGTGGGGAGGGATAGCATTAGGAGATATGCCTGATGTTAAATGACGAGTTAATGGGTACAGCACACCAACATGGCACATGTATATATATGTAACAAACCTGCACGTTGTGCACATGTACCCTAAAACTTAAAGTATAATAAAAAAAAAAGAAAAATGCCATTTGTAAAAGCTGCATCACATTCCACCACACAGACATACCCTGTGATTTTTATTTATTCCCCTATTGCTACACTTCACTTTCTTTATATATTTTCTCTACAAAGAACATCGCTACAAACAAAGTCTTGCCCACACTGCAGAGTATGTCCTGAGAACAGATTTCTAACTTTGTAATTAGTGAGAAAAAGACATGATTGCTTTTTTTTTTCTTTTTGAGATGGAGTTTTACTCTTTTTGCCCAGGCTGCAGTGCAATGATGCGATCTCAGCTCACTGCAACCTCCTCCTTCCGGGTTCAAGCGATTCTCTTGCTTCAGCCTCCCGAGTAGCTAGGATTACAGGCACATGCCAGCACACCCAGCCAGTTTTGTATTTTTAGTAGAGATGGGATTTCACCATGTTGGCCAGGCTAGTCTCAAACTCCTGACCTCAGGTGATCCTCCCACCTCAACTTCCCAAAGTGCTGGGATTACAGGTGTGAGCCACCGCACCTGGACAGGATTCTTAAAATATACTGGCAAAGTGTTTTTGAGACATCCTTCCCAGTTAAAGTTCTTACCAACAGTTTGTCAAAGTGCCCATTTCACTTGATTTTTGATAACATGATTGAATTTTTTTTCTGATCATATTATATTTGAAAAATAACATTTAAAGAGACGAATATGTGGGAGTGGGTATAAGAAAGATCGAAGGGTGCAGACTCTGTGCCTTCCAGAAGTTTATATCCCATTTGGAGGAAACGTTGGTACTGCAGATGCCTTGAAGAAGCCAAAGTAAGAAGACAAAGGCTGACCTTCAGAGGTGGCTAGGCAGGACCTCTCTGGGAATATAACATCTGAGCCCAGGCCGGAGTGGGGAGCCTTATCTCAGGGAAGAACTTCTTCAGCAGGGGAAGCACCAATGCCAAAGCCTAAGGCCAGTACGAGTTGGTGAGCCTGAGATAAAGAATGCCTGTGAGGCCCCAGTGCAGGGAGCAGACGCACAGGGACTTGTGGAGAGCTTAGATTTTAATTACAAGGAGCCACGTTGGGAGAATTTTGTTTAACAGAGGGATAAGGCGAGGACTAAAGGAGATTCCATTTATAAAAATAAGCCTACTTATGAAGGAGAAAATAGACAGTGAGGACTAAAGGAGATTCCATTTATAAAAATAAGCCTACTTATGAAGGAGAAAATAGACAGTCAGGGCACGAATGGAGCCCGGGAGCCTGCTGGGAGGTTGCAACACAGTCCAGAAAAGTGATGAAGGTGTAGGATTGACTCATTAAGATGCGGAGAAGTTGTCAGATGCAGGATACATTTTGGAAGTAATTGATGGAAACTGGCTTATAGGAAACAGAGGCTGAGGTTACTGACCTCCGCCACTGATGGGAAAGACTGAATGGGGCCAGGAACATTAATATTTCTATTGCAGCAATGGAATAAATGGGGACCCATGCTGAAAATGTAGATGTAAGAGTCATCTCTATAATCTGGAATCTTAGCAGAGGAAGCAGAATCTCAAGGAGGGCAGAGAAAATGGCTTTGCCCAGAGCCCCTCACACAGCATGGGCAGATAAAATACAGAAAAATCCATTAAATTTGAATGAATCAACCAGGTATAATTTCTTAGAATAAGTATTTCTCGTGCAATATTTGGAACATACTTATGTTAAAAAATTATTGTTTATCTGAAATTAAAATTTGACCGGAGGCCCTGTGTTTTTATTTGCTGTATCTGGAATCCCTGCGTGGGACATTCCAATAATCCTGGTGGAGGAGGATTTGGTTAAGAAGAATCAAATGGAGCATTTGTATAACTGGAAGAAAAACAGGTGCAATGAATGGTTAGTTTTATTTGTCAACTTGGCTGGGCCACAGTGTCCAGATATTTGGTCAAACATTATTCTGGATGTTTCTGTGAGGGTGTTTTCGGATGAAAATTAACATTTGAATCAATAGACTTCGAATAAAACTAATTGCTTTCCCTAAGGTGGGTGGGCCTCATTTAATCAGTTGAAAGTCTGAATAGAACAAAGACTGATCTCCCCTGGGCAGGAAGGAATTCTGCAGCTGAGACCTCTGGACTTTGAACTGTAGCATCAGCTCTTCTCTGGGTCTCCAGCCTGCCAGCCCACCCTGAAGATCTTGGACTTACCAGCCTCTACAATCACATGAGGCAATTCATTAAAAATCTCCCTCTCTTTCTCTCTGTTTCTCTCTCTCTCTACCACACACACACACACACACACACACACACACACATCCTGTTGATTCTGCTTCTCTGGAGAACACTGACAAATACACCAGGAGTGTGAGGTGTCCCAGGAAGGCAGAAGTCAAAGAGCTTTGGGGCAAGGGAGAACTGACTTGGCAAATATAGTCCACTGGTGAGCTTAACCTAACTTGTGGCATCTTATCATTTTATTTATATTTATTTAATCAGGTGTGGGATTCCCTACTTTTTCTTAATGATTACCCATTTCTAAGTTCTTTATAACTACAGCCTTGAAGCATGGAGTAGGGCCTTTCTTTTCTGACATGAATATCAGCGATTTACTTTTGGCGGATGCTTTTGGTGGCCCACGTGGCAAATAAATATAATTCCAGGTGGTGGTAAGTGCTGTGATAAAAGGCAAAATAGCAGAAAAGGGAGAAGCTGGAGCTGCTGTTGTCAACACGGTGGTCAGTGAGGAGAGGACATCAGAGCAGAGACCTGAATAAAGTCGGGGGAAGAGTGAAGCCAGTATCTGGGGGGAGATCATTGCAGACATAGGAAACAGCCCGTGCAGAGGCCCTGGGTGGGAACACGCAGTGGTTGGTCTCCCCACTGGGCACAGGCAGCAAACTGCTATCAGAGAACTTGGGAGTCAGAGTTGGGTACGTTCTTGTCCCAACCCTGCCATTCACCAGCTGCTTCACGTGGAACAATTTCCTTCTCTTCTTTCAGTGTCAGCTTCTTGATCGGAGAAGCAAATCAGGTGGATAAGTAATTCCTTATGGTCCTGGTTATCCTTCACATTTAAAGGCAGAGAAGTGTTGTCGTCATTTTCTTTCCAGCAGAGTGTTATTTTCAGTGACTGCAGTTTTGCATTTCCTATATCTGCCTATTTTGAGTTCACATTCTAACGTGTGTAGAAATCTTTTGTTTAGAGATTTAACATTGGAAGGCATCTTTGGAGTGATGGAGCGTGTTTCATCTGTGATGAATGAAAAAGCTTCCTGTCCTCCTATCTTGCTGGAGTTGTGTTTTCACACATCCTGTGAAGGGCAAGACCCAGTGGGACACTGTTTTCCCAGAGAAATGATTAGACTACAAGAAAAAACCAGAGCCATATAATTTATGGCACCATGTTAACAGCGAGCATAGTCAACACGCAAAGCCGACTCCGCCAGATAAGGAGTTGCTTTGGAAACTGGCCCTGCGCAAATCACAGACGTAGCAGTGGCACATGGATGGGGACCACATTCTCTTGTGTCATTAACTAATAAAGAGCTCGCAGAGGAAAAGCAAATATCCCAGTTCTTTTTAATGACTGCTACTCAAAATAAAAGAATACTTTTGTTTTGTTCTATTGTTGAATTTGCTAGAATACTGCAAATTCTGTTGAATTTGCTAGAATACTTTTTATTTCACCAAGCCTAAAAAATAAGGAAAATTGGCACCAAAGGAAGTTTCTCACAAACTTATCTTTTTCAGGACAAAGAAGTAATTCAATCAGATGGAGAACAATATGCAAATTCTTAATAAGTGAAAAAGATCATTCATACCCTGGGCCCAGCAGGACAGACAGAGGTACAGATGGGAGCAGTCTCCCTTTTCTCTGAGCTAAAAGGCCTGAAGTTATCTGCATCCAAAACCTGGGTATTATGGCTAAGGGAAGGAAATGACCTTTTCAGGTTTCCTCCAGTCTGTTTGCAGGCCTATGGTAAAGACCAGGGTGGGCTGGTGGATTCTCAGGCAAGCTCCCCCTGAAACTGTGGGGAGGTGATTAAAGGATTAAAATTTGCATGCAAAGCAATAGATATTCAAACCCTTCCTACCCGCCCCCCACCCTCAATGTAACAGAGAAGATAAAAGCTGTTTCCTTTCAAAGCTTCAGGTTAAAGATGGAAGAATTAGCCAATATGTAATTGTATAGCGGGGCACTCAGAAAGGGCTGAGAGGAGAGAAGGCAATGATATCCAAATAGCAATCTGTGCTTAGAAAAAAAATTAACCTCTGAAAAGGGAGAAATGTCATTGTCTAAGGTGGTTCTCTAAATGGGGGTGGGGGGAGAGTGATGATTCTTACGCCTTCCCAGAGGACACCTGGCAACAGTACAACTGGGGGTGGGAGGTAGGGGTGCTACTGGCCTCTAGTGGGTACAAGGTAGAGGGGATGTTAATGCATAAGGCAGCCTCCCGCAGCAAAGAATGAGCCAGCCCCAGTTGGCAGACATTGAGATGGAGAGACTGAGAAAGGTTGAGAAGCTGTGGTCTACGGAGAAACCCTGGTCTAAGGACCTATTCTGGTATTTATTCAGTCTATCTGCTCAGGATGTTTCCCGGCCCATCTTGACTATTCCCAAGGAACCTCAACCCAACTCTTAAAGTGAAGCCCCAGGGTTTGCCTTGTTCAGCCTTAGTGCCTGGAACCTCTCGGCCTATGAAAGCCTTATACCCGGGGAAGCGATTGGAGAGAGGAATCCCTGTCCAGGGCTAATTGATTCCCCCAAGAACTGTGTATCTGCTCTCTTTGCGGTCAAGGAGAGAGGATTTATGAGACACATTAAAACCTATCTATGTCTTTCTTTGTAAATAAACTGTTTAGAGTTCTCAGATTTCGATCTAAATAGTTACAAACTTTATCAGGCTTTGCTGTAGTGTTGTTCAAAATAAGATCCTGCAATTATCACTCAATTGCTGCCTTGGAACTGAGACAGGCAGGCGCCGTGGGCACGGCCCAGGACGGCACACTGCTTGGAGATACAGGTCAGGGAGATGCTTCCACTCCATGTTTCCAAGAGAGCACAGGACATTCTTTGTAACGCACGTCTGTGTGTCCTGGGAGGGTGGATGAGGAGCCATCTGAACTGTCTGCTTCAAATTTATAAGAGCCTTTTTGAAAAGGAGATTGTCAGGGGCTTGCAGCCCTGGTACTGCCTCTGTCAGCTGCAGGGAAGACAACAGACTGTTCACACCTGTGTGCTCCGGGAACCAGGGGATGACATGCCACCACTTGCTCAACTTGGGATGACTGGTACGAGGGAGTCTATAAAAAGACTTGGTCTTCTAATTACTTTAATTCATTTTTTTAAAAGCATAGCTGTACTTCAATTTAGCAACCATATTCCTAAAAATGTTAGGCCATACAAGCAAACATTTTTGTCCTTTTTTCCATGATCACTCCCATAAAAAAAAAAAAAACACCTTTTGGGCATTTTTCTGATTGCTTCTCCACCTCCTTGAAATTTTGATATGTTACACTGTGTATCTGGTTATGTATAATGGTCCTTAGGAAGGCCACACACCTTCACAGTAGCTAGGATCTCACCTTGGGGGCCATACCAGTCTCTTTGAGCATGGCTGTGCTACACTGCATCTGCCCATTTGATTTGACATTGACAGTAGCCACTATCAAAAAGTATTCAAGAAACCAGGCACGGTGGCTCATGCCTGTAATCCCAACACTTTGGGAAGCCAAGGTGGGGTGGATCCCCTGAGGTCAAGAGTTCGTGACCAGCCTGGCCAACATGGTAAAACCCCATCCCTACTAAAAATACAAAATTAGCAGGGTGTCGTGGCACATGCCTGTAATCCCAGCTACTCAGGAGGCTGAGGCAGGAGAATTGCTTGAACCCGGGAGGTGGAGGTTGCAGTGAGCCAAGATCGCACCATTGCACTCCAGCCTGGGCGATGAGAGCGAAACTCAGTTTCAAAAACAAACAAAAAAACAAAGAAGCATTCAAGAGCCTGAAATTTTTTTTTCAGTGATTTTTAAGTCTATTTTTAATGGCTCTTTGTAGGAACAATGGCAAGAAGATTAAAATTATCTGCTAGATAATCAATTAATGTCTGCAGACATTTGTAGCCTTTTCTATGAATGGACTTATTTATGAAACTGATTTATACAACATCCATTGTTTAAGCTTACTTTTTATGTATGCTTGGAACAATTTTTCATGTAATTACATAAATTTTGGACATCCTTTTTATAGATGTGTAATATGCCATGCTAAGTATGTAGGTTATCAGATTTAAAGAACTAGTTTTGTTGGCTATTTAGGCTAATTCTGATGTGTCTCTATTAGAAAATGCTGCAGAGAACAGATGCAGCTCATCTTCATGATTTTTTGGATGCATTCATATTGTAAGATGCTAGGAATTCTTTTGCCTTTTAATTAAAATGTACCAGCACTTAAATGATCCATTATAAGTAAAAAATCTCCCAATAGATTAAATAAAGCAAAATAGTAACAGATCTTTGCATGTCTATGTCTGTCTGTGTGCAACTTAGACTTTAATTTGTTATTTAGCTTAAGGCAATGTGTTCCTAAATGCTACTCTAAGAACTTGTACTTACCACCCCTTCCACCAAACACAGACACCTTCCAGAGGACCCTTGCCCTCCAATGAGATCTCTATTGTCTTATATTAATTTAACCCTGCTGTTCTAGGTATATCAGAAGTCCCATAGAGTAGGCCTGTTTTAATTTCCCAAGGGACCACATAAAACATTGTACCTGGTGTGCTCAAGTTCAGTGAATTACTATCAGGACTTCTTGGAGTCTTCTTTCCCCTAAGATGCCCCAGTTTCCATGTTGTTGGCACATGGCCAGGTGCAGTATCCCCTCCAAACCTATGACTGGATCACTGATTGGAATTCTCCCTGGGGGGCTGCCCCTTCCTTCACATTCTCAGCTCCATGCCCCGCCACCCCCTCCTCAAGTAAACAGCTCTTGAGATTTGACCCAGGAAAAGTCAAGTCCAACAGAAACTCCCAGAACATTATACCCCGGCCCCATTTGTTTTGAAAATAGTATCGAAGCTTACAATTGCAAACATACAAGTGCTTAATTATTGCTCAGTATCCATTTTATTTCTAGATATTCATTGAATTCCATTCAAATGTCGATATTAGCAATATTAAAAATAGATGGCTGCAATTTTTCTACTGATTATATAAAGACAGACACTTTAGGTAATGGTCACATATGATGTGATTAAATTGTTTTGCTGTCATTGTGTTAATTATGTGCCAAAGTTAAACATATTCATCTGCAAATTCAAATCTGCCTGGATATTACCAGTAATTATGGCAGTAGCAGTCAAATAAGTGTCCTCATGTGGTCGAGAGAGTGTTTGAGGCTATGGTAAATATCATAAAAATATCATAGTCTATCATGTGTTTGAAATACTATCCTCTGATAAATGACTACTTTTTAATACCTGTTTGTTTTCCTGTGTATGAGGCAAATGGAAAGGAAAATACTTTTTGAATGAGCTTGTTCATTGACTTCAGAAATGGTGGAAACCTTTGCAGTGTCTGCATCCCCCTGCTCTGTACTCAGCATGGGGCAGCCACCGAAGGCTCCCAGCCCCTCACCCAGAGATACTGGAAGTACCACAAAAGTTGAGAAGCAGCTGGTGTTTGGCAGGTGAGGCAGAGGATATTATTGTTATTGATTATTGTATCCTGATTATTATCCTTCATGCCATCTTCCTGGTAAGGAGGCCCTTAGACAGGTAAGAGCCCATAAGAGTAGTCAATTTTGATCTTCGTGTTCATCTCTGTGATTTTCTTTCTTAATCTATAAAAAATATCTTTGTTGAAGAAGCGGTTATGTACCAAATGTTTGTGTCCCCCCAAAATTCACATGTTGAAGCACTAACCCTCAAAGTGACTGTACTAGGAGAAAGGGCCCTTACAGAGGTAATTAAGGTTAAGTGGACTCATAAGGGCAGGGCTTGATCCAATAGGATCAGTGTCCTTATAAGAAGAGACAGGAGAGTGCTCAAGCACTCTCTTCACCATGTGAGGACATAGCAGGAAGGCAGCAGTCCACAAGCCAGGAAGAGAGCCCTGACCAGGAACCAAATTGGCTAGCACCTTGATCTTGGACTTCCAGCCTTCAGACCTGGGAGAAAATAAGTTTCAGTCATTTAAGTGAGCCAGTCTATGGTATTATGTTGTCGCAGCCCAAGCTGATGAATACAGAAGGAAATGAAAATAATGGGGATTCTGGCTTAGCTTTGGCACCTGGATTGTCTGTCACCTGTAGATCTATTGAGCATCCAGCTAAACATTTTGAACCTCCCTGGGTACCTGAGTCTGTGACCAGTGTTGGAGACTCAAAGATCTGTAAGACACAGTTCTCATCGTTGATAACCTACAGGTCACATTTGACAGGCTTCCATCAGGGAGGTCTTGTGATTCATGGCCACATCCTGTCCCCAAGTAAAGAACCTTACTGTGAGTTCCTCAAATTGTTGATGTACTGATTAATGCACGACCTACTGACATTGAAAAGGACACTGATTTGTTTCTGAATCATGAAGTTTTGCTGATTTGTCTCTGAATCATAAAGTTTTATTGATTGTCTTACATGTCCACATTTTAGCCTGTATGTTGCAAGCTGAAGCAATGATTAAAACCTCTGTATTGCACCTTAACCAAAAGGATAACTCTATAGAAGGAGTGGCTCCCTTCCTTCTCAACATTCCTCTAAAAGCCTTCCTACCTGTAACAGACCCTAGAACATGCTGGACTTTGTCAGTGTGTCTTCCCTGGTCCATCCTCACACTTGATTTCCAATAAACCTGTGGGGTCCTGATAAGAGTAAGATTAAGATTAAGATTAAGATAAGATGAATCTCATTTGGGAGAGAGCCCCAGGTGGGGAAGAACAATAAGCCATTGTTCTGAGAGCCAGCCAATCACAGACAACCTACAGACATACAATGACCTTATTCCACCTATAGTCCCCTCCAGCTCTGCTGACACCTCGATCTTGGAAGAACCACCTACCAACATGGGTGAAGGCAGAGGACAGGACCTTCCTTTGGGGCAATTGCTCTGGTGCCTCTGTTCAGGGGAGGTGTCACATTCTAAATAGCTGAGCATGGGCAGGAAGCACGTCAAGAGTGCCCAGGTAAAGGACAAGTGTCTAGATCTAAGGACACAGTTTCCCAATGAGCTTATATCCCAGGACATCGGTTTTGAATCCAAAACTGGGACTCAGGGTGTGGGAGACATTAGGGAGAAAATTAGACTTTTGAGAGTAATGCCCGGGAACACCCAATGAGTAGCTGAGCCAGAAAGCTGCAGATTTGTATGGATATCACCAAACATCAAGCAAAAGGCTTTTCCTCTCTGAAGACCAAAATGACCAATCATAGTGATCAGCCTTGAAAACAAATTAGAAAAGGCTGTGCTTGGGAAGCTGGGAGGTACGATGATATTTTAGTGCCTTAAATGTGAGTCAGGGTAGAGACAAGATTCTCTGAGTTGAGTCTATGTTATTCCTCTGAGGCTTGTTGACCAAGGGAAAGTTAGAAAGTTATATATGTGTGTGTGTGTGTGTGTGTGTGTGTGTGTGTGTTTTAAAGTTTTGCTACAACTGGACTACAGTCCAGAGGGGAGATATATATATATAATATATAATATATTATATATATCACACTATATACAGGACAGATGATATATAGAAGATATATTATATACACACACACACACACACACACACACTGGGGGTGTGTGTGTGTATGTGTGTGTATATGTTTTAAAGTTTTGCTACAACTGGACTACAGTCCAGAGGGGAGATATATAGATATAGATATATATATACACACACACACACACACACACACAAAACATATATCTATACACATACATATAACATATATATATATTATGTATATAAAGTGGTGCAATGGACTATATGTTTATGTCTTCCCAAAATTCATACATTGCCACGGAGAGGGGCTTCTGGGAAACCAGTCCTACTAAACCCTAAGGTAATAGTATTAGGAGGTGGGACCTCTGGGAGGTGATTAGGTCATGAGGGAGGAGACTTCAAGAATGGTATTGCTGCTTTTATAAAAGGGATCCCAGAGAGATTGTTTGCCCCTTCTACCCTGTGGGGGCACAGGGAGAAAACAGCCATCTCTTAGGACTGGGCCCTCAGCAGACACTAAATCTGCCAGTGCCTTGATCTTGGACTTCCCATCCTCCAAAACTGAGAGAAATAAATTTCTTTTGTGTGAAAGCCGCCCAGTCTATGGTATTTTCATTAGAGCAACCCAAACAGGACTGAGAGAAGTAGTATTGCTGGAACAGGGGAAACAATAATGGTAAAATATACAGGGTGGAGGGGCCCTGGTCTTTAGAGACATCATCTTCTTTCTTATCCTTGGGCAGAAGCAGCAGGAAACTAACAAGAACTTCCAGCAGCAGGTGCATGGTGAGCTCATCACTATTGCAGTCACATCAGGCTGCCATTCAGGATACCAAAGATGGGGCAGCTTACACACCAGGCATGACTTTCTCAGTTTTGGAGGCTGTAAGTCAAAAATCAAGGTGGCAGCCAATTCTGTTCCTGGTGAGAGTCCTCTTGCTGGTTTGCAGATGACTGGCTACTCTCTGAATCCTTACATAAGGAAGAGAGCAATCATCTCTCTCCTGTGTCTTCTCCTAAGAGTGCTAATCCCATTCATGAGGGCTCCACCCGCATGACCTATCACCCCCAAAACCCCATCTCCAAATACCATCACTTTAGGGATTAGGACTTCAACAGAGAAATTCAGGGAGGGGACCACAAACACTCAGTGCACATCAGTAACTCACAACTTCTCTCGTAGTTCCCTGTGGATGTGTGGAAGAATGGGTATCTGTCAAAAGTTAGACACACCAGGGGAAAGGAAAGCCTGGTGATTCTATAGAACCTTCCTTGTACTCCCGTCTCCAATTCAGGATCCAATGGCAGGAGAATGGGCAACAAAATGCCCTGAGAAGCTCATGAGGTCAGCACAGAAGATGCCATGAGTCTCCTGTGATGTTGGGAAAGGAATCTCTCTCAGTGGACACTGTGGGGAGGGAAGGAGGGTCTGGGAAACAATGCCTCTCTTGCCTTTTTAAATCTAAGAATTGCACATTCAGAGGGGAGTGGGAGTACAGTCATGTCATCATCTCCACATTTCATTTGATAAAGGATAGACGGTTTTGAGTCATAGACCTTTAAATATGCATGGGGTGGGGGTGGCATTAGATGAACCCTAGTCTCAAGTTGCTGGGTGAGATGAAGTCAAACAGTATCAAACCCTTTCATTCTCCTAAAAATGAGCCAAGACCATGAGCTGTAGGTAGGCATTTGCTCCAAAATGATATATTGCAGTTTTGCAACTTTCCTTTCTGTGGCTGCTGCTGTCCAAAATGCCACTTCCCTCTTAAGTTCTTCTATGCACAGTTAGAAAGATAAAATGCTAAGCAGTTGAAAAGGGTTGAAAAAGAAAGATGTAGGTTTAGGTCCGGAGCCTGGCGCACCCGCCCTAATTTGAGTCAGGGACCCTAGGCGCCTGCAGCTCCGGTTCGGGTTGAGTGCCTCCTGTCAGGATGTGAAGCTGCTGTCCCCCCCGGGGGCCTCCAGCACTGCTGAGGACTCAGCAGTCAGCCTCTCCTCCCACTTGGGCTCATTTACAGAGAGCATCTCCAGGAATCAGTCATGGGGAAAGGGGAAACGCGGAGTGACAACACAACACGTAGAAAGTTCTCTGCCGCCTTGGTCAGGCTTGTCAGCCTCACAGCCCATCCTGCTCCTGCGGGAGGAAAAGTGAGCAGAACTCAGCCCGGAGATGAGCCGCAGGCCGGCAGCCCCTGCCTCTGCCCTGCTTGTTGTGACTGCAATGCAAGGCTCTCTGTAGGTGCGGGGGATTCGGGTTAAATGGGTCTCCAGTGGTCCAGCGCTCCCAGCAAAGGCCGACCACAAGAATTAGCGGGCTAGTTATTTACCATAACCATATACAAAACCACAAGCATCAGCGTTCCCTCAAATACATCCGAGACGCTGTATATCTCTTTATTAAAGCCTGTCAGGGTTTGTTATTGCACAGCTTGGCCTTGAACCCCAACTAAACCAGGCTGCTTGAGCAAAGAACCAAGCAATGCAAGCATTCAGGCAGGACCATTATAACCCTGAGGCCAAAGGCAGAAGCAGGGAGAGGAGACGTCTTCCTCTCCTGCCTCTCTCCTTTCACTTTCACTTCGAATTGATTTTTAACTACATTCGAGCTCACGATGATAGATGGCTGTAAAATATTTTAATCATTCATAAATAAAGTATTTATCTTGTGTGAGTTATCCGGTCTCCTTCACTTTAATGAACACAGTATACATCACGCTAATCCATTACTATCAATCATAGGTTTCAAGGTAGGCAATGTAAAAACTTAGAATTGTTGTCATCCCTTCTAGGCCTTTGGACTAAGATCAGGTTTGGTTGCTATTCTTATCTGTTTGCTTAGTTTTACTTTGCCTCGTTCTCAGACCTATTTTTTTCAAAGCCATGATGTATGCATTCTAGCACATTGATGTCATTTTGAGTTCAAATGCCCCACTGGTTAAGAAAACAGCACAATGTGGAATTTTCAGCTTTCAAAAAGGTCTTTGCTACAAGACAACTCAGATAAAGAATTTAGCAATAGCCAAGATAGAGTGGTGGTGATTAAGTGATGTAATCAAAGGATTGCAATTCCCATTCTAAATAACTCTCTAACTTCAAATTTGACTATGGGGTGACCAACCTATCGGGGTGTATGTTGAACTTTCCTGGTTTGAGCACTGAAATTTGCATGTCCTGAGAACTCCGAGTCCCAGGCAAGCCAGCCTGGCTAGTCACCTAACTATGATAAATTCAGTCTTCGGCATAAGTACATACTGTTAAAACTTCATGTGTTAAGACACAAGAAGGCAACCATCAATCTATGGTGTGAACTAGATGGAGAAGCTCCCCACTGGTGGAACACAGGACAGTCTGTACAAAGGGCAAACTCTTGCTAGTTGACTTCTCCTGCCTGTCACCACCACCTCTAGATTTTGAGTAGTTGGAAGTGGTCTCTGCAGGTACTTCTGAAGCTACAGGAATCTCTGGGCCACGGGTGTCTTCTTCAGGGCTTTTTCCTCCCCTGGTAGCATTCATAGGCTTTTTCAAACACAGGGTCTTCCCTTTAAAGGACTAGCAAGATGAAAAGAGCAAGGCTGCCCTTAGGTATAGCTGCAAACTCCACAGAGAAGAGGACAACTCTGTTCTGTCACCACCGCCACCTGTCCTGCTTTGGCTAAAGCTAATGATGACTGGGGAAGGAAAGGTTCCCTATCTTGTGGCCCTGGAGCAGCCCTGGGACCATCTCTTTGCCTCTTAGGTCCACAAAGCCTCCTGAATTTAGTACAATGCTGGCCCCTGGGGTCCCCCTTTGAAGAGCAGGATAGTTGAACTTTGTAGAATGTAAATTACACATACAGTACAACCTCCTGGAAAAACACAGCGTCTGAATGCCCTTTGACCTCCTGGATCATGATTCCTTTGTCCCCTACATAAGGAAAACAGAAAATATGTTCTATAAATAGTTTCTCTTTCACCTTTTTAGAAAAAAAGTTGAAAAACTAAAGGGAAAGAAAGAAGAGGAAAAAGAAAGTTTATCAATACCTGTATAACTGAGGAAACCGTTTCCTGTTTCTATTGTATATTGAAAAACCAACTTACGAATCACCCTTGCTTGCTAAATGATTTACAAAGGTCAGTAATGAGGAACTCCGAGACGCAACCTCAGTTTCACTTGGCAGCTTTATGTGGACATCCTCACATTTGGAAACAAGAAGTGAATTTCATCTCTACACCCCTTAAAACATCCATCAGGTTAAAATAAGGAGCAGTCAATGTAAATGTTTAACAACCAGTTCTCGGTGGGAAGGGCAGAGGGGAAGCTCTGGTTTGTAGGGTCCGTGGATTCCCATGATGTAAGTACTCCCACCATGCTGAGTTCAAGTTACCAAGGTGATGTCACTGAACCAGAGTTGGGAAAACGTTCTCTAGGGCTGGGTAAGTGAAGGGTAGGCAGGTGTCTTCAGCACAAGAGGAGAAACAGAAGGAAAACTGGCTAGAACAGTGGTTCTCAACCCTGGCTGCATATCAGCATCAACTGCTGGGCTTAAAAAAAGTGCCCAGGCCACACTCCAACCAACGAAGTTGGACTTTCTATGGGTAGGACCCAGGGATTCCTGTGATTGAAACTCCTGAGGCAATTCTAATGTGCAGCTGAGACTGAGAACCACTGCTCTTTCACGGAGCTTGAGTAGTATTCCCTTTTGCAGAAATGCCTCAAATACTTCTGAGACATTGTATACCTCTTTACAATAGCTTGTCAGGGATTCGCAGTTTAGAAACTGCAAAACCGTGAGTAGGATGGCAATCATTCTTGAGTGACACCTTTTGGCAGGGCTATGCTTGCCATGGTCATACAACCATGGGGGATGAAATGAGGACCCAGTTGAAAGAACGTGATAACCCCAACATGCACAAAGTGCTCTGAGGCCTCTCAGCTAAGAGATGGCTGTACTTTTCAGCCTGCTTTGATTGCAATACAATCTGTAGGTGTGGTGATTTGGGTAATTAGATATCCAGTTATATGCAATATATTCTGTTTTCCTTTTCATTTAGGCTAAGACATTGATATGAGTGACTATTTACCTGAAGCAAGTAAAGATATTGGTATATATTATGAATGTAGAAAAGGTGAAAAATGCTAGAAATAGCACAAAAACTAGAGAAATGTCATGATATAACTCTTAATGAAGTTTCTGACACGTGTCTATGGTGTGTTTAATAACTGTGTATGCTGTATGTTAAGTATGGAGAGAACCCTATCAAGATTGAGAGAACTCTTGTTTTGGTTAGGCACTGGGGAGAAATGAATCTACCACTTCTGCGTTTTTAAGAAAATGTCCTAATCCTAACACTTCGGGAGTCCAAAGTGGGCAGATCTCTTGAGTCCAGGAGTTCAAGATCAGCCTGAGTAACATAGCAAGACATTGTCTCTACAAAAATTTAGCCGGGCATGCTGGCACATGCCTGTAGTCCCAGCTACTGTAGAGGCTGAGGCAGGGGGATCGCTTGTGCCCAGGAATTTGAAGCTACAGTGAGCTGTGATTGTATCACTGCTTTAGCCTGGGTGACAGAATGAGACCTGGTCTCCAAAAGAAAAGGAAACAAAAGAAGAGGAAAGAAAAGAGAAGAGAAGAAAGAAAAGAAAATGTTTTTGTTGAAGTACATGCACACATAGAACAGTGCAAAAATCATAAGTTTATATCTCAGCAAATTTTCTCAAAGTGAATATATCTATGTAACCCCCATGCCAGATCAGAAGATGGACATCCCAGTACACCAGGACCTTCACTTGGCCCCACCTGGCACTGGTCTTCTCTCCTTCATGTAACCACTATCCTGATGGGTGACCACACATCAGCTCCCCTGGTCTTTGAACTTCATAGAAATAGAATCATCCAGAATGTACCCTTTTGTATTGGGCTTCTTTTACTCAACATTATTTGTGAGCTTTGTCAATGATGTGACTTGTAGCAGTAATTCATTCATTCTCATTTTTGGATAGTATTCCATTGCATGGATTATGCCCCAATTCATTTATACATTCTGCTATTGATCTAAGTTTTGACACTTACAAATACTTCTCCTATGAACATTCTTGTACATGTCCTTTGGTGCATATGAGTTTATAATGTGTCTTTGTTTTAAATTTCTGTCCAATAAAACTCTGTCCAGTGTCTGGTGAAGCTGAAGTTCACATAGCACTTCAGGTTATGACCAAATTGCCACTGATGACCTGTTTTTAATGGTCTTACAGGCAAGGTTGTTATATTTTCAAAGCCAAAAGGTGAAAACGTGAAAAACTGCCTGAATACTTAGCCCCTAGCATGGGATAAAGAACATCTGAAAGGAAGTCAGAAAGTCTGAGTAATTTGAAAAAGTGCAAAAAGAGACCATGTAATCCATCCAAGGTGATATGGTTTGGCTGTGCCTCCACCCAAACCTCATCTTGAATTGTAGTTCCCATAATCCCCACGTGTCATGGGAGAGACCTGGAGGGATGTAATTGAATCCTGGGGGTGGTTACCCTCTTGCCGTTCTTATGATAGTGAGTTCTCATGAGATCTGATGGCTTTATAAGGGACTTTTCCCCCTTTGCTCGGCACTACTCTGTCTTGCCACCATGTGAAGAAGGACATGTTTGCTTTCTCTTCCACCATGATTGTAAGTTTCCTAAGGACTCCCCAGCCATGTGGAACTGTGAGTCAATTAAACCCCTTTCCTTTATAAATTACCCAGTTTTGGGTATTTCTTCATAGCAGTATGAGAACAAACTAATACAAGAGGGTATTATGTTTGAAAGGAGCCTTAGAGAGGAATGGTTCTCTTTTTTACTGGGTGAGGAAACTGAGGCCCAGGGAGATGAAATAACTCATTCAAGATCACATAGGTAGAAAGCAGCTGAACTGTGCCAGGGATCTTTTCAACTCCTAGTTGGCTACTTCTATAAAATTAAACTGTCTACACTTTTAGAGCTAGACTGATGAATTTTAGAACGTGCCAGTGTAAGTCAAAATGTGAAAGAGGAGAACTTGTTTCAAACACCTTAAACTGAATTTCTACCCCAAAAAGAATTCATAAACACAACTCTCTGTCTCTTGATTTCCTCTGTCCTCACTCAAGCTGCTTCCCAGTGATACCCAAAATCCAAAATCCACCATGGCCTCCTCCAATTTGTTCTCCAAGTGGACAGCATGGCCTTTGCATATGTAAATCTGATCCCTTTATGCCCTTCTAACACTTGTATTGTTCTTAGGATAAAGGTCCAAATCTTCAGGGTGCCCTAAAAGGACCCGGAGAGTCTCATTCTTTCCATTTCTCTCCTCCTTTGGAATGCTGGAATGCTGGAATGCTCTCCTCCTGTGCTATGCCTCCTTTGACTACACCTCCAACAAACCCTGCCCCATGAAGCCTTCTTTCCCTTAGAAGCTGGTTTAATTATCACTTCCTTGGGAATCTTCCCTAAGTTCCTGACTTGGTCCATGTCCCTATTACACCAGGCACCTACTCTTGGCTGCATCCGTTGTAGCTGTAATACTACATTTACTTATCTGGTCTGTCCTTCAATTTGTGTTGGTCTCCCTTCTTAGACTCCATGAAGGTAGGGTCACATCTGTTTTTGCTCATGATACCTGATCCTCAACAAATATCTGTTTGGTGAACTAATATCTGAATGATTGTTTTCTAGTACTTTCTGTTTCATCATTTGTATTTGTAGACCATCAAAAACAAGTCTGATACGTTTATCAGAATTTTACAAATTTACCACTATTTACTTAAATATCAATAACTATCAATTTAGATGAAGAAATGGAAGATAGGCTAATCACATTTTCAGGTAACAAAAAGTTGGAAGGGACAACTGGGTAGAAGAATCAAGATTGTAAAAGTTTAGAATGACAAAGTAAATTTGAGCAATCTTACAGCATGCACAGGACAAAATAGCATGTCCATTTTTGAAGTTCCAGAGGTGAATAAGCATGGTTCCTGAATTGAACAAGCTCATATCTGATGGAAATATAAAATGTGAGCATGACCTTACAACAACACTTCACATGCTTCCATCTGGTGTGAAATTATAAGGTCTCTAAATTAGCACTTTTTCCCCAGGGTTAGGCCCGATTATATGGAACTACCAGACGTAAGACAGCATATGATGAGTTCAGCTTCATTCTTGCTATTGAAGAAATAATTTTTCAACTGCTATGAGGTTTTCAAAAACTTTTAAATGTGATTTGGTGAAATTTTTTAATCTCACCAGAAGAGTATCTGGACATTTTTCTCAGTCAAATATGACTTCATCAAAAATATCACGTACATACATTTAAAACGTCTATGACACAGCTATCATTCTGAGTGCACTTCTCCCTGCAACTACACCTGGAAGTCTCAGGGGTTCTTACCTACAGTAACCTAGGGCATAACCTGGCTGGTCCTCACGCCTGGCAGTCACCAAGATCCTATCTAGTTATCTCTTAGTAGATTTCTCCAAAATTGGTGCCAGCTACCAACTTATACACACCCCAGTCCATATACCTCTAGGCCACCATTAATTGTACTGAATTGTCACCTTGATTCATGAAAATACAAAACAAAAAAGTAATTTTTTAAAACAGATTACAGACACAAACTCTGATGTAAGTAGTAATAATGTAATACCTGGCTGAAATGCTGCCTTTGTCCACGCATGGATTTAATTAATATAGTCTCTCCCCTCTAGGGTGGACAGAAATATCCAGAGCTGTGCTATGAATTACGTACATGGAAGTTGTTATAGCCTATGTTTGAGAACCCCACTCCATCATCAAAAAGAAAGAAAAAAAAAAAAAGAGACCCACTCTCCATTACAGAGGGAATTGCATAGATAACCCTGGCCAGGATTCACGGAGAGATAATTTTATTTATGCTGGTTTCTTCTTTCCCTCCTTTAGCTATTCCCCATTGACTTGGATATAACTAACTTCCTTTCCTCCATATCCCACAATTTGGATAAAATAGGCAAATCCAGCTTTGAAAAGAAATTGACACTAGAAATCAAATTCAAACAGGAAATTCTATGATCAACTTATTTAAAGTATTAAAAATTATGTTCCAATTTTCAATATATGGTCTCCCCAGATAAAGTTGAAGGAATGAGATTTGGTCCCATTAGATTGACAAAACGGAAATTATGTTTGGTGATATGATTTGGCTGTGTCCCCATCCAAATCTCATCTTGAATTGTGGTTTCCATATGTCATGGGAGGGAGCTGGTGGGATGTAATTGAATCATGGCAGCCATTTCCCCCATGTTATTATTGTGATAGTAATTTCTCATGATCTGATGGCTTTATAAGGGGCCTCCCCAGTTGCTCAGTTCTCATTCTTCTCTCTCCTGCTGCCATGTGAAGAAGGACATGTTTGCTTCCCCTTTCACCATGATTGTACGCTTCCTGAGGCCTCCCCAGCATTGTTGAACTGTGAGTCAATTAAACCTCTTTCCTTAATAAATTACCCAGTCTTGTGTCTTTATTAGCAGCATGAGAACAAACTAATACATCTGGTAAATGTTTTAGGAGCAGACAATAGCCTCTTAAATATCTCTGAAAATACTAGAAAGTATAAGGGAAACCAAACCAAAAACTGTGCTGTAGAAATGTCTTGCGGCTCTTATTGCTTAAAAAAATACAGAGCATTCATTATTCAGATTTGTGTCCGTTCTATTTTAATGCTATCCAATTAGATGTTCCTCCTGACAGGAGTTGGTTCCATCTAATAAATTCATTAAATTATGTCAACACTTATATGACAAGACTTGCAAAATCTTGTTCAGTACTCCCATTACACCTCGTCAGCCCTCATGTAGAAAAGAGGACATCAACAAAAATTGAAAGCCAAAAATCTTCCTCATAAGAAAAAGAAGTTAACGTTTGAAAAGTCAGAAAGATTAATATTTTCTCCTCTTTTGTGGATAGTCTCATACCCTTGGGGCCTCATTTTCAAACTGGCTAAAAATGAAAGGATGAAAGAGTCCACAAATGCATAGCATAATTAGTGTGGATTTACTGCAATGAGACATTACAACTTACAGAGACCCTCTCTCTACAAAAAAAAAAAAAAAAAAAAATTAGCCAGTATGGTGGCATATGCTTGCAGTCCCAGTTACTGGGGAGGCTGAGGGGGAGGCTGAGGTGGGAGGATCGCTTGAGCCCAGGAGGTCGAGGCTGCAGTGAGCTGTGATCATGCCACCGCCCTGTAGCCTGGGTGACAGAGTGACACCATGTCTCAACAAAAAGAAATTATAACAGAGAAGGCACAAAGCCTTCATGCTAGACCAAAGAAGAAAAGGAAACTTTTACGTCATTGTCACCTCCTAATACAGAAGTCCTAGATGAGGCCTGACCTTGCTCTTTAATGCCCTCCTTGGGGGTCTGGTGACAGTCAGCAGCCAGATGCCATCCAAGAAGGGCTTAGCCCTTTATATCTGTTTACCTCCACAAAGGACCTACACACACAAGTATTTGCGAATGATGCTGTCTTCCAAAGCCTCCTGTGCTGTATGTTGCTCTACTTGCTTGATCTCAGGTAGATTCAGAACAAAAACTGAGAGTTGATTCTTGACCAGACGGAGGGTTATTCTGCAGGAATTAGGAAGACCCTGTTGCAACATTTAAATGTCTAGGTGATAGAAGATACACAAACAGATCAGAACGTAAAAATGCACGTGGACTGTGTATTTGGTGATCATCACCACATAAACTATGTGCACATATTAAGTAGAAGGAGAAAGCAATTCTGGAGTGCTGGGCTAAAGAGTGTTCCCTTTCCTTTTTTCCCCCAAATTTTATTTTCTAAAATGATATCGGTTTTCTTAAATATGAAAGAGAAGGCAAGCTTCCCTTCCTTGACAGCTTTTACTTAGACCAGCGCTGTACAATATATATTTTTCATTATTGTATCTCTAAGGAGCCTTTTTAGACATTTTTAAAAAACAAATCTCCCTCCTTTTTGAAAATTCAATGCTACATATTCACTGTGTACTGTATGCATATCTGTGGTTTAGGCATAAAAATAGTTTTTGCTCCCTCCCACCAAGCACTGTTTTTGTCCTCTTGAGAGTCTAGAATTTGAGTCCAGATGGGCATCTGAGACATGAGTACATGTAACAAAGTAAGGTAGTCTTACCTTTGTTCATTGCCTGGAATAGACAACTAGATATTGGTTTTAGCTGGAGGCAGTAACAAGTGCGCTAAGATTAGGGGATTGCTGCTGATTTGAATGATCTTCCAGGGACCCAATCCGTGTGGAATTAACCCGAAAGTTTAGACCCTTTCTGATCCCTCTGATGAGGGTCAAGAGGCCCATGGTCAGCCTGAACACCTCTGATACTGCCCTTGAGGCAGTCCCAATTCCCAGTCACCCCCTGAATGAGCATTCATGTTCACTGATGAGTGTTTTCCCAGAGAAAACAGCCCAGAATCCACCTTCAATCAGCCACCCTAGCAGCTACCTGGAAGCAGAGGCCCGAAAGATTAGTGCTCAGGGGCTGAGACTTCTTCAGGGAAGCACAACCTGGATGGCTTTGAAATGACTATGTCTGGAACCCGCACAACTTACTATTGCTGTTGCAAAAGATCTCATCAAACAAGCTTCCTCTGGAGGGAATTATGCACAAACAATACTAAAAGAGGTTTTAAAATAACTTCACTTTTTGGGAGAAGAAAAAGAGCACTTAATTTCTGGACTTTATTGAAAGTCCCTGTCATGTCTTCAGAAATCCCTTCATGGGCTGTTTTATGACTCCATCGGCAGATTAGGCTCTTCCTGCTCCACACTAATTGCTAAGCACTATTGCCTAATAATTGTGCCATTAACCTATGTCAGCAGTGTAACTATTGTGATTCCCATGCCATGCTCAGAAGAGCTGTTTCATCTAACCTTTTGAAAGTAGAAAATCATTAGACAGTGGAATCTATTTCTCTTTGAATAGTTGTTAACTTACACTTGCCCAATGATATTAATTTTTGACACATTTCTATTTTGATGTATTTACTTAGCAAAATGGAATATTGAACCTTTCTGCTTTCCTATGTACATGCATCGTTTACTATGTAGTCATCACCAAATTAAAAATGGAAAAAAATAAAATAACCTCAGTTTTATCTCTCATTAAAAATAGAACATAGATCTTAAGTTATACCCTCTTTGCTGCATACTTTCATCTATTTATTTGCTGTTTATAATAGTAAAGATGGTCACTCTTCCTGGATGTCAATGGCCAATGAGGAATGCATGGCCTTGGGCTGTTCTTCAGATCAACACGGAATTCCCAACCAGGCTCTAATTCCTGCAGAAGTGCCTTGCCCTTGGATGCTTGTGCTTAAATAATCCACACATGACTCTCTTAACCAAGCCAAATGCACTTCTTTCCCATTCTGGACACCAGAGGTAGAGAAGCTCAAATCCTACCCTGTAGTCAAAGGCTGAGGAATAAGGTAATTTAAGACTTCAGTGGTTGTTCCAACTTACAGCACCATCTGCAACCCCACTGGAGACCTCAAAACTATCAGACTCCACAGACAGTGCTAAACTGCACCCTGTGGATGTGACACGAATACAGTTTTTCTTTCAGTGTCACTTAACGTCATGTGTTACAAATGCTTATGATCTAATGCATTGTATTAAATTTTGAAACATTAGAAGCTTAAAAACTCTACAAAACCCTTATCATGACATGTATGTAGGCTGTTTCCATAAAGTCAACAGAAATTAAGGGGAAACTACAAAATGTAAGTGACAAAAAAAGTGTTAAATAATACAATTTTACAGTAGGCATAGAAAGTTATCACAGGAAGGGATCTTGGAGCTCTGTGGTTCAATTTCTCCCTGTCCAGGTGAGTGCCCAATGGTGCGATGACTTGTAAGGTCATGCACGGGTCTATGGTGTATCCCAGAATTGTACCCAAGGCCCAGAGCTTCATGAGCAGCAGGTCTTCTCATGCCCAGTCTCTCACCGTGGGTGTTCTAACAGAGGCTTCCCTCACTTCTGGACAGAATCATGGCTCTTTCTCTCCATCTGAATGAAGGCTTTTCATCCCATCTCTTTCCCTCTGGGCCCTTCCCCATGACCACTCCCTTCTCCTCTCAGGTATGTTCAAGCACAAACCCATCCCTTGCTCTGAGGATCTCATCCCTGCTGTGTGGCATTTCCAGCCATACACCTTCTCTTTAGCTGATGTTTTCTCTAATTCCTTTCTTGACATCCTTCATTATGAGCTTCATCTAAATGAAAGTCGCCTTTTCCCATTTTCACCCTCCTGTGTCTGTAACAGCTTCTCCTGAGTTCCCATCTCTTAAATATTCCACATTTTCACATTGAAGCATCAGGGCAGTGCAGTGGTTATAGATATGAGCCCTGATTCCCACACGTAGCCTTTCTATGCCTCAATCTCTTCATATATAAAAAGTGAATAAGAATAGTACCCAGCTCATTAAACTGTCATGAGGACCAAGTGGCAGAATCCACATGAAATCCTTAATGTTCTTCAATTCTTATTGATCAGAAATCACCCAGGGGTGTCAAATATCATCCATGGACTAAATCCTGCATCCCTTCTATTGTTTTCCCTTCCTCCTATTTCCAGGTTCCAGGGAATTCCCATACACACTACCTGTTTACACTGACCCTCACTATAAAAACTTTTTGTTGGCCGGGTGCAGTGGTTCACGCCTCTAATCCCAGCACTTTGGTAGGCCAAGGTGGGCAGATCACGAGGTCAGGAGATCGAGACCATCCTGGCTAACACGGTGAAACCCCGTCTCTACTAAAAATAGAAAAAATTAGCTGGGCGTGGTGGTGGGTACCTGTAGTCCCAGCTACTTGGGAGGCTAAGGCTGGAGAGCGGCGTGAATCTGGGAGGCGGAGCTTGCAGTGAGCTGAGATCACGCCACTGCACTCCAGCCTGGGGATGAAGCGAAACTCCGTCTCAAAACAAAACAAAACAAAACAACACAAAAAAACAAAAAACAACTTTTTGTTGAACCTTGCCTTATCATTAAAATGTGCCTGGTCTGTGATCCATCCTGGGGGAACCAATTATAAGATTATCTTGTTAATTTAAAAAGAACATTTTTAACCTAAAGTGTTAATGCCAGATGTCAGATTACTAATTATTGCAGAGCCATGTGAACTAAACAGGGTGAGATGTGTGGGACCAAGGGGGTAGTTACAAGCACCTCACAAGTCATGCCACTTTTCAGGTAAAAGTCTCCCCCACCTGCAGGTCACCAGTCTCCCAGTCTCTGTGCTGATTGGTGCATTTGTCTTGCCTCCCTTAATAAATTTTAAGTTCAAGGGCAGATACCATGGTTAATCCAAATGTTGTTATCCCCCTTCAGATGATGCAATAAGTCATCATGACCATAATTATCATCATCATCATCATCAGAGAGTCAGTAATAGCAGGCACCCATATTAATCAATAACTAGAATGCAGAAACACTCTAAAATGCAGATAAAGCAAAGGAAAAGATACTATTGCTACCACTAACACCCAGAAAAAAATCTAACTTATCAAGTCCGTCTTGCTCATCTCTGGTTTTATGACATCATGAAGTAGGCAACTCCAAAAACCACATGATGACAAGTAGCAATGCAAAGCATTATTTGCAGTGACATTAGCATCATTCAGGGTTCCATCTGGGTCTTTAATCTGTAAAAATGCATTAACACCAACTAACTGTAGTCCACAGTCCAGCCATAGATGTTTCATTCATGTAAAATATTGACATGTCGACAGACATAATTACTGAGCTTTGTTGACTCAGAGGGCCAGTAGGATTCTTCCAGCGCAGTCTGAATCAACAGTCTGGCGGTGTTTAATAGCCCCTATAAGGAGCTGGTTTCACAAAGAGTGTGATGATTCTGGGTGAAGAGGAAAGCTCATAGGACCTGAGATAGAATCACAGAGACCTGATGTGATGTAGTGGCTTTGTTTTTTAGCTAGAGTTTTACAGTTCTTCATAGGGAAAAGAAAATAAGCAATCCATTAAACATTAGCAGCATTATTTCAGAGATTTCACCAAGCCCTATCTAAGGCATGTCCTGCCCAGCAAATTGTGCATGCTAAGTGCTTTGTAGGGTGCCTGGTACATCATTAGGGCCCAGTCAATGTCTGATGCTGTCATCACTTCTTGTCTCCTCTATACACATGGAAAAGTCTTTTTCATATGTGATAGCATTTCCCAAAGCAAATATTCGTACCCATGTATAATTAATTATATACTTATTTGTGATATTGTGATATAATAAAAAAATATCTATCTGGTCTTCATCCCTGGTTCCTAGCACAGAGCTCCTGTCTTTGTGCAGGCTGCTCTAACAAATTACCATAATCTGGGTAGCGTAAACAACAAACATTTACTTTTCACCATTGTAAAGGCTAGGAAGTCCAAGACCAAGGTGCCAGCTGATCTGGTGTCTAGTGAGGGCCCTCTTGCTGATTTGCAGATGACTCTCTTCTTGCTGTATCTTCACATGGCAGAGAGAGACTCAGCAAGCCCTCTTCATATAAGAACACTAATCCCATTCCTGAGGATTCTATCCCCTTGACCTAATTACCTTCCAAAGGCCCAACCTCCTAATACAATCACATCAGGAGTTAAGATTTCAATAGAAGATTTTGGGGAGGGAACACAAACCTTCAATACATAGTAACTCCTAAAACCCTATAATTTCCTGAATAGGGTGACAGGAACATCTTTTGTTAGAATATTTCATCTCAGTACCCAGTTCCTGACATAAGAATTTCTAAGACCCTTGGAACCCCCAGAGTGATAAGAGTGTCCTTTTGAATGCTAACAAGAGGACTGGTGGTTGGTGGCTGGTGGCTCCTAGATAACTTCAGGATAGAGGGACAGAAAGACCAAGGCATGATTAAAAGGTTGAAAGGTTGTACGGCGCCCCAATCCCCTATCTCCAGAGAGATCAGAGATAAAGTTAATCATCAATGGGCCATGATTCAATCAATCCTTTCCAAGTAATAAAATTTCCATGAAACTCCTGTAATCTACAGATTTCAGATAACTTCCAGCTTGTATTCACATGAAGGTGCTGGGAGGATGGTGCACCCAGCATGGGCATGGGAGATCTGCACCCTTCTCCTCTGTACTTTGTCCAATGTATCTCTTGCATTGACTGATCCTGAGCTGTATCCTTTATCTTAAACCTGTAACCATAAATGCAGTGTTCCCCTGAGTTCTGTGAGCCATTCTAGAAGTTATCAAACTTGAGAAGGAGGCTGTGTGAATCTTCAACTTGCAGCTGATTGATCAAAAGCACAGTTGGAAATCTGGGACTTGCAACTAGTGTCTGAAATGGGGGAAGTCTTGTAGGACTCACCCCTTTGCCTGTGGGATCTTCCTCAGATCCAGGTAGTTAGTGTCAGAATTGAATTGAATGGTAGGATACTCAGTTTGCATCCAGGGAGTTGGAGAACTAATTGGTTTGGGGGAAAACAAAGCAGTTCAGACGGTTTGATTTTTATAGCTTAATATCATCATGATAATTACAAAAGCGGCACCTTGGATCACAACGTTCTAATGTAGACATGGCAGTTACAATTAAAATTAGTTCATTCTACACTTATCACCTGCCAAGTTCTATGCTAGATCCATTGAAATAGTCACCTAGATTGGTTAAGGGTTATTAAATTTAAAAGAAAAAAATAAATTTAAACTAAAACATTGTCTGAAACTAAACCAGGTTGGCACGCCCTCTAAGAAACATCACCTGGTTTGGTGCATCCTCGCAGAAAGAGAGCCATACAGTGAAGTGGAAACACACCCAAAAGCTCTGCAATATTCCTAGAAGTTCTCGAATCTCCTCCTTAACAGAGCTGCAGAAGGGAAACACAGACAGGAAGCACCTGTTTGACTCAGACAGCAGCCCTAATGCAGTGCCACTCAGGAGCATTCCCTCATTTGAAGACCCCCCAATTACATGAAATTATCAACCCCATTAAATTCCAGCCACTGCCATTAACTATCATTAGGGCTAAATCAGTTATCTGATCACATCCTGAAAAAGTGGATTTCCCGAATAAGGACCTCCCAATTAAGAGAGGCGTCCTATATCAGAAAGCCTAAATTCCCTGAGTAGTCACTTAATTACCATATCTACAAGTTTCTACCGTGCCGATCTCAAGTACAAGTTGCTTGCAAAGCAATGGAATGAAGCCAGCAGACAGGCAGAGAGAGGAGGCGCATTCAGTTATGGGTCTAGGTAATTAACTCTTCAACAAACAACCCTGGCACTCTACAGAGTTGCTCTCACCATGCTCCACCCTTGTTGCAGAATCTGCTCTTGTATGTAGATGAGCATTTAACCTAGGCATGTTTCCATAGGGCATCTTCAAAATCAGTGCAAAGTATAAACCCAACCCCTAGCTTGCTTGTTGGTCTCCACACTTGACACATAACTCATATCGCCTTTTCCAAGCAGTGTCCTCTGTGGGTGTGCCTTGCTATAAATAATTTCTACACCTAGACATGGTTCTTATATTTATGTTTCTTACAGCACTGAACATAGCGTCTTGCATATAGTAAGCACGCAACACTTTCTATGAGTGACTGAATCATGAAGCTGAATATGAGATTTTAAGCCCAAAGATTTAAGAAATGTAAAAGCTAAGTCTCTTTCTGGAGCGGTGTTACACCAAGATGATCCATAAAATGCCAAAGAGTAAGATGAATTTTTGGCAAACACTACAAGTCTATTATGAAACAGCTTATCATAATAGACTTGGATCTACTTGAGTCTAATCGTATCTCCCTTAATATTACTAAAAGCCTAATATAATACAACTAGCCTATAATCCCTGGGTATCCTACAAACAAATCAAACTCAAGTTTCTAAACCAGGACATGTTATTTTTCCTTTCCATTTTGTGTCTCCTGTGTATTTCTAGACTCTGTTAATGGAGTCACCACTTACCAAGAGCGCCAATGCCAGAAACCTTAATTTCTATCATTTCTTTACCTGCCTCTTGCTGATCCTCCCTAGCTCTCTCATGTCCCATTATATCTATTCCCATACGTATAAGCGTTGGCAGATCGTTTCTTTCATTGCCACCTCGGAAATGTCCCTCAAGTCCAGCTTGTTCTAGCTTCACAACCACTGTCGCAGCTCAGACCCAAATTATCTTTCCCCAGATGACTGCCAACAGCCCTGCTTCCATGTGTCCCTCAACGACATCATTCTTCCTACTACATCCAGGGTAATCTTCCTCAATTAAAAACAGAGAAAGCCAAAAAGCTGGATCACTCTATTCTCCTGAGTTTTTTTTTTTTTTTTAAAAAGAAGAAAAAAATCGAGTTATTGCAAGATAAAAATCTACAGTCCTTCATTTGTCATCAAAGCTCTTTGCAATCCTACTCGGATGGGCCCAGGTATGTGCCTCATCCTGCAAAATGGAACAACCATGGGTTCTTCCTGTAAGGCGCCCTGATCCTGTTTGACGGGGCCCTTGTCTCTCCACCACTTGTTACGGTAAGCAGAAAGTTTTCCCACATTTAAAAAAATTCCAGTAGGAAACCTTTTCCAGAGGTATGTTTCTAATACGACATTCCATTTCCCTTATTTCTGCATATTTTTTTAATGGCACCTTTGTTGCCTTGGGTGGCTTTTTTCCTAATTGCTCATTCTTAAGCAGCTGAAGTCCTCACCAGACCTGACCTTTGATGGCAGACAGGGTGTGAATACTGCTCTTGGCCCGACTCCTTGCTCACTTGCCCACTGTGTGCTGGAGAAATTCTCTTCTTGGATGTGGAGCTCAAGATTGCTGTATAAAGCTCCTGGCCCAAGCCAATGTCCATCAGGTTGTCTTTTCTTCTCTTTAAGTAAAATGTTTTAAGGTATAATTTACACACCACACATTTTAACATATAGTTTTAAAAAATATTTTTATCAATACCTAATATTTGCACAAATCTATGGAATAGGGTGACATTTTGTTACATGTATAGAATGTGTAGCAATCAAGTCAGGGTACTTAGGGTACCCATCACCTCAACCATTTATCATTTCTCTGTTTTGGAAACATGTCAAGTCCTCTCTCCTAGCTATTTGGAAATATGCAAACATTATTATTAACTATAGTCACCCTATCCTGCAATCAAACATTAGAATGTATTCACCTACTTGTATAAGCATAAAGTTTGATGAGTTTTGAAAAATATGTACGCCCATGAAACCTACACTCTTATTAAGATATAGAACATTTCCATTACCCCAGAAACTCCCCCTGGGCCTCCTTACATTCAATCCTTCTCATCTCCCACCCCCAGCAACCCTCATCCACTTTCTATCATAGTTTTGCCTCTTCCTCTTCCAGAACTCCTGTGATGGAGTCATTTACGACGTGGTCTTTTGTCCCCAACTTCTTTCTCCCAGTATGTTTTTGAGATCCATCTGCATCACTGTGTGGCTTGCCAGTTCATTCCTCTCGTTACTGAGCAGGATTTCAATGTGTGGCTATATCGCCTTGTTTCTCCATTTACCTATTGATAGATAGCGGGATGTTTCCAGTTTGAGGAAACTAGAAAATACATGTTTTTGTAGAAAGAGAAAAATAAATCATGGGTTCATATCATATTTCGAACTTAAATGAAAAAGTATAGGATTTCCACTTGATTAGTTGATTTTATTTTGTATCTCCAGGATGCAAATCTGATTTTCTAATGTCATTAACAAAATTACTTATTTCCTTGTCCTACAATACATTTATATGTATATCTGTATAATTGTTTGAAGTAACAATACTGATATTATTATAGAATTATTATAGAATGCAGTTTAAGATTTTTCTTTATGTTCTCTCCTTAGGTATGTCCCACATGGAATATACAATTAATTTCTGTGATGTCATACAGAAATTTCTGTGCTGTCTCTGCAGTTTTAAAATTTCATTTTGATGCATAATGTTTAGTTCCATAAAACATTCACCTGGTTCCAAAGTCAGATCTATATAGCAAGACCTATTCAGAAAGGTCTAGTGTCTAACCTTGTCCCAACATTTAAAAATAGTTTATTTATCATTCTACTGGTTCTTTGAAAAAATCTAGACATGTGTGACTATCTATGGGTATTACTCGTTTCTTACACAGAATGCTAAACACATTTATATGGTTTGGCTGTGTCCCTACCCAAATCTCATCTTGAATTGTAACCCCATAATCCCCATGTGTTGTAAGAGGGACTCAGTGGGAGGTAACTGAATCATGGGGGTGGCTCCCCCATGTTGTTCTCATGATAGTAAATTCTCATGAGATATGATGGTTTTATAAGACGCTCCCCCCTTCACTGGGCACTTATTCTCTCTCCTGCTGCCCTGTGAAGCGGTGCCTTCTGCAATGATTCTAAGTTTCCTGAGGCCTCCCCAGCCATGTGGAACTGTGCATCAATTAAACCTCTTTCCTCTATAACTTACCCAGTCTCGGGTATGTCCTTACAGCAGCATGAGAATGGACTAATATACACATGCTTCTTCACCTTAAAATATACCTAGAAGATTACTTCATGAAAACAAATCTTCCTCATTTTTTTACACAGCTGCTTCTGTATGGATGTACCACAATTAATTTAACCAATCAACCAACAGCTGATGGACATATGGGTTGTTTCTAGACTTTTCTGTTTATAAACCATGCTTCAATAAATAATCTAGTGCAAATATCATTTTATATTTTGCCAGTATCTTTGGGATTGTCTTCCTGAAATGGTACTGCTGGTTCAAAGGGTAAATCCTCGAGTACTCTAAATAGTGCCAAATTTCCCTCTACAGAGCTGTGTCATGTTGTACTCCCACTAGCAATGCACAAAGTGACACTTACTCCAGCCTTACCATAGAATGTGTTGTCAAACTTTTTCATGTTTACCAATCCCATAGTTGAGAAACAGCATCTCAGTATAGTTCGAGTTTGCATTTTAGCCAGTTACCCTTCTAATGGGGAACCAAATCATTTTTCCCTCGACATCTGCATTCACACCTACAGATGTTTTCTAATCTCCCTTTGCTGGCACAGTAATTTCTGTTCTCCCCCAAAATCCCCCACCCCCTCATTTAGGACCACAGACTAGGTGGAATTTCACCACCTGACTCTCCCTTCCATGGTGGAACCAAGCTTGCCTCAAATGCAGTTCTGGAGCGACAGTATCCTGGGCTAGAAGCAATGGGAAAGGCAAAAAAATGCAACTTTGCAACTCTTTCCAGAAATATATTTTTCAATAATTATAGATGTCATTACTGTTACATCACAACTTTCATTTTCCCTTCCTTGCTCAGAAAATACCACCGTAATGGATTCAAATATTATGGGAACAAGTTGTTAGAAGAGAACACATTATCTTATTCTGCCACCTGGACTTTGAGTTCCGAGGCCCTGGGTTGGTAAACTCTAAAGAAGATAAGCTGGGCTCCTCATCTATGTTAGCTATGCTCATAAGGACATCTGGGGTCACATTCTTTTTGCAGCCATGGATCAGACTTGGGAAAAAAAGATAAGAATAAACCATTGTAAAATTCAGCTACAACTTAACATCATGGTGGCAGAAAGAGAAAGAGTCAAAGTGAACCCAATTGCCAAAGCATTACTACGAAATAAAAGTCAACCTCTCCTGATATCTCCTGCCATTTCTTTCTGGGAAACTCTGTCCACATGGCATGGACTTCCTCAGCAGGGGGACTGAGTCCTGGAAATGCATGGAGCTCTCCAGGCACTGACAGGAACTGACCAGGCTAACCAGACCTCCAAGGACTCACCCACAATCCCGCCATCGGGCCAGTGCTTTTGTTCTCTGCTCTGTCTCACACTGTCCTCTGGAGAGGTTTAGGCTCTAAAGCCAAAACCCTCACCCTTTCCACAAACAGAGTTTGTAATATTTTAGTGTAATTTCACCGAGCATGTTGGGAAATGAAATAGCAGTCCACACCCAGCGGTCTACTTAAAATATCAGCAAGAAAGGCAAAAATTCACTCCCAGGGTGGCAAAAAGCCATTCCAATCCTCAGAGAATGAGCTCAGACATCTACTGAGAACCAAAAAGCATCATCTGCAGAGGGTAGACTGTTTAATCAAAATGGGCACACTGGTTTCAAGAGTATGAAGGTCTAACCTCACATGTGCTTTGGTCGGGAGAAGCAAAAAAGCAGAAGAAGGAACTGGGGGCCACATTTAGATCCAGATTACTGGACAGAAAAGTATAGTCATAAAAACTCAGAATCAGACGGTGGGTTGGCAGCAAATGACTTTTTTCCCATTAAGTAGTTTGTGGGTGGAGGCAGATCTCCAAATACTTCGTGGCAGTGCCACTGAGTAAAGCATGGCTCGTGCCTCGATTGGTTAATACCAACACTGACACATGCTCCATCCTCCTGTGGAACAAGAAATACTTTCACTGATATTATTTTTGGGTAGATGAGCTGAGACCTTTCTTCCTTTCTCTGGTCAAATTACTTAGCATGCATGATACATTAAACTAAAAACTGTCCACAGAAGTGGCAATACTTAAGTAGTGATGATCTCATTTATTTGAGGTTTGACACAAGCCAGCAGAGTGTTTATGACTCCCAAGCAGGCATCAACAAACCCCAAAGGCTGTTATCAATACTAAGTATTTGCCTTAACTAGGACATTCCAAGAGTGGCTTCCCATAGTGGTCAAGTGGTAACCTCTGTGGTCAGCTTTACTTGGTGTTACAAGTTATATAAGATAAATACTGGAAGACCTGGTTTAAATTCCATCTACCTGGGCTGATGGTCTGTGCCAAAGAATACATTGTCATTAGCATGTTCAGTTGAGAATTACATCAGATTGCAATGAGTGTAATGACCTCAAACATTTACAGGTAAGACCAGGGACTTACTATGGTGTGCCACTAATGTAAAGAGACTGTACAACAGTGTCCTTCAAACCTTAAAGTGCATGCAGATCACCCAGGGATCTTGCTTAACTGCAAACTCTGATGCAGTAGGTCTGAGATTCTGGATTTCTAAGAAGCTTCCAGGGAATGCCCCTGTAATTGGGATGTAGTTGGTCCATGGCACCCACTCTGAGTAGCAAAGCTGTAAAAAACACCAAATGTAGAATTCAAATAATTTTTCTCCCTTCAAGGCAGTCCTAGGAATGTAAATTCCAAAATTGTAGCCATTGCTCAAGATGTTATTTAATATCTCTCTTAGATACAATTTTGCAATGTGTTCTAAAATCAGTTCAGGTATTTTCTAGTTACTCGTTCCTTTTGGCTCCTGATAATAATGCTCCATTGGATCGTTCAACTCATCTGCCAGCCTTGGTGCCAAAAAAGGCATGAATTCAAAAGATGGGCTCCTGCGTCCACGGGCAAGTAAACATTTTTCAAAGTTGTGTGGAGCAATGGGAACTGTTCTAAAAGGACCTGCAATCGTTTGGAAACTAAAGTCAAATCTGCTAGTTAAATACTAGTCTTGATCATTAGCTCTTCCATGCAAAAACAATCAAACAATAATAATAGTAATAATATAACTAGTACTTAAATGCATTTTGGTTTTGTTTTGTTTTGTTTTTGAGACACGATCTCACTCTGTTAAGGTGCATTTAGCCATTGGCTATAAGCATGCTATAACAGTTTGTTTGTTTTTTTTTCCCACATCACCTCTGGGCAGCATCCGGGAACTCTGTGGGACTACATCGATGCAATGTCAATGAAATAATAATAATCTTTATATCATATGGTGATATTATTCACATTTGTATTTGCTATATAAGATTTACTATGTGACAGGCACATTTCTCAGGGCTGTTTTACATGCATCCACTTATCTGAGCCTCACAGCAACTCTACAATCAAGTCACCCTTCTTACCTCCATGTGCAGGCTGAGACACCTGAGGCATAGAGCAATACAGTAGGGTGGGTGGTTCCAGCAAGCTGGTGAAAAATCAAGAGCCCAGGCTCTATCACTCCTGCATCTTGGTGGCTGCTGTCATTAGGAGTTGGTTTGCTTGACCCAGATAGATAAGTGAAAGCCAAAACCCACTATGACTTCTGTGGAGCTTGGACTCCCCAACACCCATTTCCCACCTTTGCAGCTGCCTGTGCATGGTGATCATGCCACAGCAGGGAGGTTCGGCCTGGCCTTGGCATGCTGAAGTCCAGGAGGAAGCACTG
Source organism: Homo sapiens (assembly GCF_000001405.40). Taxonomy (NCBI): domain Eukaryota; kingdom Metazoa; phylum Chordata; class Mammalia; order Primates; family Hominidae; genus Homo; species Homo sapiens. The sequence goes on from NC_000021.9 coordinate 35,550,940, forward strand.
AGTTAAGCTCACAAGTAAGAATCAAGGACATTTGGGTCACCATTTGAAAAACCCTTGTTATAAGGGTTTTTCAACATCACGAAACATTTTTATTTTGTGCACGAAGGAAGAATTGCTTCATACAGTGGTAAAAAAAAAAATTCTATGAAACCTCTGCATTGGAAATGGCTAAAAAATATTAGGACCAGTTGTAGATCAAGATGTTTTATCAGGTTCCCTTGTTAAGTGGTCTGTTCTGGAGCTCCTAAGACATGCCAGGAGATCTGGCAGTAAGTTAAGAATGACTTCAAAGACAGTCCTGCTAAAATAGATACTAAGCATGGCACCCTGGGTCTGGCTTCAGGTAGTAATTGATGTTTGGGAGGTACACATTTTATTTTATGAAAGGAACAGATAAGTTTAACATCATCAGATATTTCTCTCTCTCGCTCGCTCTCTCTCTCTCTCTCCCCCCCTCCCTCCCTCTCTCTGGAAGCAAAGAGTATGTTTGCTGTGTGTGAATCAATTTAAACTGGTGTGTGATGGAAATATTTCATGGTGAGTTGCCCGTGTAACTGAAAAAAATTATAATAATAGCAAACACTTAAATGGTTTATGCTGTTTATAAGTATTAGCTATTTTAATCAACAAATTGATCCTATGAGACAGGTACTGTTATCATTCCTATTTTTCTAATGCAGAAACTCTATAGAGAAGTTCTGTGACTCAACTGAAGGGCCAGATGGGGAGTAAGCCATGGGGATAGAATTTAAGTTGGGGCAGTCTGTCCTCAGTGCCATTGCTCCTGCCCTCCAGGAACACTGCCTCTCCATCAAAGTTCCTCTCCTGATCTTACCTCCAGGGACCTCTGCACAGGCTCTTCCCCTTTTCCTGCAGTGTCAAAATCCTGCCCCTAGTCCTCAAGGAATGACTCCTCTGGAGTCCCTCAGGTTTAGAGTTGCCAGATAAAATGCAGGATCAAACATTGCATAGAAGAGCTTGGGCACGGTGGCTCACGCTTGTAATCCCAACACTTTAGGAGGCTGAGGCAGGAGGATTGCTTGAAGCCAGGAGTTCAAGACCAGGCCAAGACCAGGGCAACACAGTGAGATCCCATCTCTGAAAACAAAATTAGTTGGGCATAGTGGCACATGCCTGTAGTCCCAACTACTCAGGAGGCTGAGACGAGAGGATCACTGGAGGCTGAGGCTGCAGTGAGCTATGATCATGCCATTGCACTCCAGCCTGGGTGGCAGAGTGAGACCATCTCTAAATATGTATTTATACACACACACAAACTATACACACATACATGTGCACACACACGTATAAACATACATACATATTATATATTGCATAGAACATACTTATACTAAAATTCTGTTTGTTGTTTCTCTGAAATTCAAATTTAACTGGTTGTCCTATATTTGTATTTGCTATTAGGTTGGTGCAAAAGTAATTGCAGTTTTTGCCATGACTTTCAATGGCAAAAACTGCAATTACTTTTGCACCAACTTAATATATTTCACATTCCTACTTAGAGATTAGCTTCAATACCTTCTCCTCAAAGGCCTTTCCACAGACTCAAGAGCACACCCCCTCCCCACATTGCCATTGTCTCCTCACTGTAAATCTCTGCATGGTACTCAAGCACATCTGACGCCTGCTATGAGAATGTCACCCAGTGAAGCAGAAGACAGACATGCTTGTCCATCTGGTCTACCACTCTATAGATTGGATAAAGATAATGTGGCACATATACACCATGGAATACTATGCAGCCATAAAAAAGGGATGTCCTTTGCAGGGACATGGATGAAGCTGGAAACCATGATTCTCAGCAAACTAACCCAAGAACAGAAAACCAAACACCGCAGGTTCTCACTCATAAGTGGGAGTTGAACAATGAGAACACATGGACACAGGGAGGGGAGCATCACATACCAGGGCCTGTCAGCGGGTGGGGGGTTAGGGGAGGGATAGCATTAGGAGAAATACCTAATGTAGATGACGGGTTGATGTACAGCAAACCCACCATGGCACGTGTATACCTATGTAACAAACCTGCACGTTCTGCACATGTACCCTGGAACTTAAAGTATAATTTAAAAAGAAAAAAAAAAAAGCCTAAACGAGTCTCTGATGAATAACAGGTATGTGATAACAGTATGTGGAAAGAATAAATGAATGTGTGTCACCTGCTGCAAGACTTCTGGAGGATGTTTCCTTACCTCCAGAGAACACAGAAAAGTTCACCAGAAGATGTGCTATACGTCCTTGTCTTTTCCATGTTTTGTGTGAGTAACTTGGAACTAAACACACGTTCCTAATTTCCTACTTCAAAGGCAATGAATTTCCCAGTGCCTGATGATTATTTATATTTTAAATATTTTGAAAGAAATGTCAGTTTCCTTGCAACAAATTAAGTGTATGTTCTTGAAAATGGAGAGCACGATCCCCTCAGCATGCATATGGTAAATGCCCTCAAACACGCAAACAGAGTCCACGTCTTTGAAAAACACTTTCAACACAATAACAGCCAGGAAGAAGTGGTCTATTTTTATACAGCAGCCCCCACATGACACAGCAAATCAAACACATTATTTCACTAATTCTTTTTTACCTGTTGCTTCAGGTGAATAAAGTCACAATGTGTGTAGAACAAGTGAGTGACCCTTTACAAAGACTCTTGTTCCCCCTAGAGATTTCATTGTGGCAAGGAAATAGCTCTAGAGTAGATCATTTTTAACCTAGTGAACAGCCACAATGAAGGTTTGATAAAAGATGAACCAAATGAAGTAAGAACAGGAAGCTTGAGACTCTCTGCTCTGCTCAATCCATACCATTTCCAGAACGGGTCAAGCACTCAGAAGTGCCCTGTGGCTGTCTGGCACTAGAAACTCATGGAAGGTAAATTTTTTATGTTTTATTTTTCATTAAAACAGACTAAGAAATTGCCTAAAGGCAAGTTCCATATGTTTGGCTGTTGTTTAAACCTTAGTTTCTTAAATACATTTGAATAAAACTATGACAGAAGAATCATTGGTCGCTAATTTTTAAAAGAGTAAATATTAGGTAAAGATAAAATGAATTACTGACTTTATTTCATAGTTATAATATCTTAAGTTGGAAAGACTCTTTTACTTTAATCATTGTGGGGAAGAAGTATAAGAAAAATTTTAAGACTATTGGGGTGCAAACCACAGGGTGTAGCCTATATCTACTCCACATGCACCCTTCTGAAGTTCTTATATCCTAACCTCATTTTTCATCCAACCTTAAATGATACCACAAAAATGCACTTACCGACCAAGCCTTTTTTTTTTTTTTTTTTTTTTGAGACGGAGTCTCGCTCTGTCGCCCAGGCCGGACTGCGGACTGCAGTGGCGCAATCTCGGCTCACTGCAAGCTCCGCTTCCCGGGTTCACGCCATTCTCCTGCCTCAGCCTCCCCAGTAGCTGGGACTACAGGCGCCCGCCACCGCGCCCGGCTAATTTTTTTTTGTATTTTTAGTAGAGACGGGGTTTCACCTTGTTAGCCAGGAAGGTCTCGATCTCCTGACCTCATGATCCACCCGCCTCGGCCTCCCAAAGTGCTGGGATTACAGGCGTGAGCCACCGCGCCCGGCCCCAAGCCTTTTTTTTTTAATGTCAGAACTTTTCTCCAAGTGAAAAACACCAATAATACACACCCTCCATTTTCCCACAAATCCCTCTTCTTTCCCCATATCTTATCAACCTTTCAACGAATTGGTCAACACTCTCCATTAACAAACTTTTAAAGTAAGAAAAATGGATGATGACTGCTTAAAATGAGAATCCTACTGTAAAAATCATTGATTCTTTATCTGGAAATTCCAAAATGTCACCCAATGTAAAATGAACTGGCTTAAGGAGAATTTTATACTAAACTTTCTCATAAAATGTTATTTTTTAAAAATAGGGAGGAGTGAAAATGAACTTACTGGGAGGTACAGCAAACTAGCAAACTACTTATTTTGTATTTGGGGGAATGTGTGGAACCATTTAGAGGTACAGAAACCCTCTCTGAAAGAAAGAATGATTTGACAATGTTATCTGAAACTTCCCAATGCCAATCTTTTCAAAGTCTAGCTGTTTTATTAGTTACTGAGAGAGGGATATCAAAATCTCCACCTATGGTTGTGAATTTATCTATTTTTTCCTTTAATTTTGTCAGCTTTTGCTGACAAGTCATAGCTCAAATTTGGGAAACACTGTTTCGGGAGACCACAGAGGAGATACAACCGTGGAACCAAATGAACCATGATGTAGCTCTCTGAACTGATGTTCACAGAAGTCACTGCCCTACACATTTGGCAATTCTATTTTAAGATATGACCATGTTTTGGTCTATATGCAAACCTTTCCCTGAAGTGCCATTCACCTTTTCCTGAATTGTCATTTTTCTCAAACTGTTGACTAAGGATGAACATCTGTTAAGAAGTGCCACCTCCTGTCTGAGAAACATGGAGCATGTAAAGCCACTGTAGGGAAGATGACATGCAATCACTATAACGCACGGGCTTTCCTTTAAGTCAGCTTTGCCATGTAATCTCTTCAGCATGCATTAGCTGTGTAGCCATTGGGATGTTTCTTAACTGCTATGAACTCAATTACATCATCTGTAAAATGTCTTTGAAATAACTATCTCATTAGGTTGAAGGCCATGAGGATTTAATGAGATAAAGTATATATAAACTGCTGTTCATATAGTAGGTGCTCAATAAATGCTAGCTTCCCTTCTGCATTTCCGTTTATATGCTAGCAAGGTCAAGAGCAGATGCATAAACAAGACCGAATTTTCTAGTCCGTATTTATAAGATCTTAACTCATGTTCAGTAATTAACACTAATATACACAAATGAATATAGAACAAAATGACTTATACACACTTTCAGGTATCTCACACACAAATGCTTTAAATGCCGTTGAAAAGTTTTGGGACCTTTTCAGTCACTTTGAATATTCGGTTCATCGATCTTCCTTTGCCCCCAGGCACCATTTGGGGGTCTCACCATATCCTTCTCTCTGTGACTCCTCTGGTTGGTGCCATGGCTGGCAAAGTCCTAAGGGATGCCAAGAGAATTCCCCTCCATCAGAGCATCTGGAGAAGCACACCACCTACAGAGCTCCTGGGACAGGTCCAGGAGGTTAAATGTCTGTTTAGAACCATTATCCATTCTCTATTACACACACAGGGGACAGTCCACGACCATTCATTGCATCAAGATCAAAACATAATGTGTTGCAGGTAGGGAAGATACACATCACTTGGCAATTGCATTGCATTTGCTATTCAGGTTCTCAAAGCCTTGAAAGACAGCAAATGTCTACAATTCCCCAGTGCGAGATGATGGGAGATATAAACTAAATGGCAGAGATCAAAATCTCTTCTTTGGCATTCCGCAACACTTGAGACAGCTTAGTGCCAAGAGCACCAGATTTAGAGTCTAAAGACCTGGATGTGAACCTGAATTTTAGTTTAGATACTGGTATGTTTCCGAACCTCAAATACAAGACCTGTAAGATGGGGATAATAAAGACTTCCTCCTGGTGTTACTGTTCAAGAATCAGATAAAGCAAATATGTGAGATATTGGGATCATCTTTGCTTACCTTGTAAAAGGCAGACTCTAAATCATTTCTAGGAATTATCAAGGTCTATACCTTCAGTGCTGTAACTATTCTCACGTTTTGCCAGTAGCTTTCCTCCAGCTGGAGTAAATTGTAAAATCCCTCACTGGTATCATGATGCTGTTTAAGGAGGTGGTTTTTCAGATGAGAGCACCGAGGCCAATGTAAATGCCACATGCATCAAATTCATGTGTGCTGATTCAAAGACTAATAGTCTTTTAGCTCTGCACCTTCTTTGTGACAAAATAAATTTGTCATCAGTAATGAAACTTAAAACTTGGCTGGCAAATCCTTAATGCTCTTTGCCTTTAAAATAAAATTTGAAAAACCTTCAGTTCTATGTATTGACATCTTTACCTCTGATATATTAACAAACCATTAGCAGTTTAAGGGCTGAAAGGCCCAAGTAGTGTTATGCATGACGTCTGGGACATAGCTGAAATTCAAGGGTCTCACACCATGACCTGCCCATTATTTCAACTGAAACCTCACTCCCGCACCTCGGGCACCCTAGGCACAGGGGATATTCTCAGAAAATGGAACATAAATGGCATTGGAACATGGAGACAAGACCTTATTAACTAGAATTATCACTCGACTTTGGAAATTACTTTAAAACTGAATGCCATTCTCATGGATAGTAAAATATGACACCCAAGGCGGTTCTCAACACTTTGAAATCATTTGAGTTTGGATTAGACAAAACTCCATAAAATATACACATTTGCATGCACAGAGAAAGATCAAGATTATGTGTACATGTACTTAGCTTACGAATTATAAGTGGATTTTTTGTGTATTTTTACATTGTTTATACCCACATATAGGCATATATGAATATTTACAACGAAGCCAAAATTTTTTTAAACGTACTCCAAATCAAGTTAATACTCATTAAGAAAGGAAGAACAAAATACAGCAAATTCTCCATTATTTGTGTCAATAAGGTTAAGGCACAGGTTCAGATTTTGCTTTGAAATGCAGAATGTGATGATTTTGCAGCATGCTTATTCATATTAAAATTTTCCCCTCAGGACAGGTGGAGAATAGCTAACTCCACAGCTATGAGAAGTAGCCTGGGGGTGAATCAAACAACAAAATATACTAGGTGCATGGAATTTTACTTGGAAGTCACAATATTCCCATTTTCCAGGTAAGAAAACTGAGTCTTAAACCACAGTGGTAATAAAGAAAAAATTGTTCATGACATGTGTTAAAGACAGGAAGGAAGACTTTATTCAATGGGAGACTATTGTAATAGGTATAGGGGCCACTGCAATATAATTTTTGAATGGGAGAGACAGATTGGAACGAATTCCAAATACAGCAAGACCAAGTGGAAATTTACAGCCAAGGAACAGGGTAGGGACCAGTGGATGGAAAATTAATAAGAGGAAACATCAGAGGTAAGGGGAACGTACTTACTTAATACAGCAAATCAAACACACTATTTCACTAATTCTTTTTTACCTGTTGTTTCAGGTGAATGAAGTCACAATTTGTGTAGAACAAGTGAGTGACCCTTTACAAAAATTCTTAGCAGGACTCTTGCTGAAGACAGGCCAGGGTGATCACCCATTATGGGGGATGGTGAAGGATGAGGAATCTGATCAGACATAGAAGGTGATCGAATATTGAGGGGGAGGGGTTCTGGGTCAACTGACTTAGCAGGATTCTTGCCAACACTGGACCATGCATGAGAATCCAAACATCAAGACCTAATCAGGGAGAGACTTTAGAAGGAGAGAATCTTGGCTGGGTGCAGTAGCTCATACCTGTAATCCCAGCACTTGTGGAGGCCAAGGTGGGTGGATCACGGGGTCAGGAGTTAGAGACCAGCCTGGCCAAGATGGTGAAGCCCCATCTCCACTAAAAATACAAAAATTAGCCAGGTGCAGTGTCGGGTGCCTGTAATCCCAGTTACTCGGGAGGCTGAGGCAGGAGAATCACTTGAACCTGGGGGGCAGAGGTTGCAGTGAGCCGAGGTCACACCACTGCACTCTAACCTGGGCGACAGAGCAAGACTCCATCTCAAAAAAAAAAAAAAAAAAAAAAACAAGGAGAGAATCTTTGTCATTTGTCAAAGCGTACCACAAAGGCTATTCCCATTTTCCTTTTATCTTTAGTTAACAAACACTTAAGTCAGTGTAACTGTGCACCAGGCACTATTGTAAAGAGCTTTATACATCTTAACTCAATTATCCCTCTGGACCACCCATGGAGGCAGTACCATTATTAGCTTTGTTGTACAGGTGAGGAAACTTAGGCCAGAGAGCTTAGTAACTTGCCAAAGATTGCATAGCTGGTAGGTGGAGGAGAAGGGATGGAGTGAATCTAGGTTTTGTGGGGCCTGAAACTTACACAATTTGTGGAACTATGTAAGAAAAATAATACAAAATAGGAAATACAAAATTAGTCATGAATGAGAGAATAAATCATAACAAATTACTGATGCCGTGGAGATTCAGGGCCTTTTGAATCTAGTTGGAGTAGGGAAGCCAGTGTGTGGTCAGGAAACATTGCTAGTCAATTGACTATTGACGAGATATCAATATCAACTATTCCATCCAAGAGATATCAACTATTCCATAATTTGCTCCCGGGACATTCCATCTGCATTTCTAACTCATTTGCTTTGTATATTACGTTCTTTGACTTCACCAGGGCCTTCCTTGCCCTTCCATTTCCCCTAATCTTACTCACCCTGCTGTCTGGGATCAAGTACTGTACCATCCGTGACGCCACTAAAAGCCAGGGCCATTCCTCCCTCTGTGGTCTCCCAGAACAGTGTTTCCCAGGCTTTGAGCTGTGACTCATAAGCAAAGGCTGACAAAATTTAAAGAAGAAATAGATAAATCCACAACCATAGGTGGAGATTTTGATATCCCTCTCTAACTGATAGAACAACTAGACTTTGAAAAGATGGGAATTGGGAAGTTTCAAATAACACTGTCGAACAATTTGACTTGTCCAGCTGTAGTAACTACAAAACTTCAGAATGCATGTTCTCTCAAATGCACGTGAAACAGCCACCAAGGGAACCATATCGTGAGCCATAAATCACATCTCAGTGACCTTCTGGGAACAGAGTATATTCTCTGACGGCAATAAAATTAAATTAGAAACCAATAGCATTAAGACATCTAGAAAATCTCCAAATATTTGGAAATTAATAACATACTGCTTAATGACTCACGGGCCAAAAAGGAAGTCAAAAATTAGAAAATGTTTGGAGGACCTATCATCCTTTGTTACAGAAAACTAAATGTATTTCCCATCTCATGTATAGATATGGAGGGAGAACATCAGATTTTAAGCTTTTTCTCATTTATGCCACATCCTGTGATCAATTAACCCTCAAGTTACTAAGTTAGTAACTTCCAGCTAATGCACATCTCTTGTCATTTTCAAGGACTAAGCAGAAAGAATAAAACCTTGTATTTAGAAAAACACAAAACTTGCAAAATATAAAAATAGCAAGAGGAGGGTGAGTCACTTCTCCTGGAGTGCTTCTGAACGGGTAACCCATTTGAACCTAGCTGCACTCGCAGCTGACAATCTTAAATCTGCATATGCAATTTGCCATTGGTTCATTTTCTTCTGCAGAAGATGGGAACCTCATTCACATAATTTTTGTACAGTCCCCCATACAATACCTTTCACCGTTGGGTACCATGGAGAGATTGGCAGGATGACCTACTGGATGACAGCAGTGTCTCTCTTGGAGTTGTCTGCCAATGAGCTAGCTGGACTGGAGGCTCTTCTTGCCCAGTAAGAAAGACTAGGCGTAGTCCCGACCTCTCACCTTGCCTCTGCTCAACAGCCAATGTCTCCAACCCAGGTTTGCAACTCCCCAGAGCAACTGGCACTTAAACTTGATCTGCTTTTCTTCTGACATTTTAGTGACCTTTTCAAAGAACTCTCTAGAAAAATAGAGCAACAGGGAGCAGGGTCCCTGAACTGGAACACAACCCTGATGCATCCAACCATTTTTGGCTTGAAAATATTTCTCCCCAGTATCTGAGAAGTGATGTCCATGGTAGTCTGCGTCCTTCTGCCTGAAAGTGTGATACTCACTCGATACCTCCCTAGACCTTTTGCTAGACAGGACTGAATGCATTAAAGTGATAACAGCTAGACCATTAACTGGCTCTCTTGGATGGAGCAACATACTAACTCAACACAGAAGATCACATTGGAGCCATCTCGGCACATTCGCTCAGAAATACTCATTTTAAAACATCTTAAAGTGGAATTTATGGGATGAAGTCAATAACCCATATTATTACAAGTTTATAAATAACTTTTTCATTGGTAGATAGTTAATATCTTCACAGAGCTATAATTTTTCCACTGAATCCCCTGTATATAAGAACACCTTGCTTAAAAATTAAAAGTTAATAATCTTTTTAAAAAGAATATCTTGTGTGTTTATTCAATTGGGTCTACAATTTCTGCATAAAGAATGTGTTCTGTATATATTATAGATGTTTCTGCAACCACCACACATGGCCAGACTTATTTTTTTATTAATAAATATAACATGATGCTTTAGAATGTTTCATTGTCCTTTTTATTTAAATAAGTTATCAGCGTGCCTGCTGTACCCATCGTAAGGACTCTGGGTACATTCATGAGATATATGTGGTTAGTTCATTTTCATGGTAAGATCTAGTTTTCCCTCCATGACTAATTCTAGTGTTTTAGACAAATATCATAAGAAATGCCTATCTTTGGAGCAGACAGATTTTGCAGAACTCTGTATATCTGCGCTCTGGACCTCTACACTGTAGTTACATCATTCTGAAGAAATTAGTAATATCCATCATATCCTTCCAACACGAGCAAAAACCACCAGGTGGGGATTGGGCAACAAGACAGATTAGCATTCTAATTGCATCTAAAGCAAAAAGTAAAATTTTTAAATAATAACTTTTGACATCCCTGGAAAGCCTGTAGCAGACCATCTTTAATTTTAAAAAAAATTAAAAGGTTGTCTCTAACATTTCCCTGATGGTAACTTATACCACCAGTTTCTTAAGCACCTTCCATGGGCCTAACCCCAGCTATAATTCTGGCCCTCACTGGAGTTCCGGGCACATGAAAGCAAGGACTTGCTCATTTTGTCCACTGCTAAACCCTCATGGCTGGCCCAGTGCATGACACATGGAGACACTCAAGAAGTCTCTGTTGGTGGAGTGTGTCCACTACTGTAGGGGGCTTAAGGCTAGAGGCTCATTCCAGCAGGCACATTTCCTGGTCTGCCTTCATGGAGATAGGAGAAAGAGAACAATGGAGGGAGGGAGGGAGGGAGGGAGAGGAAGAACAAGAGAAGAGGAAAGGGAAGAGTAAGATGAGGAAGAAGAGGAAGAAGAAGAGGAGGAGGAGAGAGAGGAAGGAGAAGAGGAAGAGGAAAAGAAGGTGAGGAGGGGGGAATAGATGATGTCTTGTGCTTTCATTACCCCAAAGCATTTGAGTCAAGCGTTAAGAAGTTATGCACTCAGACAATAAATTAAACTTATCATTTTCTACCTGATATTTTAAACACCACATGGTTACTACCTTAAGAAATATGAGAAAATGGAATCATATTGGTTAACATGACTTCCCATGTTTTGTTCCATATTCATAGGAGTGTCATTCCTAAAGTAAGCTTTTAGCTAGAACAAAAAAGCAAGAATCCCACTGCTCCATATTCTACTGCTTCCTACCAAGCTCCAACCAATGGACGCATAGGCAGGTCTTCTTTTGTCATGTCTCCTGCCAGTCTTCCTACCTTATCCACAGAAATCATTTTATATAGATCCATAGAGTGTCACACCCAGGAGAGTCAAGTGTCATACTCAGGACCATCACTTGTCACAGAAGCAGCCTGCCCCCTTAGCCCACGGGACGCAGCTAATGCCCTTCTGAGACTATTGAGCTATGGTTTCATGGAAATTTCAAGGAAGGTTCTCACTAAGGCCATGATCTTAGCTTGGAGCATGGTCTCTAGGGCTGAATGATCTTCTAGTAGTATGGGTTCACCATCCCTTTCCTTCCACCATGTGAATCTTCTCTCGGGCCTCCACTTCTCTATGGGCTTCAGTACTATATGCAGAAAGCCCCAACTCTGTGTCACTACAAGGAGCCTTGACCTTGACCTCCTATAGGAAAGGCACTGAGAGTTATCCCAAGGATAAAGACCCATCATTTTAGGACCAATACAGAGTCTAAAAGATCACAACATGAAAAGAGAGATCAGAGCAAAGATTAACAGAGCAGCACTTCTATTGCCAAGGGCAACAGGTTGCACCTAAAAATATTTCTGTTTTAAAGGAGAAATAGTTCAAATGACTTCTTTAAAACAAATAAGCCTGATTTACTACACTTTACAGATTCCTATTTGTAAGAAAGAAAGTTCTAGACTTAGAAGATAAATAAATAAGTGAATACATAAATAAAAGTTTCTGACCCCATGGTCCATGCCCAGGACACATTCATTGACGACACGCATTCGTAAATACTCTCTAAGAACTACACAGCTGTGGTTAGTCATATTGTTTCTTGATTAAGTAACTGTAGTTTCATTCAGATCCTTTTAAAAAGTACATTTTTAGCATATCTTCCATTTTAAAAATACATTCTCTCATTCTTGCCATTCATGTACTTTGAAACGCTTCCCTAAAGATCGACATCAACAGTGTTGAAAAAGAAAATATTTGGGAACAGGAATGAACCCTAGTGGAATGGGTTCCTACACCAAAGATCCTATGAATCCATGCTTCATTGTGCAAAGTGAACCCCTACTCTTATGGACCTGCTGCTAGAGCTCTGATAGGTGTTGAATGATCCCAGAACCTGAAGGACCTATTTGAATTCAGATCATTGGTCTTATCATCCTCAGTAGCTATATCTTTGTCAGTCTACAAGTACTAGCCTTGAAGTTTTATGACACTTTATTCTCATAAGGATCATTTTTTTTCCATAGCAGACAGACCCTACATACCCCTCAAGTAAACCCTTTTTTGCACTATAGAGTCTACGTCAAGGAATCCTCACTGTGTTTACATTCTGATTTTCAAACATTTCAATTTGTAAGTAAGTGTATGTGTTGCCTTCAGGGCAGTGTAAATAGCTTGCCCAAAAATCTCAGCATAAATTTTCACCTCTCCTTTCAAGGCCTCAATTCTCTTCTCTACCTCTGATGATGTATTGACTTGGGTATTAATCATCTTTAAACATTTAATTACTGTCTGAGTGCCACGTCTCACCTTCAGTGCTGTTCCTCACAAAGCTGGATCCAGTACAGTACAGCATCTTTAAACCAATGCACAACTAACAGATTTGTTGCTGCAAAATACTTTTATGCAGCATCAATAAAACCTCTCCAGCAAGCACAGAGAGCCAATGGTCAGAGTCCCAGGGGGCCTTCCACACAGGATACGCATCTTGTTACAGAATTCCTCAATGCCTTTTTGCTGTCTCCCTAATGACCAGTTAAATGGTCTCCCTCGAGGATGCTTGAGTCAGCGCCAGCTTGAAAACTGCTGAGGAAACATCCTCTTTTACTGGAAATGATTTCCATCCAACGGCCATGTGCCATATTTAGACTCACGGCTTAGTAACACCCAACAGAAGGGGCTAAGTTTGCAGAAGAGGAGGCCCTGTGCTGTGAGAAAAGAACTTGCTTTTGTCTGGCCAAGTGACCGCAGGGGCTGGAGCTGGTGAGTCTGTGGTGGTCTGGAACCCGAGGGACAGAAACGCTCCATTCTATCTGGAGAGACAGGCGTCTCTTCTGCAGGGCAGCTGGTTCTTCCCATGCTGCTTGTCTTACACATCAGAGACCTGACTGGGGAGGTGGTGATTCAAGTCTAGCCCACGTCTGCCTGGCAATAAGACATTAAAACCCAAGGACTCTGTTTGCCTGCGTTCAACAGGCGGGATGGATGGCAGGCAAATCTATCTTCATCTCCCTTTAAAAGTAAATCACACAAGAATGATATTAACATATCTTGAGTCACAGAGTAAAATTCTGCTAAAGAGCAGAACCACTGAATTATAGAGCTTTAAAATGTATCTATACATATTAACACTAATAATTTAATATAAACATTTAAGTGTGGATATGAGATTTTAAGTGCTCTCTTTTCTCTCTCAGTTTTCCTTGGCCTCTCTATTCTCCCTGCTCCCCAATATCCACCCACATTAACTCATACAATCAACTTAGCTTGCACCCTTCCATGTTCCTCCTCAGGTTCATCTAGTTTTATGCAGACACGTATACACATATCCACACAGATACATCCTTTATGTCATTATTTTCTTAAAAAGTAGAATCCCCTGTCAAACACTTCTCTGCATCTTGTTTTTCTCTCCCAAAAAGAGAAAGGAAAACACCCCCACATCAACCCCTATAGCTGTGACTCAGTCTCTCTAATAGTTGTGTATTCCAGGCTATGGAAATTTCATAATTTTTCTATCCATTCCTTTATGGATAAGGCAAAACTTCTTGCAACTCTGTCTTGCTCTATTTCTATAATTTCCAACTGGAAATCAAAACAAAGAATTCTTACACAAATCTTACATGTATTTTCTTTAACAAAAACCAAGAAAAGTTCTCCCTTAAGCCCTAACACAAGCCCATCTTATTTTCAGTGCAGAGGGCAATGCTGTTTTAAAATGTGGGTTTTATGATTATCCAAGGACTATGAGGCCAACAGCTCAGGAAAGGACTACAATTGCAAAGATAGCTCATGACTCACGGTTCCCCCGAGGAGGAGGCAGCCATGTCATGCAGGGTCATATGCGGAAGCACCAGCGTTGGTCAGGAGGCTGAGGGAGTGAGGGGAAGGCATGAAAAGAGGCTTTATGAGGGATTCCAAGGAAGGAATGAGTATAGCAGGATAAGCAAGCTAAGCAGGTTTAGGGTTAGCTAGCTTGAATAACTTCTGCAGGCTCGAGTGTTTGGCAGCTGTCCTGGGTTGTCCAACATCTGCCCTTGGTGTGATTAGGGCAGGTAAACAGTGGCCCAGAGGTGGCTGGCAGGGTATGGGCTTTGGACTGATTGGCTTGCATATGAAAGGTGCTCTTCTAAGTTAGTTGATTGTTATCTTTGGGAATTAGCTAACGCTCTCCCCTCCAAGGGGCAGTCCCTCCTGACCCGTGAGACCGCAGGTGCCAGGGCTTCAAGAATACAGAAAATAAGAAAGAAGTTAATACAAATGCCTAGACACTCAAGCAATGTTTGATAAATGATAGGCAGGCTGATCAAGGAAACACAATACACTCTGCCTCCTGCCCAAAGGCACAGCTCCACAGACTCAACCAGGTTGTTGCATAGAGCCTTAGTCTCCGAGGGGTGCAAATGAGCTCCTTCCAAGGATGAGGTGGGGAGGAGTACTGTTGGGGCTGAGTGGCTGATAGCTAGCAGGACAGCATGAAGCATGCTGAGCTACAGCTGTGGCAGGGAGGATGATCATAGTTGCTGTTTGTTCTACAAAGCTTGCAGTCCTATCTAGAGACACCTACTTGGCCTCAATTTCCTTGCTCTTTTGGCCAATTGCTGCACACTCTTGAGCAGCAAGTGGAATGGCAGAAGCCCCCTCCCTAGAGTTGGGGAGTCAGCTGCTAGTTCTTTGACCATGTTTACTTCTCCATTGAAGAAGCTCTCTGTCGTTCTGCCTCCAGCATCCCCACATCCCCTGCTCATGGGAGGAAGGATGAAATCAGAATTCTCCTTGCCATGCATGAAGAAGGATCTCATTAGACCTTGTACTGGGGCTTCTTTGCTAGTTATGTCCCTGTCCCCACACACACTGGTACATAATCACTCTGTGTTGTATGCATTCATTCCTTGTCATTTTGTCATGCATTTATGAAGAGGATATAGGGTTAGAGATATGTTATTCCTGAAAATAAATATCTGTAAAGGGGATCATGAGTGCAACAAGACAAAAGAAATCAAGGTGTTTGGATTTTTCCTCTTCCTCCCCGTCAGCCTTCCTCCCTCTATTCTTCCTCTTCACTGTCTGGCCCTAATGCAGGTGTTGTTGAGTTTGAGTTAACTGAGAAAAAAAAAACTGAGTTTAAAACTAGCCAGTCCAATTTAATTCATTCAATAAGCATGCACTGTGAGTCCATTCTATACAAGGCTTGCAGATACTACAATGAGCAGCATGGTCCCTGCCTTCAAAACACTTGTTATTTAATGATAAAAAATGATTATATATTAAGCATTGTCAAAAACTATGAAGGGTCTGAAATTATAACCTATTTGCAAGCTAACAAGTTAGTCTGCCACAATTTCATGGATGCTGGTAGAAGACAGGAGACTCCTGGGTCAGAGACAAAGAACTTCATTACTCACAGCACAGCAGGCGGCATGAAGTTTGCATTTACTTTGGTTTCCCTTACCCCTCAACCCTTGCAGAGGTGAGGAGGAGAAGCCCAAGTGGAGGTTGCATACACAGTGAGTTTGTGTCACAACTGAGGAGCTACAAGCTTAGAACATCCAAATCTTCATAAAGGGCTGCAAGCAAACCTGCCGAACCCTTTGCCCCAGCAGGATACACTATCTCTATCATCCAAGGATGTGCACGAAACAAACATTCTTGAAAAGATAGTCCAGCAAAAAATGTAGTTACTGTTCTTCTTATAAGACATGCAGAACCATGAGGCACCTTGGGGAATTGTCTCCCTAAAAGCATTTACCACCTGTCAGGAATTGTCTTAAATTCAGGATCTCACTTCATCATCACAGCCACTCCACTTGACATCCCACTTCCTATCCTGCAGTGTAAGAAATGGATGCATGCCTCAACTTCAGGCTCAACAATACATAAATAAAAGTGGCCAAAGAAATTGGATTCAAATCTGATTCCAAGTTGTGACCTGCATCCTCAAGAAGCTTGTCCATCTTCTTATGGGAGGACAATCAACTGTCCAAAAGATGTATATTTTCCAGGTACATAGGTAGGAGTTTTGTCAAAGACAGGGTGATATTTACCACTCACCTCCTGACACGACCTACCTACAACAAAACAAAACTCACTCAGGAGGGTCCTGACTATGTACTCAGAGATTATACCCATGCACAGGTAACGATGGAAGTCATGAGACAAATCTCAAATAGATTTAATAAGCTAAACCTCACAGGCAACTCTTTTCCTCCATGAAGGTATCTATCCTGGTCAAGGCATCAAAATGACCACAGTGTTACTGTAGTATGTATTTATCTGACAGGGTAGAACAATACCTTGAAATTTGCAAATTGAAGTATTGTAAACATAGGCAATTGCTATGTTTAGCTCGTGTTTCTCCATTCCAGAAATAATTATTTACAGCCCTCCTAGGGCCAAGCTGATTCTGCCTGCCCTTGCATTGTGGGCATTTTCCATTCACAGCCAGACCTGCCAAAAGCAGAGTATCTGAATGTTTTAACTGTGGGTTTTCTTTTTTTCAAAATCCGGTACATTTTTTTGGTATTTAATAAAGCATAATGAATAGCATTGACTATGATACCTTTCCAAACCTAGACATTTTAATTTCATCATTCCATGTTTAACCTAGGAAACAGTGGCTTGTTTAATGAATGTGCCAGTTTTATGCTTTGTGTTAATGTGACCTAAGCGAAACACAATTAAATTTTAAATTAACATATCCTTATAAAAATAACTTAAATCTTTATCTTCTCTAACTCTTCCTCTGAAGAGAAAATTATGCTTCTGCCCAAAAAGTAGCAAGTGGAGTATGTGCCCAACTTCAGACTTGGCAGGGTGATGTTGCCCTTGGATATCAGGAATATCTGGATGCAAGGACACACTGATAGACTCCATCCCCATCACTACCCTCCACCAAAAAAGAAAAAGAAAATAAACACTTCAGGCTTTTTTCAGTTATCGAAAATGTGTGAATGGTGATCCATGTCTGGTCTTCATCCTAACTTCAATTCCCACCCTCAACCCCAGGCAACCCCTCCACCTCAATTCCATAGAACCTCCCTTAAATTCCCCCTTCAGCCAGTGGACAACACTGAGTGTTACTATGGGTTGTATTAGTCAGTTCTCATGCTGCTATAAGGACATACTCAAGACTGGATAATTTATAAAGGAAAAGGGTTTAATTGGCTCACAGTTCAGCATGACTGGGGAGGCCTCAGGAAACTTACAATCGTGGCGGAAGGGGAAGCAAACACATCCTTCTTCACATGGCAGCAGGAAAGAGAAGCGCTGAGCAAAAGGGGAAAAGCCCATTATAAAGCCACCAGATCTGGTGAGAATTCACTCACTATCGCGAGAACAGCATGGGGGAAAATGACATCCATGATTCAATTACCTCCTACTGGGTTCCTCCCACAACACATCCAGAGATTACAATCCAAGATGAGATTTGGATGGGGACACAAAACCAAACCATATCATAGGTTAAATTGTGTCTCCCACCCCAAAAATGTGTATGTTGAAGTCCTAACCTTCAGTACTCAGAATGTGACATTATTTGGAAATAGGGTCATTGCAGATGGAGTTAGTTAAGATGAGGTCATTAGGATGAGTCCCTAATCCAATATGACTGGTGCTCTTACAAAAAGGGGAAGTTTGGACACAGAGCCATGCACATGGGTGGGAAGAATCCCAAATGAACGGATAGGCAGAGGGTTGGAGAGATGCATCAACAAGGAACACCAAAGATTGCCAGCAACCCCCAGAAGCTGGGGGAGAGGCCTGGAACAGATTCTCCCTCACAGCCTGAGAGGAACCAAGCTGGCTGACACCTTGATCTCAGGTTACCGGCCTTGAGAACTGAGAGACCCTGGGTTTCTGTTGTTTAAGCCTCTCAGGGTGCAGCACTTTATTATGGAAGCCTGAGCTGACTAATACAGGTGTCTCTATATCTCACTGAGGGAAAGTGACAGGAAAGTAAGAACCATTTATGTCCAAGAGTCCAGAGGAGTCAACCAGATTCTGGGGGAAAAGAAGGTACAATGCTGGCCTCTCCATGCAGCCTAGTCCCCAACACTTGTAGGGCCCAGGGCAAGATCTAAAGCACTCTCTCACCTATGCATCTATATGCTGTAACTCAGATAAACAAACTATTAAATAATATATGTGTCTTGCCTCTCAATCTGACAATTACACCTTTATAATAGCAACATAGGAAAATAACTAAAACTATGGTTTTTAGGCAACCAAATACCAGCAAAATGTAATAATTCCTATTATTAGATATGTTTAAGTGTTCTGCTGGTGGGTCAGCATCTTTGGTAGAGTCATAAAATTAAAATGTACATAATTAATTAAATATTATATGTTTATTCCCTAACATTTATTTCTGTCATTTCTTTTTTCTTTTTTTCAGACAGTCTCACTCTTTTGCCCAGGCCGGAGTGCAGTGGCGTGATCTCAGCTCACTGCAACCTCCGCCTCCCAGGTTCAAGCGATTCTCCAGCCTCAGCCTCCCAAGTCGCTGGGATTACAGATGCCTGCCACCACGCCCGGCTAATTTCTGTGTTTTTAGTAGAGACGGGGTTTCACCATGTTGGCCAGGCTGGTCTTGAACTCCTGACCTCAGGTGATCCACCTGCCTCGGCCACTCAAAGTGCTGGGATTACAGGCGTGATCCACCGCACCTGGCCTATTTATTTCATTTCACATGTCTTTATAATCAAAGCTGTCACATAAAGTGCATTGCATTGACTGTAATACCACCTGAGACAAGACAGTTTTTTTACTAATTTTAATTTCAAAGAAACACTTTGTTCAGGCAGTAGTGAGCAGAATTATCAATAACAGATTTAAAGTAGTACTTAAATTTGGAAACAACACATTAATTTTACATATCATCTTCAAATTGAAAATATTACAAAATATTTTAACTTCATCCTATAGATTGCTATTACTTATATTTCTGTTTTCACCATTTCTTAAAGCAACATCTAAGTAATACATAAATCTCTAGGGATATGTGAAAAATCATTTTCATGCTTTATATATGTTACATCAAACCCACCTATACACAAATTCAAGAATAATAGCAATTGTGTAATGTTACAAAATATTTCTCAGGTAACATGAGCTCACCTATTGAGAACACCAAGCTAATTCACTGGTTCATGAGCACCCTCCCAAACCACAAATTGGAACACAAAGAGAAGCAAGAAGATGGATGTTTGGAACTATTGGAAAATGATAATTCATACTGCAAGAATATACTGCCACCATATCTGCAAGACAGGACAAGTTCATTAATTTATTCTTTCTCTTACTTCTCCTAAGCTGTATCCATCTCCAAGAACAAAAGTAGCTAATACTATTGACGGATCAACTATAATATACTTGGGACATACTTATACTAAAAATATTATTCATCGTTGATCTGAAATTTCAATTTAATTGGGTATCCCTTGTTTTTATTTGTCAATAATAGACCCACAGTCTTTCATGGCATTTGGACTGTTATCTTTTGCTTTGAGGAGCAGAAGACAGAGGTGGAGAAGCATTTTCCTGAATGGTGTTAGTCGCTACAGTGGATATTTTAACATCTCAAGGTGCCTTTGCCTGTGCCCAATGCTGGGTCCCCGAAGTCAGAAGTGCTCATCTGTTCTTTAAGGCAGGGTCACTTTCTGCCACCACAGGGAGCAGTCATTATGCATACTCCTGTTGCCAGCTGTCAGTAAACCAATGCCGTTCTCTTTTCTTTTATTATTTCATTCATACACATCCATTGTGTACACACCATGAGCCAAGCACTTTGGAAGGCACTTCTGGTGAGAAGGAAGAAGTCAGGACACCACAGATATGAGTGAGAAGGAGGCTACCGTCCCGGCACAGTGGCTTACGCCTATAATCCCAGCACTTTGGGAGGCCAAGGCAGGCAGGTCACTTGAGGTCAGGCTTTTGAGACCAGCCTAGCCAACATGGTGAAACCCCGTCTCTATCAAAAAACAAATACAAAAATTAGCCGGGCATGGTGGCACGCACCTGTAGTCCCAGCTACTTGGGAGGCTGAGGCATGAGAACTGCTTGAACCCGGGAGGCAAAGGTTGCAGTGAGCCTAGATTGTGCCACTGCACTCCAGCTTGGGTGACAGAGCGAAACTTCAGCTCAAAATAAAAAGGAGCCTACCACACAATTGTTGACAGTCTATCATAGAGAGTAAGGACATCAGCCAAAGGTGGTCTGCAGAGATCAGACAGGGGTCATCTCAAAAGGGAACAGCCTTAATTTCACCTTAGATGTAGACGGGTTTGACAGAAAAACAGGAAAACAAAAGACCGTGAATGTCCCATTGGAAGACATACTAGGAAACTGTCATGGGGCAAAATTCATACGTCTTAGAGATAAAAGTTGGTAAAGCACAATTGAAGCTATTTCTTATTAAAGCACAATTGAAGTTATTTCTTGTTTTCTTCAGTAATAGAAAAGTTGGACATTTTTCTTTAAAGAAATCAAATGCAATTATCCTGTACAGACTCAGTAACTCTAGCCAAGGATCAGGTTAGTCGCTTTCATGGAGCGGGAGTTTCGGCAGCTCTATTGTTCTAGCATTAGTAATGCGTGAGACCTACCCCTGAACACTTCCAGTTAGGGAAGCTCTGCAGAGATCTTGCACTGTGCCACGGATGGCCTCGTGCTTTTGGCAATAAAGCTGGAAATGCAAAACACGTTTTGTGGTTCAAATAATCTCCAGGAGACAGTTTCCTGGAAGTTTTAAATCCTATTTCTCATACCACCTCCATCTAAATTGATGATTTCTATGACCTTTTCATCTAATTACACTAGTATGTTGTACCTATTTTTATTAAATGGTTCCATTACATAAGCCATTATGTGCTAGCTCCTTCTTGTTGCTAACCTCATGAGCCCACCCCATTACTTCTCTTCACTTTCACATCAAGGATAGCATTCCTCAAGATGAAATTTGTTATGTTATCTTAGATCTATCTAAGATTTTCACAAATCACTTCACTAACACTTAAATATCAGAGACAGACACCCAGAATTCTACCAAAATCGTTGTGTACCCTCACATGAAGTGGTGTATAGACTGGTTGACAAGACAAGGAAAAAATGGAAAGCACTAAAAAGCAGGAAGAAAATACACAACACTCCAGAGAAGACATTAGGAAAATTTTTAAATGGGTAAAAACTGGGAAAAGGATGGAGAGTGGCTGGAGAATGCCCTCTCGTGCCAACAGTCATTAAAAGACACAGCAGAAGACGCCATCATGGGCAGCACAAATCAGCCCCCATCCCGCTTTTGAATCATAGAGAAGTTTGCAATGTCAAACAATATCCTTCTAATATGTTATGAGAATTCTATCAGACCCTAGCTAAAGGTAGAAATGAACAGATATTTATGAGAACAGCATCAGGGAGAGAACGTGGAGAACTGCATCACTACGTAGTTGTACAAGTGAATTGTCTAATACAATGATTAGAGTATTCCTTTCCGCTAGTTTCTACCCCACCATATTTATTGTATCTGAGTTCTAAACTATTTTTATTTTATTCCCTCCTGTCCAATACTTGGCATTCACCTAAGCAGTCAGGAACATCTGCTGTATTTGTGACAACTATTCAGAAGGTATAAAACAAAGTTATATGCAGCATGTAGCAGTGACATTTGATTGCAAGGGAGAGAATCCAACTAGAAATGTTGACTCACTGTGTTACCAAGCATCGTGAAAAGAGGCTGACGTTAGCCGGCGGTAGGCCAGTAATAATATGCTTACACCATATTAATTGCAGATAAACCAAATTGCATTGCTAATTTCATTTGCATTTGCATTATCATTGTGTTTTAATTACTAGAGTTAGGCCACCAAAGACTAATATCCAAATCTGACAGCACCAATTCCCTGGATACATTTTGTGGTTGCTGAATGATTATTGTTCAACAGTTTGCTGCTTTTGACAAACGCAAAGCAACATAGGCTTCCCAGCCCTGAAAGAATGAAGGAATCAATGAAAGAATATCAGGCGTGGACTGATGCAGAGTTCCATTCTGGCTCCAGGCATACGGTCCTTGCTCAAAGATAAAACAGGCATGTTTCCCAGGACCTTCCCTGTTAATGTGTGCTGTTTGAAAAGAGGTCAGGGTCAACTAGGTATGGGAAATACCAGGCTAAACAAACATGGGCCTTATTGCAGACCTTCTTAGAGCCTTTAATATGTTATTGTACATTGTGACTCTCAGAGAGGGAATAGAGTTTGCAGTGTTCCCTAACACTTACTTGACCATCTAGTCCTTTTTCTCACTGCAAATCTTCTGGATTTCCCAGGAATGCGCTTTTGAAAAAGCTGAATTTGCATAATATAACTGTAACCAGAACCATGGGCATTCCATAAAAGTAAACATAAGTTATATGCTAGAAACATTCTACTGTACTTAACAGAAACTCACAGTCACCAGTCCACAATATCCAGATAACCCTCCTGTCTACATTGTAAGTCTAATGTTCCCAGGATTTCTGCAAATTACTGGGGACTTTCATTCTCCTGGACACTTCTGGCCAAAAGCCCCAGGTTCCAGTGAGCTAGGAATCTATGGAACATCTCTTCTTCCAGTGCACACTATCTCCTTCCAACCCATGTTAAGCCAAGTATGCAATCCTCCTCCATTCCCAGACTTCCACGAAAACCGAGCAACTAAATAAACAAATCCTTTCATGAGGCTTGCTCAATTCTGCAGAGCATTTGGAGGTTATACTGCAGCAATGCAAGCAACCTGAAATTGTGTATCAGACACACTTGTGCTCTCTTCTTTCAACGCTTTATTGAAATATAATTTATGTATCATAAAATTCACCTGTCTAAAGTAGACAACTGAGTGGTTGTTAGTATATTTACAACGTTGAAACACTCCTGTTCTTAACTTCCTCTATAATTTCTGACTGATTATAGGCTCCAGTTTTCTTCCTCTCTTTCTCTGTATCTCTGTAACCCTCAAATTCAATTTCTTTTTTTTTTTAATTTCCATAGGTTTTTGGGGAACAGGTGGTGATTGGTTACCTGAGTAAGTTCTTTAGTGGTGATTTGTGAGATTTGGTGCACCCATCACCGAGTATATATATGCCTTTGCACCCTCAAAGGCATGTATATACACACACGTGTGTATACACACATATACACGTATGTGTATATATATAATGACAATAAGGCAAACAATTGACACTATTTGAGAAGCAAGGTTAACAAAGACACGCACATGCACACACACACATATATGCCTTTGAGAGTGCAAAGGCATAAGAATGACACAATGAATGGACTTGGGGGAAAGGGTGAGAGGGGAGTGAGGGATAACAGACTACACATTGACTATATACATATATCTATATGACTACTACTCAAATTCAATTTCTTTCTTTTGCAACCCTTTGGCTTTCTTGTCTGCAGCCAAACCCACGCCCTTTGAATCCCATCTCAACTCCGAACATCTTGCCCGGGTAACTTTCTAAATAAAGACAGGGCTCTTCCTGAAAGACATTCAGATGTCAGACATTAAAATTAAAAAAACAAACAAGACAAAAACAAAAATAAGAATAAGGACTTCCTCGCACTGGCCTCTCCCCTATGGAAGCCTCTCCATGACTTCAACCAAATCACTTCTGGCTTCTGCGTTGGCAGTCCAATGCCCTGCAGGGAGTCCCTGATTGCTGCTGCCCTTGCTCATCCTTGATGCAGGTGGTCATTTCACCCCTCCCTCCCTTTGTGAGTGTCTTTACATAGTGCTCCTGACCAGAATGCAGCAATATAGCTGCTTCTCACTGCCTGCCACTGCTCAGTGCATCCCTTCTACCTAGTTATGCCCTTCAGATCAAGTTTCCATAAGACCACAACAGAAAGCCTGGTTCAGACTCCACAGTGACATCATTCCGGCCTCTATTCCAACATGCAGGGAAGATGCCATCCATCATTCAAGCATGAGTAACCAATTCCATAGAGGAGGCAAGTTCAGTGTTTCTGTTTGGTTAAAGCCACGGCCATCTCAACAGCCATGGCCCAAACATTTTTAAACAAAGTAGGGAAGGAGGAAAAGAAATCAGAGGAGAAATAGTAATGGGATTCAGGATGCTGCACAATGGGCTTTGGACAGGCCAGGTCAGATGTGGGGTGGAGGTAAGAGGAGAGCCTCAAACCTCTTCAACAGCCACAGAAGCTAAAGAAAGCACAGGAAGACCTATCCTTCAGCCCCCTCCCTAGGGATTTCCACTGGTGGTGAGTAAACAGCTCAATTACAAGATGTAATTATGAGTTCACTGTTCAGGAGACACCTAGAATTCTTTCCAGAAAGGCAACTCCGCCAAGATTTTACCCCCATGTTATTACCACCATCATACTAAGCTATCCACATTTGCATTTGACCCACAGGCTCCCTGTATTCTGTGTGTGTTCAATTCCTGCATGTTCTGCAGAGGCCATCTAAAACTAGGTTTTATTCACTTCCCACCTTGCAGCATTTGGTTTAAGGAACTTCAGCTTTCTTGTAGTTTCATCACAAATCTTCGTGGTTTAGATCCTAGGAAAATCTCCCTTCAGCACTAAGATCAAATAGGTAGAAGCTGTCGACATGCAGTAAAGCGGCATTGAGAGGAAGCCAAGGTGGTGTGAAGGAGTTCCTGGTAAGTCCACAGTGTATGTACATCATAGCCTTACTTCTCAGAAAATGACAATAAGGCAAATAATTGACACTATTTGAGAAGCAAAGTTAACCAAGACACGGGAGTTGGAAAGGCGCCTGCACGGATACTGCTGGCCCCCCACAATAATTCCATATTTGACGGGCACACGGCAGTCCAGAAAACAAGCACATTTTCTTCTTTGCAGCTGGGTGGCTGATTTGCAAATGGGCCTTTATATCTCCAAATAATGAAATAAACATGTGTTTGGATTTTAAGGTGATGCCATACTGTTATAAAACATTCTAAGTGCTTGACTCTCAATTTCTGAGCTTATCTTGGAGCAGATGGTCCCATAGAATGTGAAGGGAAGAAATGTATAAAACTTACAAGTCATGCCCCAAAAGGGGAGCCCATGTTCTTCTCCCTTGCTCCATGTTCTCCCTTGCTCCTTCACACTCCCCTTCTTGTTGACTAGAAAGCAGCTTGGCCATGAGCCACTGTGGACCACGCAAGTGTGACCAACATGCTAGGATGATGGACAAACAAGACAGAAGGATCTTGGGCTCCACTGACTTCACTGAGCAAATCTGCCATACCAGCTTGACCTTTTGCACTTCTATCTGGTTTGGGAGACTGTTACACTGGTCACAAGGGCAAACCTATATTCTTAGCAATATGTGAACTCTGGATCAAACTATTTCAGGGGGTATCTGTACAGACATGGATGTCTGAGCATACACACCAGCACTAAAAGTATATCAAAGTCCAAACTGACTCTATGTCTCAACATTTGGGCAACACACTTTTGAAATCCTGATTGGTTTGGTACCTTAGTAAAAACAGAGTGAGAAATTGACTGTCTTTCTCTCAATGTGGGGACAGGCCAATGTCTGCCCTGAGCTCTGCCAGCCATTTCACAAAGATACACCTCAGTCATAAAAACATATGTGATTATATGTATCCTAGAAAACAATGTTCAGTAATAAAGTGGCATAAAGGAGCATATGTTTTTTAGGGATTTAGAAGGAATTTCATAATAATGCTTATATAAAATAGTGAAGCAAATTTAGAGAAAACAGCACCTTTGCAAATGTTTCCACCACTGGCACACTGACCATTGACAAGATTCAAAAATGTGTTAGATTCAGACTGGACAAACATTGAAGTTAATTTAAAAGCATTTTTTGTTTTTGGTATTTCAAAACAGTGAGCTGTTTTAAAAAAAGTCTTTAAAAAAGAACCCTATTACATCGACAATTTAATAAGCTCATTCGTTTACAACTGGTTTTTTTTTTAATCCCCAATGTGTTTTTTTTAAGTGATATCTCATTTATTTTAAGCCTGGAAGAGAGTTTTCTCTGCATTTGAGCAGTCCAGGATGGAGCTACTAAAAGAAAGGTCTGTGAACAGTGAGATCCAGGAACTATTTGTAACCAGTCTGCATCAATATAAGCACAGACACTGGAAGTTCAGTGCTTAGAAAGTTTTACAGCAATATAATATCACCATGACATCCAAATGCATGACTGACTTTCTAATCATTAGTTTTCATCGTATTTTACCAAAGCATCAGTTCTCAACAGATTTGAATTTTTTTTAAATGGCCCTTCACCAAGATAGCAATGGTCTAGTAACCAACTTGCAGATATAAAGACCCATTTACAAATTTGCCTGCAGCTTTCTATGCCTCCAATCACACACAATTGACATCAAAACTTCTTACATACACAAGCACATTGCACGAGCTAGTGCCCACAACAAAAACAAAGCGAGAACTTATTCACATCTTATTGCCACCTGACCATACAGCAAGACTGTTTCAACAGACACATTTGCAAATCATAGTTTTATAATAACATAAGAATTGGGCAGTAATTATTTTTATAAGAGAAAACAACTTGTATTTGTGTGTGTGCATGAGTATGAGTATGTGTCTCCATCATACAAACAATAATTGCCCCCATGTCTTCTCCATTTTGTCTTCAATTCTGGTTCTTAGGATTTTCTCCAGGTGTTAGTAGTTACACCTCTGGAAAGGGTCTTTTGTTAATACCAAAAGCATTTTGACTTATTTCTTTGGGAAAAAAAAAAAAAACAACAGAAATGAAAGCAAGCCCTCTTTTAAACTGGAAAGCTTTATTTTGCCCCTGGAGAAAAGCAGCCTGGTTAAATGTCTGAACTTATTGTTATTATTATTTTATTGAGCAATAAACTAAAGTGTGATTGAGCCACCAGTGACTCGGATATATTGTTAAGCTTGGAATCACATGGTTGAATGACTAGCTGGCCCAGAACGTGGGCGATTCAAATGATTCAGAAGACAAATGAGGCAGGAGCAAGAATGTCTCACACCAATACAAACCCAATTAACGTCAACAAAATCCTGCAAAATTTATTGTTGCTTGGCCTCTGAAAATGGTGGAACCAACTCTTTTCCTGTGCCTGCAGGGCAAATTCATTAGATGGAAAACGGCATTTTGTTAACCATGAAGTTCAGTAACATAAACAAGTCAGTGCCATGGTCCTTGAGACACCTGCAGAGGGTCAACCGCAAAGAAGGGAAGGAAGAGAGAGATGCTGATCTTGCTCTACAATGCCCATGAGTAGTGACACAGTAGGTGTTTCATAAATAATGTCTTTTTAAAGTCACAGTCCAGGATAAAAATGATATATCTGATTGTCATTCAGTTCGTTAAATAACGATCATATATAAAAAGAGAAAGAGAGAGAAGAGAGAGGAAGGGAGGAAAAAGAGATTGATATTTTGCCTGCAAGTTCACCAAAGGCTACCATGTTGGTTTGTGCTTGTTTTTTTGTTTCAGTTTCTTAAGTAAGAGTGATTCACTTGTGCTGATTCAACTTGAACCATGTTTACATCAGATGCTCTTATGCCCACAATTGACAAATCTAAGAGTGGTCATGAAACAAAACGGACCTCACTGGCCCCAAAGTCATCGAATCTACAATTTTGACCTTTAGGCTATGTGCCCACAGAACTGGACGACACTGCTGAATTCATGTAACCCTAAGCGCTGTGAAACGCTCCATCACTGTGCTATTTGACAGCAAGGATGGCGCCACTTCTGAGATAACTCATGCCGCAGAGCTCAACAACATACCCCTTGTTCAAAGTAGAGATGATGGGCGTTGAAAGGGCCATGACACAGAGGTCTTTTGTGTGATCAGACTTACTCTGTGTGGGGTAATAGGAGTGTCGTCTGAAGAGTGGTTTGGCTGGATAAGACCACGAAAAAAAAAAAGTACCAAACAATCAAAAAGCTTAATCATGGATTATCAAGAAGACCATTTTCCCACCCACATTTGATTCTGAATTCAATCAAACCCTTAATGACTCATATGAGGATTTCAGGGTGTTCTATCAAAAATCTGCTGAAATAGACCCAAAACACAGCAAAATATTAAGGTGAAATATTATCAGTACCAGAAAAAGTATCTCCAATACTTTTTCTCAGTTTTCAGTTTCTTATGATTATGATGATGATTCATTTCTGCTGATTCAACTTGAACCATATTCATATCAGATGCTCTTATGCACACAGTTAACAAATCTAAGAGTGATCATGAAACAAAACGGAATTCAGAAAGCAGGAAAGTATCTCCAGTACTTTTTCTCTTATAAAGAACATACCATTTGTTGGGTAAGCTACTGATGCTAGATGCAGCCCACTATGGAAGCAGGAAAAGAATCTACTTAGTCACTGAATCAACACTTACCATGTGCCTGGCATGGTGCAAGGCTCATGCAGCAGAATTTATTTCTTCATGCTTTTATTTTGTTTCCATCTTTAATAGTGATCAGAGCTATGAAGAAGATCTTGGAGGGTAATGAAACAGAATCACAGAAGGGAATTTTGTTTCATTCAGAACTGGGAACAGCCTATTTGAGGGAGGGCAGTCACGTGAGATTTAAAAGATAGTGTTTGAGCTCCTGTGACTCCCAGTGTCTTTTAACTTTGTATTTTTACTGAGACCCACAAAAGAAATTCATAGGTGACTGCTGGTCCTGGATTTTTAGGGACAACCAAGATTGACATGTGATTAATTTTCTGAAGACAACTAGATTCTGGCCATGACAAGGGGCTTCTGGGATGAAAAGCTAGGACCACAGAGGGCCAGGGGGGGAAGTGGGAATGAGACCAAAAACACCAATAGAACCAAGAATCAGTGAGGACAGAGCAAGGGAGAAAGGAGGGTCAGAGAGCAGGCAACATGGCCTCCAAGAAGTTCAGGTGCAGAATGAAGGACATCGGGGGAATATCTGTCCATTAACCTGCCTGGAGCCCTCTTCGTATTCTCCTAGACACCCGAAACTATTCTGCAGCGTTTTTCTTTGCTGATTTAGACGTTACAAAAAATGTAGTTTCACTGCTGATTTTTCTCCAGACCATTTGTGCATTCTTGCTCTGAACACCCCAATCCATAATCATTGTCAGCTGAGACCAAACTAGCTGCTAAACTACTTACCAATGTATTCAGTCTCCACGGCATCGATCCCAGCAGAAATGCAAATCAGCTTTTCCAGGGCGAACCTCCCTCCTGAAGAAGTGAGTCTAGGCCAGCAACTGCCGCCTGGAGGAATCCTGAAGTGCCCCCCAGATGTGTAGGGTCTTGGTTGTCACACAGTGCATTTGACACATCACAGTCAGGGGTCCGTAATCTGCTGCCTCCAGCAGTAAGATAATGATGTTGTAGTTTCTCTTCTCTTCCTCTTGCCCACTAGAATTTACTTGGATCCTAGCGAATAAAGATGGGAGAAGGGATATCAGTCCTGCCCATCACCTGCTAGCATCTACCACCATTTTGGGATAGCTGGGCTCTACAGCTGTGTAGACGACAAGGTGCATACCAGTGCCACATAAGCCATGTTTCAGGACCAACCAATGGTCAGGGCACACAGTGTAAAGTGAGAGAGAGGAACCAAGGCTGGAGGGCTCAGGGCACATGCCCCAAAACTACAGACACTAAAGGGATTGGAGCCCTGTTAAATAAAGTGAACCCTCTTTTCCACAATTTATTTCTCTATCAGCCTTGGCAATTGTCCCCACGACAAGAAGGAGCCTAGCTGGGGCCACTCTGCAAATTCATGAGGCAGGGGAGACATCCAAGCTGGGCATATGCATGATTATTACAGGAAGAGGAAAACATCTGAGCTATTTAGCATCTCACAGTTCAAATGGGGCGATTGCTGAGACACTGGTGTGGAAGAGACAAATGGGGTGGGGAAATTTTTCTAATCTTAATAAAATCTTTTTGCTTTTTCCAGTAAGTAAAGGAGTGAGTGATGACGTGTCTGACCCTTCTTTAATATCATCAACTGGAGCGAGAAAGACCTGAAAGAAAATATTTAGAAAAAGAGTGTTCATATTATGCCTTGCCTGTGCTATGCCTTAATAAATTCTCTCATTAGCAATAAGCCAATTCTATATAAACAATGTTTTCTCAGCAGGCAACAGCAAGTTCATAAGTACTCTTAACACTCATTAAAGCTCACATGCTTCAAGAACATGCTTAGAAATATTGTGGGTTTCCTGGCTCTCGGCACATATTTCAATGGGGAATAAATGGGTGCATGGAATACAGTGAAGAGCAAGTTCCTTCAACAAGTTCTGTCTTTTCTTGCCACTGCTCAGTAACAAAGGAAGCAGTGAGCAAAACAATTATTTGGGCTTTAAATGGAAACAGGAAAAGACCAGACATCTAAAATTGGAGAAAATGTACATGTCAGAGGCTAATTCAGAATTTTTTAAATGACTTTTTTTGTTATTCTGGGAAGATGTTTTAAGTTTTTATTGTAAACAAATGTCACTTTTGAGGCAGATGGAAAAGTAATCTAAATTTAGAAAATGTGTCATTATTAATTGACCTTAGTTATCAGAGAAAGTTTTTTTCAAAGATCTGCTAACTTCAACTCCAAACTGGACACAACTGCCTCCTGTAACTTACTTCCTTTAACGCCTCAATCAACTACAGTAACTCGCATTTGAGATTGATTTTATTTGCCTTTAACCAAAACTTGTTAGAAACAGCCTGCACAATTATTTCTCTTTCCTCATCCTATTTCTTTTTGGTACTTCTGTGGGGAAATGTGACCAGTGTTTGCAAAACAACACAAGAAACACCTCTCAATTGTTTTCTGGCATTATTAACTTGTTATTGTTACCAGCAACTCTGCATCTCCACAACTATCAATAGTTTATTGCTTGTTTCTTTACTTAGATTCATTGACATTAATAGGGTGAAATGTAATGACTTACGGTCAGCATTTTGGAATAATAAAAATGATTAATTTGGAAGTTCTTTGCAATATTCTATACAGTTCAAAAGCCAACATCTAAAAATGTATACTGCATGGAGAGAAATAACAATTTAGTTTCAATTATAAATTAAATACATGTAAACTCCTTAAATCATTCTTATAATTGGCAACTATAAATCAGTTACCAGGATCTTTCAAGAATATTTAAAGCCATATAGTATAGAAATGTTTTCTATTGATTAAAAATAGATGTAGATAGAGATTCCATACTAGATGCTTACTCACATCTGCATTTACCTACTTTTTCTTTCTCTTATGAAGCAAAACTGTTTTTACAAAATAGGATTGTTACTCCCAGGCTCCCCTAATGACTCATTATGATCAAAATGACAAACTTAGTAGCTTTAACTTTAATTGGTTTGGTACAATCAATGCTTTAAGTTGGTAAGTAGATTCACTTCTCCATATATTTCACATGTTAAAAGGTTACTTTTATTTTTAATAAAAATAAAATAATTGTCAGTTTTAATAAAATTACTTCCTTTTTCCTTTTCAACTTCTGCTTTCCTTCTTTCATTTGATGTTATGTACACTTCCAGTGTTGCCAACACTTTACAGTTTCAACGCCTTACTGTGAACATGCTTATTTTTAATTTGAAGCAAATTGAAACACATTTTAAGAGTTGAAAGTTCACATCCTCCTTTCAAAAAAACTCAGTGCACTTCAGTGTGTCACAAACTCAGAGCTGATTACCACTGAGTTAGAGGTCAAATTATTTGTATCCAAATTAGGATTTCTCATCTTTCTTTCTAAAAATTGTCTGTATTCTCAAGTTTTTAATAGGAAAAAAAATCTTATTTTTATGATTCTGTTTCTGACAATAATTTTTGAGACAAAGGGATACTTTGGCTCAAAAATTATTTTAAGAATAAGAAAATCAAGCTCTAGTACACATAATTCCTCATGTGGCAAACAAGAAAAATATAATACTGAATTAACCAACAATTAACTCATTAACAATCTTCCTTTGTTCAGTGTCTGCTATGTTGTTATTAGAAATCCAGAAAAGCAAGTCTATTGAATAGAATTTTTAAGAAAAAAAGTTAAGTTTTATATTCTACTCTGAGATGTTCTGGCTGTACTGTCACCTGTCCTAACTGAAACAAGGGTATTTAACATCACTTTTAATATAAATACATTTCATTGACATTTAAGTTATTATCAAGCCGCTGAAGGGCCTAAGAGTTGATATTCCTTTACTTCAAAAGAGAACATTCCCAGTGACGATGTACCCAGCAACCACATTCATGTGGTTTTGATTTTTACTCCTCCTTGTCTTTATAATTTTTACTTTGATTTCTTTCATATGGACACAGAATGACTTAGCAGTGTGACTTTTTTTCTAATTCATTCAATCGGCCATTCTAAATCTCTCGTTAAGCATCTGATATATAGTCATGTAGTTTATTTAAGTAACTAGGCAGTAGCGCAGGACACAGACTGAAATTAATCCCAGCTGCGTCGCTACTTAGCTGAGTGACCTTGACTTTGACCTTGCTTAACCTCAATTACCTCACCTGAAAATGGGGACAATAATGATGATTATATAGGATTATTCAGAAGGTGACATGAGATAAACATAATTAAAGCACATTGCCCTGTGCCTAGCGTATTGTAAACTCTCAAGAAATAGTAGCCACTATGAAAGATAAAAGTGAGTTACTAAAAAGCTATAAAATTATATGAATTTAATTGTAGAACTTACAAGAAAGTCATTCATTATGTAAAAGAAATCTTAGAATGGAAAAAGGAGCCTCAAATATTAACATGAGTTAAGACAATAGGGACTGTTTCAATATGGCCAGAGTAATACTGACATGGAGCCAGTATACTGATATTTATGACATTAAGCCCTTCTTGTCCCACCAGAATTCTGGGCAGCTCTCTGGGATTGAAATACCTTCTGGGACTTACTAAATGAGCTAATAGGCCCCACAGTCAAGTTACCTTTGAATCCTTAGTTGTGAAAAACTTGGTGTTGGAGCTCCCAGACTGTATAGTTTAGTTATTGCCTCCCCTATTTTGCTGTAGTATTTTTTTCTGAGTTATTTGTGCTTTGTTACTTCCCAATCACATACAACTATGTTTATTGTACTCCTCCCAATGGATATGCCATGATACAGTATTTCTTTACTAACAAGCTTTACATCTTAAACACTTTTAAGGTACGAATTACCAAGGGAAAGAAGTACTTTCCACTCATTTGCCTTTTACCATTTAAGTTTTATTCTTAGCTATATATCAAGTAAGAGCATTTGGTACATCCCAAGCCCCAGAACGGGTAATGAGTTCTTTTATTTATTTAAAATATTTGCTGCATTTGTTTCAATATCAAATAAATCATTAGTAATTTCTTTAGTGTTCAGTACATATTTAAACCAAGAAGAAAAAGAAAAACAAGTATGATCATATTGTGAGGTTTACATGATAAACAGTAAACTGAACTCTTGATTTACCGTAGAGGAGTGTTATACAGAAAGCATGATCATCCATCTCCATGCGTAAGTTTTTTGACCGTTCATAAGATTTGCCAAGCTTTCCTCACATGATTAAGGTAAGAGTCAAATTCTAATGTAAGAAATCATTTGTTTTCACCTCAACAATTTTATCTTGACTTTTATTTATGGCCATGTGAATGTCTTCCAGTCCCTACATCTCTCCTCAATCAGATTAAAAAAGAAACAGAGAGAAAAAGAAAAAAAAAAATCCCTTTCATTGCATCCCCACAAAGTAACTCATGAAGTTCATCATCTGTGAAGGACAGAAAAGGCAAATTAACAGTCAGAATGAAAAGGGAACAGGCAGCATCTTGACGTCTCACAGAAGTAGTTTTGGATGTGCTTCCTTTCGTGGTTCCCAGGCCCAAGTGAAGGTTCCCAAGCACCTTCTTAAGCAAGTTTCATGTTGGCAAAGTTTGTTACGAGTCATGTTTATTATGTCAGTCGATGTTTTTAAGCCTAAACGAAATTAATAGCATCATGCATGGCTTACAATAAACCCTAATGAAACGTTCAGAACTGTTTAAAAAGCTGTAGCAGGTTTTTAAGGAAATTGGTTGCCTGTATTTATTCTTTGAATTAAGTGTTAAAGGAAAACAGAATAATAATATATAAAACCCGGGTTTCCTGTAACAACAATAATTATGATAACTAACATCTGTATATGGCTTTACAGTTTGCAAAGTGCTTTCTCATACATTACCTCATTTAGCAGAGTGGAAATGTTTAATGATCCCAGTTCCAAACTGCCTTTCATTAATAGTATATATATTATATTAATAAGCACATTTAGAAGAAACTATCTTCATAAGCACTCTGCTAAGTGTGAACAAAGGCTGATAAGGAGATGCTGAAATCCGATATCAACCCCATAAATCAAATAAACATCGAATAAAATCTGTCAAACACTTCATAACATTGTGTGCGTGTCATCAAACTCAAGGCAAATCCTGCTGTGTCACCTCGAAATGATGAAGAGAACTAAGGTGTGAGAGCATGCTGTTAGAAGTTTCATTAAAGCCTTATTTACTAGTTCAGAATGAATTTACATTGATCTTTTAAACTATTGCTAACCACAAGTGCATTAAACCTAAACAGTCTTCATTTACTGAGAAATAAATGTGTCAGCAGAACCATGACTTTTGTCCAATGTTGTTCCGGCATTTAAGGCATTTAATTCACAAAGGCTCAGTGTTAAGCTTTTTATTGCTTGTTGTGCTAAAGCATGTTCGTTTAATTGCAAATATATTTCCTTCCTGCATCATTATCAAAATTGTTATCTTAAGGAAATATTGTTTTTAAATAATCTGCTGGAAAACCAGTGTGGTACGTGGGCTTATTCAGAATAATTGTTTCCTGCTACAGATGGGTTAGCAATTAAGCGGTAACATTGCTTAAACAATTTTAAAAGGAGGTGAGGATAAAAGGAGTCGGATTGTGCTGATCTGAGTTGTAAGAAGCTCTGGCATTTTTGTGGAGTCAACATGCACTCGTGGCTGATTTAATCAATACCTCACTGTTTACATTTTTAAAGAACTTTGTTACTGGTTCCAGGGCCTGATCTAATAAATAAGCAATTGCAATGTATTGTATAATTTTGTGAGATGTGAATTATGTCAAAAGTCACCTTAGTCTTTCTGTCTTTGAAATGGAGACAAATGTCTTGAATTTGACTTTGACCTTGACCTTTTCCTATATTAACTTAGGAAAAAGACTTGAATTCAGGCTTCAGATTTTTAAAATCCCAGTAACACTATTATGAGGACACCCATGCTAAAGACAGAAAATTAGGGACATTATTTTAAATAAGAAAAGAAACAGCAATACCTGACTTCAGATACTCCAGGGATTACATGCATTTCTTAAAATTGTTTTTCGGTAGCTAAATACAACAGACATGAGGTTTCCATTTCAGTGGGTGAAAAACTATTGACAGTACTCCCACTAAACCCACACTAAATAAGCTGCTTCATGTTGTCCATTACATGGGACTTTAAAAAATGCTCACTAAAAGATAAATCCTTTGCCTAATTGTATTTAAATTCAAGAAAAGAGCAACTCTTTACTGAGGAGATGAGCATAAAGGCACTTTTACGAGTATTCATTATTCCTGGAGCTACTTACATTGATAACTAGAAAGCAAACCACAACAAGCCAAGCTTCCAATGGGAAGCAACCAAGGTAACCCACATTTCAATATCACTGTCCAGCTAAAAAAAAATCCCAGAAACTGACTAGATATTGTTCTATGTCAAAAGAAGTGAGGACTCCTTCTTGTCTCTATTATGACATGGAATTGTGTCTCAGTTTATTTCAGGGGAGAAATAATTTAAAAATGAATAGCAGTGTGAGACTCAAAATGGGTGGGCCCCTGCAGGAGACCAGTGAGCAATTAGCCACATCCTGCATGGCCAGACTGAGTGACATGGACAACACAAGGGGACAAGTGAGAGACAGAGACAGGTAACCACTCCCTGCCTTCATCCACCAGTCTGTGCTCTCAGGGAAATGCCCTCTCTGCCATGGGGATCGGGGTGCTGGCAAGGGGAAGCATGGCATTCCGAAGGTACAGATGGGACCCACCCCAAACTTCAATGATGCATCTTAAACCTGGACTGCCGTGCAGCCAGGAGGGCATCCGACTTGTCTAGGGCATTTTCTCTTCTTTCCCTGCAGAGTTAATGGGGCCAGGGGGGTCCAGCAATGGGATGGAAATGGATAGCAGCCATTAAATAGGTACAAGAAAGGGATGTCCGTGTTGGGAAGTCGGCTGCCTCTCTGAATCCTTTCTCTCAAAGAATGACGGTGTTACCTTGACACGATATGGACATCCTCCCAAGGCTTTGCACGCATGAATCTTTTAACATGTTCTTCTCTCGCCGCAACCTTTTCCCGTTGTCACCCTCCTCCTCTCACAGGTCCCTCATCGTTATAAGTATTGCAATTCTGGAGCACTTGTGTGCCCTTCCAGCGGCTTCGGGGCTCCTCTCTCTTCCCTTACCTTCACACACCTCCCACCACTTTCTTTTTGAGCAAACACTACCTGTGGTTTTCTAGCAGTTTCCACCATCCATTTAGGTACTCCAAAGTGTTGGGTTATTGTTTTAAATGCCTTCTTGAAATCAAGACCAAATTCCTTTCTGAGGTCAAAGCTCAGCTTTATTCTTGGCCACAGTGACCTAATACTCAGCAATCTTCTGCCCTCCATAAAAGCAAATGGCATGCACTAAATTGTGCTGCATGGTAGTAACCCTTCGCTGCTCCAGAACTGCAGAAATGCTCAGCTGGGTTTACCTTCTTTTGGTCTGTTCTTACCTTAGCTTTTATAAGACACCAAGTACAGTCACCCCTCAGTATCCATATGGGATTGGTTCCAGGACCCTGAGGATTATCTGCAAATGCTCAAATCCCTTATACAAAATGGCACAGTATTTGCATATAACCTACACACATCTTCTATGCAGTCAAGTGTTACTTAACAACTGGGATGCTTCTGAGGGATTTATCGTTAGTTGGTTTTGTCAATGGATGAACATCACACTGTACTTACACAAACCTAGATGGTATAGCCTACCACACAACTAAGTTGGATGGTACAGCCTATTGCTCCTAAGCTACAAACCTGTACAGCATGCTACTGTACTGAATGCTGTAGGCAACTGTAGGAAAATGCTTAAGTATTTGGGCATCTAAGCATACCTAAACATAGATAAAGTACAGAAAAAATAAGATAACATAATCTTAAGGGACCACCTTTATACATGCAGTCAGTTGTTGATCAAAAAGTCATTATGGGGTACACGACTTCACTTTAAATCATCTCTAGATTACTTGTAATGCCTAATACAATGTAAATGCTATGTAAATACTTGTTATACTATATATTTAAATTTTTAATTATTTTTTACTACGTCATTTTTTCTAAATATTTTTGATCTTCAGTTGATTGAATCCATGGATACAGAACCCACAAATATGGAAAGCTGACTGTATATGCACTTTTTTAAGTTTGCATTCCCTGAAAATTCAGACACATTGCTTCTTTATATCACCTTCTATCTAATTCTTCTTTTAAGAAAATCTTTGTTCAACTAAAATGTAGGGTCTCCTGGAGATGTTAGAGGGCAGAAAAATATCTGAGTACTTTCAAAAGTACAGTAAAGTTTCATTAGAAAACCTAAAACATCGTATGCATTCTTTTTATGAAAGGCAATATCGATGCTGATGTTCAAGTTTCTGTCTTGATATCAACACAAAAGTCTTGGACTCATAGCTGGCAGAATAAATCAGACTGGTAAATGTGTTTTATTTAGCATACGCAGCCTTATTTTTTTCAGTGGATTTTTGACTGCCACCCTTAAAAACCTGATGGCCTGGCCGGGCGCGGTGGCTCACGCCTGTAATCCCAGCACTTTGGGAGGCAGAGGCGGGCGGATCATGAGGTCAGGAGATCGAGACCATCCTGGCTAACACAGTGAAACCCCGCCTCTACTAAAAATACAAAAAATTAGCCGGGCGTGGTGGCGGGCGCCTGTAGTCCCAGCTACTCGGGAGGCTGAGGCAGGAGAATGGCGTGAACCCGGGAGGCGGAGCTTGCAGTGAGCCGAGATCGCGCCACTGCACTCCAGCCTGGGCGACAGAGTGAGACTCCGTCTCAAAAAAAAAAAAAAAAACCTGATGGCCTGACAACAGCGACCACATTCCCAGAGAATGACTGAGCAGTCATTGTCCTCCACAGACTCAACATGTGCTTTCCAGGTTTTCAGAATCCTAGCCCACTTATCTCAAATACAGAACCCATGCAACCCCTCAGGGTACTTTTCAATCCTTCATCAATCAACTTTTTAATAAATTAATACATTATTTGATGAACCAAAAAAATACATTTTTACTCATAAAGGGTTCTAATGTTCTAATTTTTCAATGTGCTTTTGTATACATTTTCTTAATTACCCCAACCATCTCCCAATCCAACGACTATACCTATTTGCTGTTTTTGATAGATGAGGAAACAGGGTTGGCTCCTTTGCAGACCTGGCATCTGACAGAAACCATGAGCATCCATCCAGGGCATTGAATGCTAACCTCATTCAAGCTTTCCAAGTCAAGGGCTGAAGAGCCATGAACCAACCCAACTGTTCACAAACAGTGCCCTTGTCCTGAAGATTATGCCGTGTGGTTTAAGCACAAGAAACTACTAGCAGCAGCATCTTTAAATATTTACAAGCCTCTAATATATGTATGTGTTTATGTTTTGGTCAGTTTGTCTAATTGGTGGGAGCTTGGTTTTTATAAATTCAGGATGCCTTCAATGCATGGGCTTTTTATTCACATCAAGAATTAGATATAGTCCCAGGTACTTGAGGGCTAGGGCAGGAGAATAGCCTGAACCCAGGAGCATGAGACTGCAGTGAGCTATGATCGTGCCACTGTTTGACAAAGTGAGACTCCAACTCTCTTAAGCACACATACACTGTGGAATACTATGCAGCCGTAAAAAAGGATGAGTTAATGTCCTTTGCAGGGACAAGGATGAAGCTGGAAACCATCATTCTTAGCAAACTAACACAAGAACAGAAAATCAAACACCACATGTTCTCATTCATAAGTGGGAGTTGAACAATAAGAACACATGGACACAGGGAGGGGAACGTCACACACTGGGGCATGTTGGGGGGTGGGGGGCTAGGGGAGGGATAGCATTAGAAGAAATACCTAATGTAGATGACAAGTCGATAGGTGCAGCAAACCACCATGGCACGTGTATACCTATGTAACAAACGTGCATGTTCTGCACATGTATCCCAGAACTTAAATAAAAATATATATATATAGAGAGAAATATAGATAGGCATTTTTCAGCTATAACCTTATCCAGCCTCTTTACCTAGTATGAATTATAATAATTATAGTAACCATTTCATTAATACTGAGCAGTAAGTGGAACAGATCCCACTAGAAAAAAACTAAAAGAGAAGAAGACCAAAATTATACATTATAATGGCATCATTTCAGGAGCATCTGTAAGGAATAAGCCATTCACTAATGAGCATAAACCATATTTATACATTAATTCTCATCTTCAATGCACTGTTCTATTTTTTCTTTCAATATTTTATTTTTCCCTGGTCTTCCTTTACTCCTCAGCAGGACTCACTGGAAAAGGCATGTTCTTTGCTAAAACAAGGTCAATAATATTGTCATTTTCAACTGTGCTATCATTTTCACAGGTCCAAGTTGAAATGAAATCAATTATGAGAACAAATAGCATAGTTCTATCACTAATGAATGGATTTAGCATTGTTTCCCATATTCCTACCACTTAAAATGGAAGAAACAGAGCAAATGTGGTGTACAGAAAGCTCAAATAGTCCATGCTAATGGTGGAAATGCTTAAGTATCATCTGTATACAGCTAATATAAACCAAAGTGGTTTATTGCCACGGTTTTGTGATTTATGACCCACATTATGACTTTATTTTGAAATGGTTGCATGAAATATTAATGTGTGGTGAAAGAACACACAACAAGGAGTAGAGATCACATTTTATCAGATGTACGGGTGCTCAGTGATTTCTTCCTCATAAGACACTGAGCTCCAATCTCAGGATCCTATTTGTTCCCTTACTGTAATCAGCCCCTCATAATCAAACTTTCCAAGGTGAGGCAGCTCTACTTTTGCTCCTAGATTATAGGTTATGTACCGTTAATTTTTAAAAGGATGGAATAGTTTATAACAAATGTGAATAATTTATAGCAAATGTTCTCAGCATTGATTAGTGTCCTTTTGAAAAAGAACGTCTTCTTGATATGCATCATTTCTCTAATGCCTTATGAAAAGTCAGAAAACCTGTTACTGCACTGCTTAATGGACAAATCAAGTTTAATTTTAATCATATATAATATGAAAGATAAGTCCCTATGTTTTTCCCTGTTTGGAATTTGCCAGGCATTAACACTAAGCATTAGCTCAAAGCAATCTAAAGAGAAGTTAACAATAGGAGAGTTGCCTCTCCTTTGAAATTTACATTTTATCCGGGTTCTACAACTCTTGGATCTATGGTTTCTACAGTTGTTTACTGTGCTGCCTCTTAGGTCATTCCTCACCCCACTTCGCAAAGCTCCAATCTGGGGCCTTGTTTAAGTAACAGATTCTACAACAACAACTTTACTGCACAGTAAATCAATTTACACTGAGTTCCTAACTTCATTTTAATTTGATCAACTATATCTGATGCATAAAAAACAGAATATCTTTTTGAATCATCATGAAAGTTGTTTGATTTCTATTGTATTGAAGTCCCCAATCATAATTTTATTCTACTCTTATGTATTTTTAAATGTCAATTGCTATAAATAAAAATAACATAAAATAATAGCTAATACTGCACTTTCTATGTGCATGATGTACACTGTCTAAGAGCTTTGCATATATTAACTTACTGTATTCTCTCAATAACCTGGAAATAAGTACTGTTCTAATGCTTATTATACAAAGAGGAAACTGACGCACAGAATTGGTAAGCAACTTGCCCTGGTAACACCACCAGTAGCTGCAGAGCTGGAATGAAGAACTGAGCTGGCTTGCCTTCAGAGTCCATGCTCTAACCACTATACTACCATTTCTATTGTCCTTTGCCCAGAAACATTTGGTTTCAAAGTTCTTTGTAAAAAAAAAAAACAGAAAATGATAAAGATCTTATGATTTGGGATTGCAGGATACAAACCTAACTTTACAAAGATCCAG
Organism: Homo sapiens; assembly: GCF_000001405.40. Lineage (NCBI taxonomy): Eukaryota > Metazoa > Chordata > Mammalia > Primates > Hominidae > Homo > Homo sapiens. Next base: position 35,592,758 of record NC_000021.9, read on the forward strand.
TGTTAATAATAGATGTGTCCTTCAATATCTATGGTCATCCAAATGGCAGAATGGCTCCTTCCATTCTCTGCAAGGGCTCCCTGAAGCAAATCCCCCTCCAAAATCCTCCCAGAATAGTAAAATGCAAAGCAAAGAGTACTTTGGTCAAGAAGAGCTTGCATATAATTCCAAACTAAACCACTTCCTACCTGGGTAATCCAGGGACTGTTATTGAACCTCTCTGAGCCAAGATTTTTATTTCCAAACTGAGATAATAACACTCACCAGTAGTACAGTTGTAATCATTAGAGATAATGTTTGTAAAGTGTTTGGCATCAAGTAGGCTTTCACTATGATATATAATAGCTGTTACCACTGTTTTTGTTCTATCATTGTTATTCTTTCTGCAAGCCTATCCTCGGAATGAGTCACTGCATGAATGCAGGGAACGCAGCCTTTGGTAACATTAACCCTTAAGATCTTTAGCTAACTCCCCTTCCCCTTTCTAGGAGCACTCAAACTTTTCTTAGAATGTATTGAGTTAAATCCATATGCATTCTTAACCTCAAACAGCCAATGAGGAAATCTAGACTAGAGACACTGAAAATGCAGGGGAGGGTGTGACGGTTCCACATAAATATCACTGCTAAGGAAAAGTCCTTTCAGGGAAAACACCTCACTCTCACCTGTGTGGTTCGATTGTAAATACCTGACCTCCAGGATTCCTTGTCTGTTAATGATGAGTCTGTTCTTACTTGGGTAACGGCTTCACTGAAGAAACAGAACAAAAAGCAGGTAGGAAAGAACACAAGAATCCCTATGATTTGGGAAAAGATGACAAAGGGAAACAGACATGAGAGAGAAAGGAAGAAAGAAGAGAGAGGGAGAAAAACTGTCTTCCAGAGAGAAAGCAAATCGATAGTAGACACTCTGTGGGGAATAACTGTGGTAGAAATAGAATGGAAACTGAGCCAGGGTCATTTATTGTTTTGTGCATTCTGTTATAGGAAAGAGCATGAATAACAAAGAAATCTGTCCACAGACATGGAACACCCCCACGACAGAACAGGCCATTTCCAATGCTATGGGTTTGTTTTTTTTTTCTATTTTTACTTTCTAAAATGAAATAGCACAATACATTCTAATGGCTGCTTAGGTTTGTAGCTTAGTTGTCACTGGACAAGAGGAGGAGGTCTAACTGCTCCTCCCAACCTCACCGGAGGTGGATGAAAATGCAGCCCTTTCTCTGCCTAAAGGCATCATTCTCAAATATGTGATTTTTAAAGTTGCCTCTATCTCCTAAGATACACTCATGAGGTGAGAATTGTCCCTGCTTAGAGCAATTATCAAAATGCTGCTTAATTTTTTTCTTTATATTTATCATGTGTATTTATACCTTTCTTTTTACCCTCTTGTGTCACAGGGACCATGACCACTTTTTTCTCTCTTTTTTTTTTTTCCTTTTTTTGAGGGAGGGTGTCACTCTGTCACCCAGTCTGGAGTGCAGTGGCATGATCTCAGCTCACTGCTACCTCCGCCTCCTGGGTTCAGGTGATTCTCCTACCTCAGCCTCCCTAGTAGCTGGGATTACAGGCATGTGCCACCACACACGGCTAATTTTCGTATTTTTAGTAGAGATGGGATTTCACCATGTTGGCCAGGCTGGTCTCAAACTCCTGACCTCAGGTGATCCGCCCACCTGGGCTTCCCAAAACACTGGGATTACAGTCATTAGCCACCACGCCCAACTCATGACCACTTTTAAAAAACTTTTCTGCCTCCTTTCTCTCATTTTTCTGTCCCAATTTTAATCTTCCCCTGAGTACAGCTCAGAACCCAACCCCTATGACAGGACTTCAGTCTAGCACCCTGCATCTCTCCTTTCAATGACCCAATTGCCTGGCTGAAATGAGTAAATGCCATAGGAATGAGATCTATATCAATAACTATCAACGTATGCTCTATATTAAACATTCTTAAAAGCCAAAAGGACTATTTTGTAGGGGCTACCACACTAATTAGAAGGCAAGCTCTTTTTAAATACAACCGCTCATGTATACTAAACACAATCACTCTCGAATACTGTTACACATACTGTGGTTCTAGTGTTGTTGACAAGTAGATTATTAAGTAAACCAGTTGATTCATGGATTACCCACGCACATTAAAAAGCGGAATTTGGCAAATGTAAACAAGCTATTTGGGCTTATCAAAGCTATGTTTAGACTATTGCTTTTTGGTTATTAAAAAAAGAAATTCTCTTTGTAACAATTGTGAATGGAAGTTCATTCATGATTTTGGCTCTCTGCTTGTCTATTGTTGGTAGAAAATGTGGTACATACATACCACGGAATACTATGCAGCCATGAAAAGGAACAAGATCATGTCCCATGGAACTGAAAGCCATCATCCTCAGCAAACTAACACAGGAACAGAAAACCGAACACCGCGTTTTCTCACTCATAAGTGGGAGCTGAACAATGAGAACACAGGGAGGGAAACAACACACACTGGGGCCTGTTGGTGGGTGGGAGGAGAGAAAGCATCAGGATAAATAGCTAATGCATGCCGGGCTTAATACCTAGGTGATGGGTTGATAAGAGCAGCAAACCACCATGGCACACGTTTACCTATGTAACAAACCTGCACGTTTGCACATGTATCCCAGACCCTAAAAGAAAATAAAATTTAAAAAAAAGAAATTGACTTTTGTAGAAGAGAAGAGTTCCCAGGATATTTGGAATATCATGCATTCCAGACTCTGAAAGGAATTATAAGTTCCAGTTTCAACCAAAATTTTTTCCCTCAATAGTTAATTTCAAAAAAAGAAAAAGGTAAGATGTGTATGCCATTCTCATGAGAAGAAAACAAGACCTAAAACAAACAAACAAAAAAACCAGTCTAGGCCCTAAACCTTATATGAAGATAAAGAAAGGTCATCCTCAATTTCAATTTACTTTATATATTCTTTGAGAGGTAACCGTGTCTTATCTCCCCCCAAAATTCCTTTTAAAAGGAAATTTCCAAAGATGCTCTATTCTGTGAATAAAGCATTGTGCCACAGCCGAGAGGATCCAGCAATGAACATGAGATTGCCCTTGATTCATAAGGTCTACAAGCTAGTAAGGATAGAGAACACTTTAAAATAAAAAAAAATAGTTTTTGGTATATTTATATTGTGTATTTGGTATAATTGAGTTTTCTACATTCTCATATATGTATTTCATATTTTGAAGAATATGCAGAAAATAATCAAGCTTCCAAATAAACATTTTTTTTTAAGAACTGCACAAGTGAGAATTTAGGAGAACAGAAGATCAGAGGGCTGCACGGGCTAAACTAGACAATGAGCCCATGCAAGTAAGTTAAGAGGAGAAGCGGGTAAGTATGCACCTGCTTTGTCTAGGTGACCAGCAAGCATTTAGCAATAGTCTTTTCAAAACAACAGCTCCTTATATTGTCAAATCTCAAGAAGTAATATTTATGGTTAAAAAAATCTCAGACCCAACAGAAAATCCATGAGGGAGATGGTTTTGGAAACGCAGAATTTTCAGCTATGATATCCTTTTATAAACAAGCAGATACTTTCCCCAAATATAATTCAATGCCTCAGTCTACCTCCTGCTGAAACCACTAACACCACCACTAAAGCTCGACTATATGGGAAAATTTAGGTGTCACTTTCAAAATATGTCCTAGCATAAAGGCAATTAAAAAATGTAAAGCACCAAAGATGCAAGAGAGACATAAATGAATAAAATATCTGGCACGAAAGTTTTCAAAAGCTTGGGAATCTGATTCAAAAAAAAATAAAATCAGCCAAGCAGTGTTAGTAAGTTAGCCAATCAGGTTTCAAGAAGGCAGAAAGACAAAATCAACATCACCAGCATTTGACACCGCTACTGGGGGAAAAAAGGGGGATGGAGTTCGTTTATGGCCTTTTTAAAAATGCCATTACTTGGACAAGAGTCATAACAGAGAAGCACTGCTTATTTCAGTTCTGTTAACTGTAAATATCAGAGCCAACACCCAGAAAAAGTTCACCATTAGCCAATTGGTTTTGCCTGGCCAATTGGAGATGGTAATAGGCCTGCTATGGATGACATTCTTTCTGATATAAGTTGTTTCTTGCTTTTTCTCCCTCTCTACTGTATGTCTTTAAATTCTTTATAACATTCCTTTCTCACTACTATTCAATTAGCTTTCAGATGAGTGAGGAGCACCTACACACCAAGATTGCCACTGTACCAAGTATCATCACAAGAGTTCACAACCAGCTGCTTAAAAGTAATTGGCATCATAATGTGCAGAAAAAAATACTTTTCTAATGGTTGCCTGGAAGATTTATATCACTAAAATGTAATTAAAAAGTAGATTTAGAAATATACTCAGCAACCAAAAAGATTAAATATTAATGTGAAGTGTAATTAATAAATTATACATCTCTTGATTACTAATGGCTTATTGACTGTAAAAGCATAACATTATGGAATATTAGGGCAAACAAAGGCTTTTGGGGAATATTGTTCAGCTTCAAGGATGCTGCTGCTGCTGCTCTTGAATTTCCAGAAGAAATCCTGATTTTTGCAGAGAAAATAAAAATTTGCCTAATTATTTCCATTAACATTCTTTACTCATTCTATATGTCACTGAGTGTGTCGTTCTTTACAAAATGAAAACTTGGTAGTTTCCTGAATCCTTTTTTATTGCACTAAGACAATTTCTGCTGCATGTTCTACTGGCTATCCGGTTGAAATTAAGTTTTACATTTAAAAGTAGTTCTGAACCTCTTATACAAAAATAAGGTGTCTAATACCATTGGCAGTGACATCAGTACAGATAAATATCTGGAATGAGGTGGGTGTGCGATGGGTAATGCCTGCAGGGCAATGCAGTCTGCAGAATAAGACAAAACCATGGATAGAGAGAGGGGGCTATCCAGACATCAATAAACATATGTAAACTGCAATCACCTCACACTCTCTTGAAAAATTTTCAGGCCAAGTGCAGGGGCTCATGCCTGTAATTTCAACACTAGGAGGCCAAGGCAGGAGGATCACTTGACCCCAGGAGTTCAAGTCCAGCCTGAGCGATACAATGAGATCTTGTCTCTACAATTAAAAAAAAAAATAGCCTGGCATGGGGTCGCATACCCGTAGTCCCAGCTACTTGGGAGGCGGAGGCGGGAGGATTGCTTGAGCCCAGGAGGTGGAGGCTGCAGTGAACCATGATCTTGCCACTGCACTTGAGCCTGGGCAACAGAGCAAGACCCTGTTTCAAAAAAAAATTCAAGATATTCATCAGAATCTTAGAATGTGAGAGTTATAGAAAGTGCCTTGGGGGTTATGTAGCCTACCAGCTTCATTTTATATAAGAATTTGGAATTCTCTTATGCAACGCAGTCACATGACTTAAGATTTCAAGGATAGTCAATGGCAGAATGGGAGCAATAGCTCAGGTTTCCTCACACTGATAGCAATAGGAAGCCAACAAATTCTTAGGCAGACAGGGATGGGTCCCTGGTGAAACTCGACCTTCAAGCCAAGGACAGTCTGAAGCCCTCAAACTACCAGTTCTGGACAGAGTCCACAGACTGCAGTGACAACTTCCATTCCCATTGGGTGCAATCAGCCCCTGATTGGTCCCAGGCCAAGGTTCCGGGCCAAGCCTTCCCTTCAGCCCCCAGTTTGTCCCAGGCCAAGCTTTCACTTCAGTCCCCGATTGCTTCTTTACACTATCGTACCACTTTCTGAATGAGACAGCCCTGGGAAAGGGCAGGAAAATGCCACACACAGAGCCCGGACACAGTGACTACACCTAAGTGAGTGCTCCGGGACTGTGGGCAAAGCACAGTCAGTCATCCTGAGTGAACATCCAGAAATAGGGACCTGATCAGTTTCTCCTCTTGCTTGAAGCCCGGGAGGTTCCCTTCTTGGAAGGTGTGGGGCTTGTAGAGAGGAAGTCACCTTTGTCTGAAGAAAAGATATCCCTTAATTGTGGTGCATATGGCCCCAGGTGCAACATGGTTAGGGGAGGGCACACAGCCTGGATTCCTGCCTCAGCCTAACCAGCACAGCCTCTGCATGATGCAGAGACAGGCAACAGGATTCTGGAGTCCCTCCTAATCTAGCCCTCTCCTCCCTCCTTGCAGCCTGGCTTCTGTGCCTGCTCCACAGGGCAGCCTAACCTGCACAGCCCGCCATCTGCATGATGCAGGGACAGGCAACAGGACTCTGTCATTTTGTTGCTTCTTTTCTTTGACCACCAATTCAGTAGCTGACAACAACAAAACCACCTGGAAACTATGTGGACAAATGAACACGGACTCCAAGTCTCCAAAATACAAACTCATTTGCTCAACTCTAATAGAAATTGTATCACTGGAAATTACTTTTCTAATTATACATAATAACATAATCAACAAATCCTTATGACGCTATATTTCTGCAGGCAAACAATGTTCAATGTCACCAGCAAGACTACTTATTTAACAAGGAAATTTTTTTAACTGCTTAACAAATCATCAGTGGTTTAGAAATTTCATAAAATTTCTCATTTCAAAAACGAGAAAATTAAGGCCTTGCGGGGTTAAATCGTTATCAAGTAATCAGTCGGCTCACTGCCCAGTGTGGACACTGGCCAATATTATGGCACCAGCCTTTGAGAAAAGGAAACCTTTTTTTGAATCCATCTCCCTGACCTGGGGTTTGGGTTGGGTTTTATCAGCATAGGGTGACAGGCAAGTTCAATCTGATTGGATCCTGGATCCCATCATGGGGTATCTGTTCCTAAATCATTCCCTGATCCTCGGTCAGAGCGAGCGCTTAGGTTCCCGCTGCAGTTAAACACCTGGTTCATCTGGGCATACTAAGGTTATGACTTTCCACCTGGGAGTCCACGACAACTGAAAAAACTCAAAACTTCTTTAAGTAGAAGTTGAGCCTGAAGCTGAGGCAGCTGTTTCAGAGAGGAGGAGGAGGAGGAGATAGCAAATGTCAAGGGATTTCCATTTCTCTTTCAATGCCAACATACTTCAGGGCATCAGCCTGGCTGTATCTGTAATCAAAAAACAGTTCTTCGCAAGTCTGGATGGCTCTCCTGACAAAAACACCTATCCTGTGATCACCATTAACCATCATAACTTTTGCATAGCAGTTTGGATTTACCGAATGATTTGCAAAACGAATTTTGTTACCCTTGCAGGTTGCATCCACCACAAAATCATTGTTCAAGTTGAACAGAAAGCTGCACATGTATTTATCACACACTTTCCCTCTTCCGTCAGCTTAGCTTCAGGAACCTCGAGTACTGTGGGCAATTTAGAAAAAGAAAATGCCGTTTGAAATTCTGAATTTGCAAAGTACTATAAGAATAATTTATAGCAATGAGTTTAAAACTCAACTTTTTATTGCCTTCTCACCAGCTGCAAAGTGTTTTGTACCAGTGAATTTTTGCAATAATGCAGTATGGTATATTTTTCAACTTTGAATAAAGAATACTTGAAATTGAAAAAAAAAATTGAGTCTGATGGGTCTAGTGTGTTTATAAAATGACTTAAGATCCCACAGTTATTTTAAAGTAATACATTACTCAACTGGTATTCATTTTGATGCCATTATTTTATTTTATAAAACTAGTCATCCTTGCAGAAGTGTATCTGATTAACTCTTGACAACTACTTTGCCTATTTTATTAACAGCTGCATTTAACCCACGTGACAGGATAACTAATTTCTATTGTTTTTGTATTTTTGCCTCCTCCTTCCAAGATAGCAGTAGAGTACTGTGTTAAATCTTGCTTCAGAAGAGCTTGTTTAAAATAGTTATAAAGAAAGTAAAATACATAGAAAAACACGTTATAATTTTAAATTAAAAAAGAAAAAAGATGTCTACTCTGAATAAATTATGCATACATATAAGGTCTGAACAAAAACATGAAAAGATGGGCTCTGAGTATCAATTTTAAAAATCTTTACCAGTATAACATTACTCAAACAAAAATTAAAATTTAATATAATTAAGTACATATTCCAAGACAACAAATGGACCTTGACTGTTAATTCTGGAAAAGATCCCAAATACTTTGACCAGTAGTGCCTAAAAGTATAAAATTTATCATGTGGCATTTTATCAGACATGCTGTGGTTATTTAATGAGACTCACTTTTGCAGTTTCTGTTGGTAACACAAACATTTTGGACTTTCATTGTTTACATCCACAATCCCTTATGACAACGTCAAGATCCAAAAATTTCTGGAAACTGAAATTTTTGTGCTAATTCATCTGGGGACAAATCCTGTCCTGAAGAGACATATAACTATTAATAGTCCTTATCCCACTAATGGGACTACTGATACTTTTGACTATAGAAATAGTAACAATTTTGATTGTGGAGCGATGTTGCAAACCCTGTCAGGGCTGTTACAGCGTGTGTGATGCGGGTATCATAGGACCTTCCAAAATCGGAAAACCTCCAAATTTCAAACCTCGGTTCAAGAGATAGATGTTGGGCCTGTATTCTGTCCTTTTTCACTGTGGAATGTCGTCATCCTCTAAGGAACAGCATCCAAATCCCTTTGCTGTGCTTCCTCCCTTGATCACAAGCCACACATAACCCAAACTTGAGCAGCATTTGGTGTTAATCACCTGAAAACTTCCCAGCAAAATGAGTCAAGGAAAACCATCCTTGGCACTAGTGGATGGTTTGTTGGAAACCCACAAAGATAGACTCGGGATCGTGGGCTATAGAAGTGGTGACAAGTGAAATCTAACATATGCTATTTTAAATACTCATCTGCCTAATATATTCTGGAAGCTCTCAAGAATGTAAGACACTAATATCTCTAAAATGTTTTCTATTTTAAAATGAATAACAGTAAGGGTCTGTGATTTGGTTTTGAAAGAAAATTATTTCCCAGTAATTTAAGCACCAAAAATATAGAACAATATAGTATTTTACATTTATGCAGAGGTGCTCTGGAAGCGGAAAAATAAGAACAATTAAGCTTTGAATATTTCAAGTTTTAAATAAATTTTAATATTTGGAAAAAGAGGTCATTAAATGTTCAAATCCATGCGGACTCATACATATCTGTTACACAAAAGCATCTTAGTATCCAAGTTGACTTTTTCTTGAAATAAGCAGTATTTTCTACCACTTTATAACCAAATCTTAGTCTATGTCTTCCTGTGTAAATTCATCAAATTTACCAAATGAACAGGCAGCACAAAGAGAGCCACTGAACCCTCAATGAGTAAAGGACTCCATGGGTAAGTCATATTTTGGGTAACATATTAACACTTTGGAGTCTGCTCAGGGGCTGTTTAGCATATTTAAATCATGAATAAGAAAATCAACATCAATTAATATTGTCCCTGTGCCCGGAGGATACTTAGCACTGTCTATTGGACTCATGTGGAAACAGTCATTAACTGTCTCTGTTCTCAAAGGGCACTTTCCAAACATACGATAACACCCATCTGGTTCTTTCCCCAAACCTCAGAAAACCAACAGAAAATGTAATTTTAGCAAATTAAGAGACTGTTTTTTAATGGATACTGTACATCAGCTGGCTTAAATCTGTGTCTTTGAGGTGGTAGAGGAAGGACTGGGAGAAATAAAGGTAAGAGGCAGAGAACTGATGACAAGAACAAAGAAAGTAGCAAAGGCTGGAGAGAAGGCTCTGGTTCCTTGGGCTGGGTGTCCACAGAGTATCCCCTTCCCCAGGGCACACAGTTCATCCCTGCATTCACTCATTCATTCATCTCTGTGTCCCCAGAGCTTGTTCTGTGTCAAACATTGTCCTGGGTTCTGAGGACAACAGAGGGAATAAAGTAACTCTTACCCTCAAATATACAATGGGGACAGTAGTGGTCCCTACATCTTTGGGTTATCGTGAAGATTAAATAAGCCATCAGAATAAGGCCCAAAGCATATCTTACAAGGCACAAATGCCCTGATATTTTTTAATAAAAAAACTAAAAGAGTCTAGTTTGGAAATGGACACATAGACATTTTAAGTGCAGTGTGATGAGGGAAAATAGAGGATACAGCAGAAGCAGAGAATCCAGGCTGCAGGAGGGAGGAGAGGGGAAGGTTAGGAGGGGCTCCAGAATCCTGTTGCCTGTCCCTGCATCATGCAGCCGGCAGGGCTGTGCAAGTTAGGCTGCCCTGTCAAGCAGGCAGAGAAGCCAGGCTGCAGGAAGGAGGAGAGGGCTAGATTAGGAGGGGCTCCAGAATCCTGTTGCCTGTCTCTGCATCATGCAGATGGCGGGGCTGTGCTGGTTACGCTGCCCTATGGAGCAGGCAGTAACCCAGGCTGCGTGCCCTCCCCTAACCATGTTGCACCTGGGGCCATATGCACCACAATTAAGGGACATCTTCTCTTCAGACAAAGGTGACTTCCTCTCTGCAAGCCCCACGCCCTCCAAAAGGGGAAGCTCCCAGGCTTTAAGCAAGAGGAGAAACTGATCAGGTCCCTAATTCTGGATGATCACTCGGGATGACTGACTATGCTTTGCCCACAGTCCAGGAGCACTTACTTAGGTGTAGTCACTGTGTCCGGGCTCTGTGTGTGGCATTTTCCTGCCCTTTCCCAGGGCTGTCTCAGAGGTTGGGAGAAGGGCCAGACTCTCTAGTAGACTCTGACACCACCTAGAAAAGCTACCTGCATAGGCCCCCCAGTCGGGGGTGCTGAGACTGCCTACTTAGTTGCCAGCACATCCAGGTGTGGGCTAGCCTGTGGGCCACGTGTCTTCAATAAAGAGGGGGACACTGGAAACCGGCTAGTACCACATAGGGCTGAATGCAGCTGCTGCTGGGGTTCATGTTCCATCAGTTAAAGTCTAGAGAGAAAGAGAGGAGTGCAATCCCAAATACCCCACCTGGAGGTGGCAGCATGAACTCCCTGGCAGGTGACATAACAGGGACACAGCAGGAGGCGAAGGTCATATTCGAGGTGGTTTCTGCATCTGTTGAATGAGCCTTGGGAGCCTGCTGTGTGCGAGGCCCTGAGCCAGGGCCCCGGGGATTCAAAAGTGAATAAAACACAGCTCCAGGGTGCATATTCAGCTGCAGCAGACAGATGCACAAGTACTTGAAGTAAATGGTTTGAGGGATGGTGCTATCAGCATACAAGACTCCACAGAGGCTATAAAGAGAGAGGGACCAGCTCTATATGGCAGAGACTCAGAAAAGGGTTTTCTGAAGGAAGCGAGCTGTGGACTAAGATTGAAGCTAAGGGGCAGGGGTGGGGTGCAGTTCTAGGTGGATCCTTTGCCACACAAGCAAAGAGAAAGAAGCTGGAAACAGCCTGCAGCCTCTAGGAAATTCAGGGACTTTAGTACAACTGGAAGGGGGTCAAGAGGAGGCTCTACCAAGACAGGAGGCAAAAGGGAGGCTGGTCCAGGCCAGAGACTTGAGGCACTGGAATGCCAAGTGAAGGAATCTGGTGTCCTTTGGGTAAGAGTAAGCAAGGGCCCCTGAACTTGGGTAGTAATAGCAGATGTTGCAGAGGAAACATCAGCAGGATTTGGCACCATATTGCCAGGAAGAGGTGAAGTAGCGCAGTAGGCTAAGGAGGGCTCCAGGCAATAACAAGGATGGAAGCAATAATGCCAGCACCACACACCAGCCCTTCCTGTGCACAGAATACACGGTCCCATCCATGCCCAGGGGCTTGGCACTGGTAGTGGCAGGGCTGGATTGTCACTGACGCCCCACCACTGGCTCCACTGGGCCAGGCTGAGCTTTCTGCGTGGAGGGAGCCGGGGCCAAGCGATGTAGGTGCACCCTGGAGAAGGTGAGGGGCTCTAGTCCCAGGCTCCTTTTTCGTTTCCTGGCCTCCCTTGTGATTGTTTCCCTCCCTTTTACCATCAAGTCACCCTGCATACTCCACTGTATGAACAGATCACACGATCTGCCTTCAAATCTGCTCTTGAGAACCCCGGGCAAACACATACTCCTCCTTGCCAAGAGGCTTCTCAGTTCCATGTCCAAACGCACTTGCTCCATCATCCAAGGCCTGTGCTCTAAGAGAGAGATCACTGTTTTTAGGTAGAGTTAGAGCTGGCAGACAATGCCCAATACCCCCACCAATTGCTTAGAGCATTTATCAGTCAGGGAGCAGGCTGCCCTGGGGAGTCATCTGCATCAGCTCAGGCCCTGGGCCTCACAGGACCTCTCACAATGTGGTCCTCCAGGCCCATGGCCTCCCCCAACCCATCTGTGCTAAAGGCTAACTATGGCACCCCTCCAAGAAGGGGGTCCTGAGTTAAACCCCAAACTCCAGAGTCCCTTATCCCATCTGTTTCCTCAGTCCATCCCACCCCCCATCCCAAGGTCTTGCTCCTCCACTTTTAAACCTCCAAGGAAACCAAAAATAACTCAATACGTAGCTCAGGGCTTGGGGAAGCTACCTTCAATACCTTAGAGGATTATATTGGAAGTGAAAACAAAACAAAGCAACCATGACTCAATCTCTCTGCCATTTATAAATTACGAAAATAAATATTCACTAATTCACAGAGGTGGTGTGGATCAACCTTTGGCTTTGAACTTTCAAGGTTTCAGAAGTTCCTAAAATTGGGTAGGTCTCTATGCCGTACAAATGATTGTTTCTACTGTTAAAAAGAAAGACATGAGGATAATTTTTTGCCCACGAATTGGGAACCTGGATAATGCTGTGATGCCATGGAGTTTATTTCAATTCTTTAGTTATGTATATAATAAAGATAAATTCTGAATTTACAGAAACTTGAAAAAAAAAAAAAAAGGAAAGACATTCCTGGTGCATGTTAGTCAAACTTCTGTTTCCTGAGTAAACTAGGGACCCTTGGATGAGACTTCTAATTCCAAATCCTAACAAAGTACTACATAGGTAACATTGGAAGTTATCTAGTGCCTGTGACCTTTATTTTGCTCATTTATAGAAAGGGGATAAATGAAACCCACCTTTCTTGTGTGGGCTCAAAAGTGACAGCATGGATGTAAGCATTCAGTACATTGAGAAGCTGGGTGCGCCCCTTCTTTCCTAATGGATGAAACACACAGCATGAGACCATAAAAGCCAGAGTCCTTGTACATTATGGTCTGAGGATTTGCCTGCTTAGAAACATCAGAGACCAAATTATTCAAAAAAAGGAAAAGCCAAAAGCAAGGCTCAAAATCTTACGAAGCAAACATCTTGGGGCTTTAGGGGATGTCAGGGTTAATTCACTGCTTGCTGTCCCCCTGGTTTACTCTTCCCCTCATAGACCCCGTTTATCGAGGTCAGACCTGGACAATTCTCTGAAGACACAGAGCAGCAAATAGGAGTTAAGGGCAGAGTGAGCTGGGTTCAGCAGTAGGGAGAGGAGAATTTCTCAGCATTGTTTTCAAGCTCAGGTGAATGTCAGGAAAAGAACTCACATCATTTCCAACTGGGATCTAAGAATTCACTGAGCACCAACTATTGGCTAGAAGTATGCTGAACACTCTAAATGCCTTACCTGAATCTCATCTACCCCTCTTAGAAAGTAGGCATTTCAAAATCATACTTCTCTAAGTTCTTAAAGGGAACAACAAAGAAATGTGCAATGTGACTCAATGACATAAGCCGTGGTTTAAGCCTGTCTGCGCTTTTCGAGAGTAATCATATGTACCATTTTGTAAGCCCCTTGCTACGTACCAGACACTGTGCCAGGTGCTCCGTATGTATTATTTCTAGTATTCCTCCCCAGATCCTACATGTCAGAGATTATTATTATTCCCATTTTATAGATAAGAAAACTGACTTTCAGAAAAGTAAAGTTACTTGCTCAAGCGCACAGAGCATGTGGGATTTAAAGCCAGAATTCATCTTTCTCTCTGGTCTATTTCCTCAGGATTAAAGGCTCACACTTTAAGCACTGATGAGGCAGAATATTACTGATATAACTCGTTTCTGATCTATATAGACTTTGGAAATATCTCAGGGTAGCCACTTCCTGGCCTACAGAACACTAATTTTGTTCAGGCAGTAACATGTCATCCTGGCTGAATTATTTGTTCTAGGAAAATCATGAAAACCCCAATTGTCTTAGCCAGTGACTGGTTTAGTGATTGCTATGTGACTCTCTTCTGACCAAAGAGATGAAAAAAAGCCTGTTCTTTACTTCTGGGAAAGACTTTCCTCCCTGACCGAGAAGACCTGTGGAAGAGAAAGCCCTTTTGTGGCAGCTCCTCCTGCTATCTGTAACACTATCATGTGAGGACATAATGGTTGGAGCAGGGGCAGCTGTCTTGTGTGCATGAGTGGAAGGCAGTAGGCATTGCTCATACTCTAAGGATATCGGAATGAAGAAGAAAAACTTTAGAAGCTTGGTGTCCTTGTAACCCCTCAAGCCTACCCTGAGACCACTTCCATGATTTTTGTAACATCAGTAAGTGTTCTTACGGCTTAAGCCACTGTCAACAAATTTTCTATTACTCCAAATGCATCCCAGCTGACATAGTTATAAAGTAGAATCAAATCATAATTTATATTTATTCTGAAAATGAAATTTGAGTGTTTTTGGTGGCTGAGTTGCTGACTCTGAATATGGCTCTACTCCTCAAAGTCACCTAAAAGGACTATTAGTGACTTGGAGATTTGAACCAACTCTAATTCTTTCTTTGCTTCTGTAGGAGAGGCAAAACTTTTCCTCAACCCTCTTAGGTTCTGCAGCAGAGGTTTGCAAGTTCAACTAACGAAAGCCAGATTAGCAGGAGAAACGCATACAGATTATATTTGATGTTAATTTTTTTACATGACACAGGGGACTTCGTAGAGAAGAAGTGAAAACCTGAAAGGAACAGGTAGAATTGAGGGCTTATATACCATTTTAACAAACAGTGATAAATTTGTGGAGAAGTGACACGATAAAGAGGTTTGGGACAATAAATTGTGGGAAAAGGACTAGAAAATATACTGGGGTAACCAATGAAACAAAAGGGTTATTTTAGGAAGGTTTATTTGTACAGACTCATCTTGGTATCATCTCGCCATCTCTGATGATACAAATGTTATCTTCTTCCTGGTACCAGAATACCTTTCTCATAGGAAATTTATGCCCTCCTTTTAGGGAGAAAAGTAGGGGGCAGATAGCCCTTCCCATATCTGCTTTTCTTAATTGCCTTCAGCTCAAAATAATCAATATGCCAAAGCAGCATATTTTGGGGTGACATATTCTGATCACTTTTACTTCAAAATAAATAATATATCTATGATTTTACCTATTTAAAATATAATGTATCTTTTATATTTAAATAATTTATATTTAAGTTTTAAATATAGATATAATTAAAACATTAATTGTATAATATTGTCATAATATTACTAAATTGCCTACTAACATTTAATCACAATGATTACTGCATTTTGCATTTAAACTTTTTAAATTAGTATGTAATTATTATAACTTAACCATTAAAGAAATGCATAAAGCAAAAGTGAAGGCTATCCCAGAATTAAAATGTACTAAAACTTCTTTTACTAATTATAAAATGAATTTACATTGTATCTGATCTTCACCCATGTTGTGTGTATGAATAGCTTAATTCCTTTCAAATGAGCAGTATTCCACTACACAGACATACCAGAGTGTAATTATTGATTCTCCTACTGATAAACACTTAGATTATTTCCACTTTGAAACTATTATGAAAAATGCTGGTATTAACATCCTTATACATGTTTTTTTTAGTGGAACTTTTTCGTTTTCATTTCTCTGGGCTGGAGAGCAAGCAAAGCTAAGTTGTAAGGCTGGAAAACAGAACAATGCTTGCTGCTAAGGGTGGCACAAGGGGGTTTCTGAGGTCATGGAAATGCTCTATGCCCTGACTGGTATGGTGATTGTGCAGGTATATACGTTTATCAAAACTTATAAAACTTTGAGCCTTAATGTGTGTAAATTATACTCTATTTATAAGAATCATAAAAAAGAAAAAAGAAAACTGTCCAAAAAGAATATAAGATTATGGTAGGTGTAGAGAACCGGCGGTTGGCATTCCTTCCAGCCATGCTCTTGCATGTCTTCCAAACTGCAGATGCTGGAAAGCTGAGAACCACATTTCTCAGATTCCCTTGAATCAAAGGGAAGGAGACAGTTTGATCTTCACCCATGTTGTGTGTATCAATAGTTTAATTCCTTTTTAATGAGCAGTATTCCATTGCACAGATATTGGAGTCAAACTGGCTTCTTCAAACTGTATACCTTCATGTAAGATTTGAAAGGAGAAGCAAACAGGGGCAGAAGTGGAGGCCATCATCCCATGAACTGGAAGGCAGCAGGGATCTCCTGCAGTTCCTCTCCCATACCAATGGCCAGGGCAGCTGGACCCCTGGCAAGGCCAAATCACCATCCCAGTGTCCAGTTCCCAGCCTCATGCCTGCTGAGGGGCAGTAAGAGCAGCAGCAGCTACAGAGAGAAGCTACAAGTCTAGTTTGTTTTGTTTTGTTTTTTTAACCAGGAACCTTTTGGGGCATGCATAATAGTTGACAGTATTATATAGTGAATACACATATATCTATCACCCAGATTCTACAATTGTTAACATCGTGTTAGATTTGCTGTATCATGTATCCACCATATATTCATCCATTACTCGGTCTTATTTTCTGATTCATTGATGGTTTGTATTTTAACTCAGCAATTCCACTGGTGGCCTCCCGCTCCCAATCCTGCCCAAGGTAGTGGCTTCTCTAGAGGACCAGTGCCCAGACTTGTTCTTGGAGTCTTCCTGGGAGCCAGCCAGGCCTTCCAATGATTGTGTAGGTTCCTCATTCATCATCCCTGCTACGGTTTGTTATACTACAATGCATCTTTCAAAGGCTCCAAGATAGTTCATGTAGAATTAGGAGTTAGGAGGTGATGTCCCTTTAACATGACAAGTGTGTTGTGTTGGTTCATACATGTTTCTTAGCAAGAGAAGCAGGAAAAGACGAATCTTCAGCTTGGCTACAAAATACTTCCTAGTTCTGTCCCAGGAAAATTAAACATGATCACCTACAGCAGAGGTGCCCCCAAACTTGAAGGCTCTTGCAAGGGGCTGGTTGCTCTTTCTCTTGTGCTAAGAGCTTCCATCTGCATTTCCTCAATCCACAAGACAGCATTTTGCTTTTTTTTAATTTTTCATTTTTAACATTCTTGAGGCTAAGTCCAGTCATCACATTTCATGCCTCCATTACCGAACTGTCCCCAAAGTTACAAGCATCATGTTTACCAATACTGTGGGTGCAAAGTGATGTAGGTTTTGGTGGTGTGCACTGAACCTGTATAACTGTGTTAATAATTTTGAAGAGCACAAGGTTTTTCAGGTATATATATATATATATATATATAATGTTATAGAAGAAATAACTGTATTAAATCAATTTCTGGTTAAAACAGCTAAAGTAACTCTGCCACCTGCAATTGAAATCCGACTGATACAGAAATAAAGTCAAGCATCCCGCCCTACCCGAGATCCCAGCTCTATCCCAGTTAATAACCATCAAAGACAGATTTTTGGATCCTTTCACCTAAGAGACTATATTGCAGATGCCTCTCTATACTGGGCCGCACTTATCCACATTAGCTGAGCAGTCACTCCAACACCAGGGCAAGTAGTTCTCCCTCATTATCTGGGGTTTGCTGTAATTTCTTTAAACAACCTTCCTCCTCCTTTCACCTATGGACACTTAGGATGTTTCAACCATTCATCACGAGGAATGGTACAGTTGGCATCTTTCAAGATACTACTTTACCTAAGAGACTGAACATGGGTTCAGGGTGCTTCCTGAGAGAGTGCACATGGTTTGCTGTTGTCCCACAAAAGGGATGTTCTATCACACTCTCATTGAGCTGATGGACATACAAGTACCATCACCAGCCAATTTTAAATTCATTTTTGTCATTGGCCACTTGACGGATTAGAAAAAATGGCATCTTGTCTTAATTTGAGTTTCTTAATATTGAGAAGGGTTGAAGAGTTTTTTGTTTATTAGCCATTTACCTTTTTCCCCCTATGGATTGCTTGCTTTTTTATTTTAAATTGATCTGTAAATATTTTATATGTCAATGAAATTCACTCTTTGTCCAATGTATTTGAAAATGTTTGGGCTCACCATTTGCCTTTTGATTTTACTTATTTTTTTTGTCATGCAGAAATTTTCAACTTTTTAGTAACTAAAATCACCAATCTTTCCTGTTATTTTACCTCTGATTATTATGTCATGTTTACAAACTTCTCACCCTTTCCAAAAATACATACAGTCTTTCCCTCAGTATTCTTGAGGGCTTTGGTCCAGGACCTCCCACAGACACCAAAATAGTGGATGCCCAAGTCCCTGATAGAAAAAATTGCATAGTATCTGCATATGACCTATGCAATCCTCCTGTACACTTTAAATTATTCCTACATTATTTATAATACCTCATACAATGTAAATGCCATGTAAATTGTTGTTACACTGTATTGTTTAGGGAACAATGACAAGAAAAATGTCTGTACTTGTTCAGACACACGCAGTTTTTTTTTCCCAGACATTTTTGATCCAAGGTTGGTTGAATCCACATGTGCAAAACCCATAGACACGGAGGGCTGACTGTATATATAATTATTTATTTGCTAGTAATATAATGTTTTTTATGGTTAACTCTTTGGTCCACCTGAAATTGTTTTGGTATTGAGAGTGGGGTTTTTAATCCACATGGGTAGTAAGTTGGATCGACATAATTTATTGAATTATCTTTAATTTATTTGTGAATGAATGGGCTCCCTATGAATTTTTAGCTATTTCTGGAACATTCTGTTCGATCCATATGTCTGCTGTTACTCCAGGTCCAAATCTTTTGATAGTGTAGGTAATATAAGAAAACATTCAATATATGGTATAAATTGGCTCCCCTCTTAATACTCTCCTCAAATGTCATATTTTTTAGAACCTGTGGTCAGAAGCCAGAAGCAGGCACTTCTAAGGAGGAGCAAAAAGAGCAGGAATTTATTCTGAGCAGGGTGACCAAATATACATATTCAATAAGCTACAGGATGAGACATGAATATTTATGAGAAGAGATACACATGCATGTGCAATTGAGCTTCCTGCCTCTCCGTGTGACCCATGTACAAAAAATGGTGGTACTAGCATGATCCGAGGGTGGAATTTCCAGTCCTTTGAAGTCTAAACATGAAGCAGAGGACATGCAAACCCTTACTGCACATTCTTTATAGATTATCCAGCATCATTTCATGGTTGGTGATCTCTTATCAGGCAAAAGGGAAGGAGCATTGCAGCTGCTTGATGTCAGTGGTGGAGTCTTTTGAAAGGGCTTGTTTCTGTTTAGCCCTTAGGGAAGGAAGCCTAATTTTGGTGAGTGAGGGAGGGGGCTGTATTAGTCAGAGTTCTCTAGAGGGACAGAACTAATAGGATAGATGTATACATAAAGGGGAGTTTACTAAGGAGTATTGACTCACACGATCACAAGGTGAGGTCCCACAATAAGTTGTCTGCAAGCTGAGGAGCAAGGAAGCCTGTCTGTCCCAAAATCTCAAAAGTAGGGAAGCCGACAGTGCAGCCTTCAGTCTGTGATTGAAGGTCCAAGGGTCCCAACGTTGAAGAACTTGGAGTCAGATGTTCAAGGGCAGGAAGCATCCAGCATGGCAGAAAGATGAAGGCAGGAAGACTCAGCCAGTCTTGTCCTTCCATGTTTTCCTGCCTGCTTTTATCCTGGCTGCGC
The DNA here is from genome assembly GCF_000001405.40 of Homo sapiens. NCBI lineage: Eukaryota > Metazoa > Chordata > Mammalia > Primates > Hominidae > Homo > Homo sapiens. The sequence goes on from NC_000021.9 coordinate 35,612,452, forward strand.
TGGCAGCTGATTAGATGGTGCCCACCCAGATTGAGGGTCTGGGTCTGCTTTTCCCAGTCCACTGACTCAAATATTAGTCTCCTTTGGCAACACCCTCACAGACACACCCAGGATCAATACTTTACATCCTTTAATCCAATCAAGTTGACACTCAATATTAACCATCATAGAGGTATAATGAGGCATGTCCAACCTCCCATCCCCTCGTGGATGAGAACTCAGTTTTCAAGGTTACTCTGGAGCCCTCTTAGCCAAGAGAATATCCATTCAATCAGTTGAGGGGACTTCAAATTTTATTTTTGGTTTATAGGTGGAAGACTCAGAGCCCATCAGGAAAGCACGAAGAAAGCAAACTAAAAAAGAGAAGGTGGTGGACACTTGGAATAATAAAAAAACAATCTTCTTAGAATTGTGTTTCCTTAAACTTTGGGAAAGTTAAAAAAACAACTCTCTGCTTTCAAACACTAACTTGGGAGAAACAAAGTCTGACTGTCTGCTGGTGACGGATTATCAACACCAAGTGCAGTAAACCTCATTAATTTTCCCTAATTGGGCAGAAAGTTTTGGAAAAGTCTGAAGTACAGAAACAAATTCAACTTAATTTCAAGTTCATATGGTAACAAGGATGACAGGGCCTCAGGAAGGGAGAGAGCAGAATGTCTCAGAGAATTTTTTAAGGGTTTCAATAATAGATATTTTTAAGTCATTAGGAATTAGAACACTCCCTGATTCACAGAAGCATTTAAATACAAAATGGTTTTACATGTGTTTAGAAACCTTTGTTGGCCTCCAACCTTAAGAAGACTAAATATTTCCCTTGTTTATACTTTTAATTTGCTTGGCAAACCCTTCCCCCGCTTCAAGCCCTAATATATAAATGCACTTCACCAGCATTTTAAATTTATCCCCGATTCTGAATTAGTGGACTTCTCACTGGCCAAGATTGCATGTTTTTTTCCCTCAAAATCCTCAATACTTTTATGCTCCCAGGAAATGTACCTGTCAATATGTCATGTGCATTCTCTCATTTTCTTAAAAGCAGGAACTAAGTTTCATTTTTCACCCTGGATTCTAAAGCAGTTGGAGAGCTTGAAAGTGAAGGGACTGTCAGAGAGGGAGCAAATACATCTAACCATGGTGAAAAGGTGATGAAAGACTTGTGCCTACATTTCCTCAATTTGTTCTTAAAATAATTGTTGACACACTCTGATTGAGGACCAACTCTTGATTTTCCAAGGCTTAGGTCACGGAGATTGGGAACAAAAGACACAGTTATTTTAAAACACAAATGTGAGCAATTAGTTCCCATTTTTTGCTCTTAATATTTTCACAGATATTAATAAGTAGCTAAGTTGACTTCTTTGAATTTGGTATTTTGCTCCTTCCCCCTGCCCACTCTCTTACAGGTATGCAGTTGGACAGTGAGCTAGTTAAGAGGAATGACATGAAGAAAATTTGAAAATATCACCCAGGCTATGTAAGGTCTATGGGCATTTCTGATAGACCAAACAAATCAACAGTGGATTTAAAGGGGAAAAAGATATGTGTGATATTGGGAGGGTATCTTAGTTTGTTCTCACACTGCTATAAAGAAATATCTGAGACTGGGTAATTTATAAAGAAAAGAGGTTTAACTGGCTAATGGTTCTGCCGGCTGTACAGGAATCATAGAAGCTTCTGATTCTTGGGAGGCCTCAGGAAACTTACAACAATGGTGGAAGCCACAGGGGAAACAAGGTACTTTGCATGGCCAAAGGAGGAAGAAGAGAGAGAAGGCAGAGGTGCTACACACTTTTAAACCACAGGATCTCATAATTCCCGCACTCACTATCACGAGAATAGCACCTAGAAGATTGTGCTAAACCATGAGAAACTGCTCCCACGATCCGATCACCTCCCACCAGGCCCCACCTCCAGCACTGGGGATTACAATTTGACATAGGAGTTGGGCAGGGACACAAATGCAAACCATATCATTCCATCCCTGGCCCCTCCCAAATGTCATGTCCTTCTCTTACTGCAACAGAGGGGAGGAGACTAAAACTGGGGAGTGTGGCAGATAGCATCAGTGTTACAACAGTGTCCCCACGCACTCACGGTCCATATCACAGTCAGACGCGATACTCTTTACCTGCTATATAAACACAGACAACTCCCAACCTCCTCCCTCATGGAATTCACCCTTACAGTGTACCACTGGGAGGCTGGAGGTGCTGGAAAGTTAATGTCCCTGGAGCAGCTCTCAGCCCAGAATGAGTGGGAGTTGGAGGACAAATACTCAGCTTTTCTCCCCTTAGGGCAGGACAGCTCTGAAAGCATATTCTACCCTATTGTTCAATGACACATCTTGCAAATGAGTCACTGACCAGCCTTTGTTCTGGACTACCTTGTCAAGGATGTCTGTATAGAAAAACAGCTTTGGAACATAGAGATAATACCTCCCTCTGGAATGAAGAGCAGGCATGCTTACTGCCCATTATATGAGACTTGGGTTCCCTAAGTACAAAGTTCCCACCCACTGATTGTGTAAGCAAAATCTAGGCCCCATTGTACCATGACCATGGGACTAGGGGGGCAAGGAGAACCAACACAGTAATGCTCATGCTGCCTGTTGCGCTGAAAGGAATAGAGGCCTTTGTCTCTGATATAATGGTCTCACACCATCTGCCAGCATCCATGGCATGTGGCAGGCCAACTCATTAGCTTCTAAGTATGGGGAAGATCTCAGATCCATCACAGTTCTTAACTAAACTCATTGACCTCACATCATGGAAAGCAGCCAATTGCAGGATGAAATTTTAATTTGGCTTACATTAAAAAAATAATTTTCTAAGAAAGTTTATTTTAAAACTTTATTATATTGCTCAGATAGGATCAGAATTAAAATGGAATATTTTGAGAAATGGATCTCCTGTGTCTTTGTAGCCACAAAATTTGAAGTTGAACCACTCAAGTACCCAGCAAGTGGCAGACATACCATGAGCAATAGAGTTAATACAATGATTATCTCAGATTGTGTTGTTGTTTAAAGATTCAGGAGACAAGTCCAGCTCCCCTTCCTGAGAATGAATGCAGCCTACAGGAATGAGGAACTGTGAACTTCCGGGGTATATAGTAATGGGTATATACACAGTGTACATAATAACAGCCAAATACAATGAGTTCATAACTTTTGCTTCTCACTTGTGACCCTATAGGTCAATATTTATATTTTATTTGTTTATGAATTTATTTATTACAGCATAAAAAAGTCTATCTTATTAAGCATATGCCTTAAAATGATGAATGAAGGAAAAACATAATTAATGATGGAAAAGAGAAAAGTTGTTGAGACACGTAATCTTTTGCAAGTTGAACGGGAAGAGCAAACACACGTCTGGCACTGGGATTGGCGATGGGCTTCAAGTCCGAAGCATTTTCATACTTATTCATAGGTGACCAGACCATGTGCAGAACAGAAAGACGAAGCATTAGGAGGTTCATCATCTCTGCAGCCCCATGGAAAGCGGTTACCTCTATTTCACAGATCATTGAAAACAAATCAGATCCCAGTATGGCTTAAGAACCTTGGTTTTGCTTTCACTAAAATTTCTCATACATGGTAATAAAAAGTATTTCAGAAAAAGCTCTTTCTAGACTACCTATAAAAAAGGGCTTATTTTACTACCACTGGTGCTCTCTACACTTAAAAGTTTCCCAATCACATAAGGCACAAAGTTAGGACAACATTGAAAAAGATAGTTATGTAAGCTTCACTGCGGGCAAAATAAACTTCACTTCGGGCACAATAAGCTTCACTTCAAATCAGAGACGGAAGAAAGACCCAAAGCCAGGGAAATAATTTCACCCTTGCTTAATATGCTTTTCAGATTAATCTCAGAATGACACCAAAAGGCCAAGATAAGAAATGCAGGCAGTGAATACAAGCAAAGAGCATTTAATATTAGAAGCTTACATATTGCGTAAGTGATAAAATAGTATGTATTAACAATGTTCTCAATCACCTTAATTTTTCATCATTTTGCTTGTTTGTTTAAGAACTTTCAGTTTCAAACAGAAATAAAATTAGTTTTCTCCCTTGAAAATAGGATATTCATTGCCTGGCCTGATTTTGACATCAATGTTGTAAGTAATTTGGACAACAAACATCCTCAAACACACAGTCGCTTACTAAGTACCTGTGCCACACCAGACATTGTGCTCGATGTTAGGAATTCAAAGAGGAATAAACAGGGCCTATGCCCGTGAGAGCCTGAATTCTGATAGAGACATTTTTTCCCAAGATAAAAAAAAATGAATACGTGACTTAGTTTTTTTTTTTTAATAGGCTCTGAAAATTGGATTTTTTTCCCAAATTTTCTGCAAAATGGAAACCCAGGGAAAAATGAAGACAAGGTTTTATTCAGCAGGTTAATTACATCTTATAACTATGGTAGAAGCTTCCAATTTCCCTACTGGGGTTGGTAGAAAATACACATCAAAATCTCTTACGTCCATGTATGTTCTTTAGGTTACCTCTCACTTTAGTTACTTGGTTTCTTGAAAATCCTTCAACCAGAACAATGAAATGGTCTTAAGTCTGTGTTTGATTGGGCCTTGATGGGGCAATGGAGCCCAAGGCCAAGAGCATCTGCAAAAAAGTGAAAAATGGGATCCTCATAGCCCAGCCTAGATCCCAAAGACAGAAGATCAGCTGTGGATTGAGGACCAAGCCTCCACTGATAATACAGCAGGTTCCTTGGCCCATCCTGTCCTTAACACTAAAGACAGAGTGTGAAGAACCAAATAACGTTGCAGGTATATTCCACAAACTGTTCTCTTTCACACAAATTATTCCAGGGAAAGCTCCCTACCTCAATTTATGACACTGATATAACCTAGGAACCAAAACAAGGACATTAAAAGAAAAATTTACTATAGGCTAATAATCAATCTATCTTATGACTAGAAATGCAAAAATCCTAAATAAAATATTGGTAACCTAAATCCATAAGACTTAAATAAATACATGATGGCCATGTATGATTTATCTCAGCAATACAGGATTAGGTTAACATTAGAAAAATCTCCAAATATAATTCACAGCCCATTACAGGAGAAAAGCTATATGATCACCACAATAGATGCAAAAAAAGCACAAAGGCAAAATTCAACGTCTTGCATGGTAACAAAACAAGTATCCTAAACAAGTTAAGAATGGAAAGAATTCACTTAATATGATGGATGGAATCTATCCAAATTATACAAAATAGTCAAGAATTAGAAGCATTCTCCTAAAGGCAACAAAGCAAGTCAGGAACAAAACGAGAATGCCTACTCTAGCTTCTTCTATTTAACATTGTACCAGAAGGTCAAGATGAGAAGATCACTTGAGCTCATCGGTTCAAGACCAGACTGGGTAATATAGGGAGACTTCATCTCTATTAAAAAAAATAAAACTAAATGACATTGTTCCAGAGATCCTAGCCAGCATGACATGGCATGGCAAAAAAATAATTGATATAATCATCAGAAAGGAAGAAATAAAATTGTCATTATTTGTAGGCTATATGATTATTTACTTAGAAAATTCAAGAGAACCTACAACTTATCAGAGCAAAGAAATAGAGGTAAAGGAATAGCTCAGATGAACTGATTAGAGAGATTAACAACAGACCAACATATGCATGTGCATTTCACATATGGCAGAAGGTCATATAAACCAGTGGGGAAAGAATGAACTATTCAAAAAATGGTTCTGGGTTGACTGACTATCCATTTGGAAAAAAACAACTTTCTTTCATTCCAGTTACAAAAAAATAAATTCCAGATGAATTTGAAAAGGTTTTCTAAATTTAACATTTATGGAAGAAAAATAGAGATTTGTTTTAGAACTCCAAGGCAGAGAAGCATTTCTAAACCAAGGCACAGAAATGACACATAACAAAGAAAAGAGTGATACACTTTTTTGCTATATTAAAATTTGAAATCTCTGTGTGGCACCATAAACAGAGTGAAATCTAGAAGCCAAATACTGGAGAAGACGTGAGCAACACAAATAGCTACAAAAGAGACTTTCTCTTAGGTCTTCTTGGTCAGAAATAGGTCTGGGGAAGCAAGGAATAGGGAGAGATTTGTTGAAGGACACAAAATTATGGCTAGATAGGAGAAATAAGTTCTAGTGTTCTATACCCCTGTAGGATGACTATTGTTGACAATAATATACAGTTTCAAATAACTAGAAGGAGGATATTGAATGTTACCAACACAAAGAAATGATAACTGTTTGAGATGATGGATATGCTAATTACCCTGATCTGATGATTATATATTATATGCATTGAAACATCACCATGTGCCTCATGGATATGTACAATTATTATTTGTCAATTAAAAAATAAAATAAAATAAAATAAATGAGTCTGATGACCATCAATCATTGTTCATCCACAATGAGGAAGACCTGTCTTCCTTTCTTAGCACATTGTCTCTTCACACTTTAACTAAATTGGGTCACTTTTCACAAAAATGAAAGGAGAAAAGTGTTGGCTAAATAAACAATCTACAGCATCTGGCAAAGGCAGTTCATGGGCAATTGACAAAACAGCAAACCAGAATGGCTGATAAACAAATGAAAGTTGTGAACTTCACTAGTAGTTGGAAGAATATAATTTAAGAGAGAGAGGGGTCACCATACAACCAGCATACTGAAGCATTCTAAATCATCTAATAACACCAACTTATTGGGGTTTTATGAAGCCCATCTCTGCTTGCCTGTCTTACAAGCCTCTGAAATTCAATGTGTTCAAAAGCGAACCACTTCCTCCAAACCCTTTCTTCTTCTCAATCCAGTAAATGCTACCACCAAGAACTCAAGGGAAAGACTTGAGTCATCCTTACAACTGTCATAGCCTCAACCCTCTTATCCAGTCATCCTGACAATATCTGTAAACCCTCTGGGTCTGACTCCACACCTCTAGAATCCATCTCCACTGCCTGGGAGATGTCATCATCATTTCCTGCATGGATAACCTTTACATCCACTTAACCAGTCTTTCTTCCTCCTTATCTCACTGCCTGCCAACCATTATTCAGTGAGCAGTGCGACTGACTCTTCCACAATTAAAAACATTCTATAGTCTTTGCTATAAAGATCAAGTTGAAATCCCAAATGGGATGGCCCTTAACAATTCGCCTGTTCCTCTTACAGCCTCATCTACAGTTTCCCCTGTATTTCCCATTCTTACTGTGTTACTTTTCCCTAAGTATAATACACTCATTAGAGTTATTTCAGTGAGGATCTAGTAGCAGTAAATTCATCTAATATTTGTTTGAAATCTTCTCTTATTTTGCTTTCATTCTGGAATGATTGTTTATTCCAGGATAATGGTTATTTAAGCAACAGGAGTTTAATGGCCTCCTTCTAACTTTTGTCTGAGATTATCCTCACTTATTAAACAAAGTCTACTTCACAAAAGAGATTCACTACTCTAATTACCTTCTTTCCTTTGTTTATTTCTGACCACAATGATGCTCCTGCAAGAAACCCAGCAATGGGGACAACACTCATGTCTATCCAGCTTTGCAGGGTAATGCAAGCTCAAAAATATTCATGTACCATGTCATCATTTAAGGCAAAGTCAGACTGTTATGCTTAGCTTCCTATGATTTAAAAAAAATCTGTAAGTGATAAATGTTTGAGATGATGGATATGCCACTTACTCTGATCTGATTACATACAGTATATATATCAAAACATCACTATGTACCCCATGAATATGCATAATTTATTATTTGTCAATTTAAAAATAAAATTTTAAAAACTGTAAGTTAAATCATGATTTTAAACTTTCTATTTTAGTCCTACATGTAAAAGCCAGACATGAGACTCAATGTTCAGAACACTGAGACTAACTTATTTTGTAAAATAGATCATTTCCTATCAGCTGGCAAGTTTAGATAAATGCATGTTATTAATTAGATTACTTGTACCCTCACATTGGCATAAATGAGTAACATGTATTCATTTCTAAAACACTAATATTTGTGTTTACACAAATATTACACCAAAAATATGTGTTTACACAAATATTACACCAAAAATATTTGTGTAATACATTTATTGATTTATAGCAAAGATACAGGTTAAAGTTGTTTTGAGTTTTATTGCATCACAAAACTATTAAGTTAATGCTCAGAAGAGAAAGACATGTTTTGAGAAAATAGAAAAGATTCCAGGAGTCTATTGGCCAAAAGGAAAACATGCCAAGGAGTGACATACACATACAGCCACATGCCTCTAAGAGTGTGTGATATGGTTTGACTGTGTCCCCACCCAAATCTCATCTTGAAATGTAGTTCCCATAATCCCCACGTCATGGGAGGGACCCAGTGGGAGGTAATTGAATCATGGGGGCAGTTACTCCCATGTTGTTCTCATGATAGTGAGTGATGGTTTTATAAGGGGCTTCCCCAGTCACCTGGTTCTCACTCTTCTCCTTACTGCGGCAATGTGAAGAAAGACCTGTTTGCTTCCCCTTCTGCCATGATTATAAGTTTCCTGAGGCCTCCCCAGCCATGCTGAACTCTGAGTTAATTAAACCTCTTTGCGTTATAAATAACCCAGTCTTGGGTACATCTTTATTAGCAATGTGAGAATGGACTAATACAGTGTATGAATTTATATCAAGTTTCCTCGAGTGAGGTAGACATACTTATTTTGTGCAAGGGATATATTTGACCTAAACATGCATAAAACATAGATATTCACTTTTAAACCACCAAAAAATATTACTAATTCCTCCTCCTTAATTGGCATTTCTTTTGTTATTCATATATGGAATCTAAATCTACCATATAACCCTTGGCATAAATTCAGTCATATATTTGATCTCTTGAAATTCGAATGTGTGTAAGAATTGTCTCAATGTAAAAATGTAAGTTATTTGTAAGAACTGTCTCAATGTAAAAAGGCTGTAAGTTATTTGGTGGCAAGGACAATGATTTTCGTTGTTGTTATTTGTCATTCTTTTCTAATTAATAGATTTGAGTTCCCCAAATGCCACACTTCATTTTACCACCAGGCCTTTGCATGCAGTGTTTCCCCTGCCTGAAGCAGACAGTTCCTGCCTCTCATTCTCCAAGAAATTGAACTTCAAATATGGTAAAAGGATATTATGAGAAACTCTATACCAATAAATGTAACGATTTAGGTGAAATAAACACATTCCTTCACAATCACATCTTACCAAAACTGACACACGAAGAAAGAGAAAATATAAACAGCTCCATATTTATCTTGGAAATTGAATCTGTCAATATAAATATAAATAAAAATATAAATTTTCCCACAAAGAAAACTTCAGGTTCAAATGACTTCACCTGTGAGCTTTTTCTTAATATAAAGAAGAAATAATGTCAATATTACAAGAACCCTCTAGAGATAAGACAAAATTCAGCTTAACCTGGACACTAAAATCTGCAAGAGCATTACAAGATGAGGAATTATAACAAAATTCATTTCTTAGATTACAAAATTCTGAGCAAATTATTTGCAAACTGAATCTAGTAATGTATAGAAAAGGAAATCACATTATGATAAATTTGAATTTATCCTAGGAATGCAAAGTTGGAATAATATTAGAAGATCAATTAATATGATTAACCACATCAACAGATTAAAGATAAAATAATCATATAGTAAAGGTAAATATATATATATATATATATATAGAGAGAGAGAGAGAGAGAGAGAGAGAGAGAGAGAGAGAGAGAGAGTCCTTCCAATAGATGCAGAAAAACAATTAGATAAAATTCAATGTTCATTCACTTTAAAAAAAAAAAAAAGACTTTTAACCAACTGGGAATAGAAAGGGCCCTTCTGAACCTATTTAAAAAACTATAGTAAATATAGTACTTCATGGTAAAACATTGAAAGATTTTCTTGGGAAATCAGGAAAAAGATTCAGGTGCATTATTACTTCTGTCAACATTATAGCAGATATTCCAGCAAGTGACAGAAAAAGTGCAAAGAAAATAAATAAAAATTATTATCAAAAAAAACACAACTTTTATTATTCCCAGGTTGTATGTTATGTATGATTTAAGCATCTACATTCATGAGTAAATTTGGGATGGAACTTTCCTTTCTCATTCTTGTTAGATCTAATATCAAGTTTATAATAGCTAACTTTTTCAATTCTATGGAATAGTTTATGTCTATATTAACCATGTCTCTCATTTTCTGTGTCCTGATGTTTTGACATCTGAGGCTTTGCTAAGCCTGGAGGGACTGCTCCTCCCCCAATTTGTCTATTCCTAGAGATAGTAAACAAGGCATCCATGAGATTGCCTTTCAGATGCAAACCAACGAATCGAGAGCCCATAACCCCCAACCACTGCTGCCTTGGCTGGGCTCTCACGCTCTAGGCCACTATCCATCTCCCCTGATCACCCCATAGCTAAGCACCAAACAAGTAGGGAAGCCCCTGTGCTTCAGAGCCCACTGAAATTATTCAAACTTGCCACTTCTAAACCTGTTCACCCTGCCTCACCCATTACTTTTTACAGAAGCCACAAAAGGTTCTTGCTGAAGTTTCTCCCTCTTCCTCTGCCTCCTGACCAACCCCTGTGCTTTCCTGTGTGGCCCACAACAGTGTGGCATGACCCCTTCTCTTGAGATCTGTGAGTAATAAAGTATCTGTTCAATGGCAGTCACCTCCTAACCTGTTGACCTTGCCATACCTAAATAATAATAAAAACTCTATCTCAAGACAATGTAAAATTAAAATTATTTGTAGAACTTACCTATAAGTTCTACAAATAACCTGAAGATTTTCTGCATAAGAAGATTTTTCATATCCGCTTTTTATGTTTTTAGAATTATTTATAATTAAGTATTATTTCTTTCTAAGACAATAGTAAGTGATATTGTTCTAGTGATATGCTGCTTTAGCTGCCTTCCTCAAGTTTTATGATGGAGTATTTTTGTTTTCTAAATACTTTAATTTTCCAGCATTTTCTTTGTTTCATTTTCTAACCCTTTGATTTTGTAAACATTTTTTTAATTTCCATAATTATTCCTTTACACTCTCGTCTGAAGAAATCTCATCCAACACCCTGATTTTAAACACCAACTAAAGGCCAATGATCCCTAATTTCACACCCTCAGCTCCTGAGCTCTAGATATGTAAATCAAACATCCTACTTAATATTTGCATCCAAATGCCTAATAAGTATTCACAGACTTCATGGCAAGCAACATGCCTGATTTCTATTCAGAAGGTCCTTTCCCTCAGGCTACTTCTTTCCAATCACCCATTTGTCAAAAATGTGGAGCCATAATCAATTTTTCCTTTCTCCTTCATCCTTACAACTTACAACTCACAAGTCCTGTCACCTCCAGCCCTACAGCATCTCCCTGGCCTGTTCACCCTCCTTCCCCCTCCACTGTGGTCATCCTGGTCTAAACACCTGTCACCTCTTACCAACATACCTGCCTTGCCTCCCAGCTAGAGTCCCTGCCTCTCCCTTTACCACACACCACTCATTCTCCCCACAGTGGGTAGAATCATCCAGACCCTATCTCTGTCCTGTTTAAAACCTCCAAGTGTAGCCCATCAAACCCCTTTACCAACACCCATTAGAACTGGCCCTTGTCTCCCTCACCTTGCATGATTTTTCTCTTTGTTTTTAGACTTCAGCCACACTGTCCTTTTCATTTTAATACAAATCCTTTAGGGCCTTTTATGCCCAAATTTCTCTTGGCCCAGAAGGTTCTTGACCAAACATTTTTCCTTTATCTGTATCTCAGATAGGTCTTCCCTGGTCATTCAGTCTAAAATGAACTCCTTTCCTGCAGTCCCCAATTGTTTTAGAGATGGGTATATTGCCAACACTGGCCTTGAACTCCTGGGCTCAAGCAATCCTCATGCCTCAGCCTCCAAAGTAGCTGGGATGACAGGCATGGGCCACTGCACCTGACCTGCATCTCCTTTTTTCATTACATCACTGTTTATTTTATATTTTTTCTATTGTACTTATTGCAACCCCAAATTATCTTATGTCTTTTTGTTGTACTTTCCTATAACCTGTTTCCATAAGAGCCAAAAGTCTTGACTAATTTTTCACTGCTTTAGCTTAGGATGATACCTGGCACACAATAGATGCTCACTATAATGGCTTGAATGAAGAATTAATAAATGGACATGAGAATATACTCATGACGGGCCGTGACAGGTGTTTGAGAAAATAGTTTGAGACCATGTGCTGCAGAGCCTGTGTTGGTTAAGGGATGGTGAGAAACAGGTGGGTGCCTAAGTACTCAACGAAAGAGTCAGGTAGGAAGGAACATGGACACTGTCATTACCTTTGACTTCTCCAGCCTTTGAGCTAAGATTCCTTGTCAGGCTGAAGGCTTGCAGTGCAGTTGCCTCTTGTTTGAAATTTAGTCACCAGTACTGTGAGACTCAAATAAGCAGTGGGGAATATTGTAATAAGTGACTATTCTAAACTCTAGGGAAATCCAAAAACAGAATTCAAGTCTTCCTTAAAAGAAAAGAGGACATCTTAGGAAATGAGGTCTTTAAGATAAATATCACTAAGCATCAATTTGGGCATTATCCGAATTCTGACATCACAAGTGAAAACAACTTCAACTCCACTTAAAGAGATGTCAGATTCAGGCAGTTTTACAACAGGAAATGGAAAAAGGTTAAGGCTTTAACTTGATTCAGATGTCATTTGATATATATACATAGGAAATTAGGTCACTGAAAATAATTTTTTCAATCGAGAAATTTACAGCCCAGAATAAAATGATGTTTTAATCCATTTTAGCCAGTGTTCCTTATCATTTAGCTGGTGATGTGTTATCCTGCACTGACTACTTAAAAGCTACAAACAATGGAAAATTCGAAAAATATCGCTATGCTTGTTTCTGCTACTAGCATTTTAATGACAGTAAATTTAAGCTATTGAGCACAGCTATTTTCTTGAAAAAAAAAATGGTGACTGCCATCCATTAAGACGTGTGTGACCAAGACTTTGAGACCAGCCTGCGCAACATAGCAAGACCCCATCTCTACAAAAAAATAAAAATAAAAATTAGCTGGGCATGGTGGCACATGCCTGTAGTCCCAGCTACTTGGGAGGCTGAATCAGGAGAATTGCCTGAGGCCAGGAGTTCGAGGCTGCAGTGAGCTATGATCACACCACTGCATTCCAGCCTGGGTGACAGAGCAAGATTCTGTCTATAAAAAATAAAGACTTCATGGGTGACTACAGTAATGCAGGAAATATTCATTAATGTCAAAGTCACTCAGTTTACGAAGCAAACTACCTCTGGGGAAGCAAGCCAAAAAAGTGTGGATGAAACCCTATATCTACGCAAGCAATCAAGATCCAACTCAAATATCACCTTCTATGTGAACACTTGCTACTCCTCTTAAGAAGGATTATCATTCCTCCCTGTTTATCAATGTATAAATCTCTATTCTTATACACACTTCATTAGATAATAAATCAGTCTCCCACACTCAACTGTCAGCTTCTTAAAAACAGAAAACCTTTTTTAATCAACTTTGAATCCCCAGCTCCCAATAGTGTCAAGCATTCAAGAAAGATTTACTGAAAAAGCAAAGTAAACACGTATTTAAGTGAGGATCTCCTATATAACAAGTGTTGATCATTGTCTCATTAGTAATAATTTTTTTAATCCAATCTATTCCTGCCCTTAAATACCTTATGCTCTGGTTCTGGGTTCTAAAGGGGAGGGGGCCTGCTTTCCATTTATAACCCTGCCTTCACCCACCTCACTTTGTCAGGAGCATAATAGCAACCTGCCTGTATTTTCTCTGGCACAAGTTGCTTATATTCCAAGTCAACACACACAGTCCTAATAATAAAGAACAAGGAATTGTGTCACATCGTCTCAAAACTTGACTACTCCTAAAGTCCTTTTAAAATTAAAGAAAATGTCCATGAAATTCCAAACCGTTTTCTAACCCAAGAATCTGATTCAAGTAATGCTAAAGAACAGGCTTGCAACATTTTTTAAAGAAAGGAAAATTTTAAATATAGCATGTGCAAGTCACTATACTAATTTACTTAGGAAATATGTCTAGTAAAGAGTGGCTTCTAGCATAACTTATACATTTAATATGTCCAGCTATAAATCAAAACCACTCACCACAGAGTTTTTCTATAGAAATTGTCCCACTCCCCATTAATTTTGCTGACCGGAATTTCAGTGGAAGATTAAGCAGTTAATTTTTCAAGTAGTAGCACAAGCTCTCTTTTCTCTTAATGGAAGATGGTGAGAGAAAAGTGTTTTCCACATTTCTGGCCTATATGTGGAGAAGAAACAGTCTGGTTTTACCAGGTTGCAAAAATAATGCTCCTATTTGGATAGGTTTTCTTTATTTACCATATCCATCTGTAGAAGTTGAGAATTTTCTTATTCAAGGGAATTATAAAATATATATTTTACATGTATTTTATTTATGGGAATACATAGAAATAAATACATATTTTATATGTATTTTGTTTATTATGTATTTATATATGGGGAAAATCTGCTATACTAGAGATATGTAAGTCATGCCATCTTAATTGTGAGATATAGTTGTGATTTGAAATATTATGTTCCATTTTCCCCACAAGAATACTCAGACCTATCACACATTGAGTTTTGGTATTTGCTTTGGATAATAAGGACCCTGTAATGATCACACTGTGTCACCCAAAGTGACATACAATAAATGGGTGTTACAACACAACCTTCCTCTTGGGAGTTAGTTCTGTTCTTTAACTCTGATTTTATAAGCAGCCTCACTCTACTTTAACTCTTTTAAAAAGCTACTTAACCAGGTATTTCCCACCAGGCAGTCTTAAAGATTATTGTGAGCTTGCCTACAATATAAAATTCTGTGGTAGTGTTGATAGATATTTCCTAATCCCAATAATCAGCAAGTGCCTCTTAAATACCTTATGCTAAATATTATGTCTTGTATTAATATTAATGCCAATTTTTCTAAATTGTTTTCCTAAATCATGTGACAAGCATTCCAAAAAGGATGTCTTGCAGAAAGAGAACACAGAAGTACAGCTTACAAAGAAAATAAAGAAATACGTAGATTCTGCTTTCAATTTATTCAAAATATACTGTTCTTTCCAGTTAAAGAAGAAAATGATTACATATTCCGTTATCTTGAAATAATTAAAAGGTCATCAATTTTCTGTCACAGATGTGATATGGTTTAATTACATTCTATAAATGTATTGACCAGGCCATCAGGGGAGGCCGTCTTGCTGAGAGGTTATTATCTTAACAACAAAGTGATGTCCATTGAGTGGGCTAGAAGTATGTATATAGAGATTTGTGTACATGTGTGGATTCAAAAATGACTGAAAAACTGGGAATGACCGAGTTGGCTGGAACCAAAGACAGCATGAGATTTACTCATGTTTTCCTAAGATAAAATAAAATATTTATTCATAGAAATACAGAATTTGCTTACATTAATAAATTTTTCCCTGTGCAAGAACTTTTATCCATATCAGACTAACTATTGAAACTGAGCAAAGAAAATGGCAGACAAAAATGCAATTAAATAGAGCATCTCTCAAAGTAATCACATTTTCAATTTCCCCTATTCTATTTTAAAACAGTTAGAAGAAACAAGTCTCCACATGGATTGGAAAGCTAAAGGATTCGTGCTGGTATCACCCAATCATGTGTCTCCCCCAGCTAGGAAAGCCCTACATACGAAGTCGCTTGGAAAAAACAGAAATGGTAGCTTCCGCCATGCCTCTACTTACTCCAGGATTCCATCCAATAAGCTCTACTGCAAAAAAGACGGTGGACTACAAAGTCCATGCATCCTACGTTAGGCCAGCACCCACAATGGCTGCTCCCTGAAGCTGCACGAATGCAGGTATATAGTTCCACTTATGTGTTGCAAGCTTCTTCCTCTTGCTTATCTGATCTTATCTGATCCCAGCAGATTCCAGCTTCTGCACACAGCCATAGTGATTCCCATAGTCTAGGGTGGCACCCATATTAGAGTATATTTTGAAAGCTCCTAGGGATTATTCTAAAGTGCAATAAGGTTGAAAACCATAGCATTCCATGCTGCTGACTCCAGCCTTTCCGGAATCCTTATATGCCTCTCCCTAAGTGAGCCCCTCTCCAAGTGTATTTTGTTTGTTCCCTAGTTTGCATATCCTGCTTTCTGCAACACCTTTCAAGGCTGAGACTGATCTTTAAATCACTACAAACTTAGCCCAGCCTTTTGCAGACCGTCAATATCCTGATAAATAAATAAAGGGGTAAGATGTTGAATAAATGGCTCCACATTACTAGTCTTCTGTTTTCTATTCAGAAAAGTGAATATATTCTCCTCCTACCCACAAAGATATTGGAAAAGTAAATTGCGTTTAAGGAACGCATTTTTTCAAACAAATGTATGCCATATAGAGCAATAGTATTGTTAACTTCTAAGAAGGTATGTTCACTTTCATGTGATCGAATAGGAAAGCTGCAGATAGGATGTTTAGTAAAAACTTTTATCAATTTACTCATTCAAGCCTCTCTCATGAACTCATTCCTTTTCAATGTATGGCTTTCAGCCATCATCCTGGAAGTAACTTCTATAAAGTAGAATTGGCTGTAGCGATTTTGAATTCCTCTCACAGAGACAGATAAATGATGAGCTAAATTTCATTTCACTTATGAATGAGACTGGAACGTGAAGATGTGCACCCAGAGGGTCACATAAAAGATTATGTGAGAAGTCAGTCCTGCTCCTAGATCCTGAGCTGGATCAAACTCTGAAGAGCAAAACAAAATCAGAAGGCACTGTTGATACTAACTCAGCAGCCAAGTCTTGAAGACGCAAAACCCAGACTGCCCCAAAAGAGAGAATACTGTATACCGTGCTTGAAGGGTACTCTGGCTAACCATGCTATTGCCATTGGGATATGGAAAATAGCAGTATTCCCTTCCAATTGCAGCTGTAACAAATGACCACAAATTTAGTGGCAAAAAAAAAAAAAAAAAAAAAACCCAGAACATAAACATCCCAGAGATTAATTCCCTTACAGTCCTAGAGATCAGAAGCCCAATGTAAGTCTCAGGTAGCTCACATTGAGATGTCAGCAGAGCTGCCTCTTTCTGAAAGATCCAGGGGAGAATTCGTTCCTTGCTTCTGCCAGCAACTGAGGGCAGCAGGCAGTCCTGAGCTCCTGGCCACATGGCTCCAATCTCTGCCTCCATGGTCACACGGCCTTCTCCTCTCTTGGAGTCAAGTCTTCCTTTGCCTCCCCCTTGCAAGGACCTTTAGGATTGCATTCAGGGCCCGCCCCGATAATCCAGGATAATTTCTCCTTCTCAAGATCCTTAGCTTAATCACATCTGCAAAATCCCAAGTCCCTATTGCCATGCAAGGTAATATACATGGGTTCTCGAGATTAGGTGTAGACATCTTTGACGGCCATTATTCAGCCAATTACAGACACATCATCAGATAAAAATAAGGTGTGCCAAAAATAACTATAATACAAGGCTGGAAGTAAAGATGTTCTAAGAGAAGTACAGATGGAACCACGTGGAAGTGAGAGAGAGGATGAGTCTTTCCCACCAAGAAGGGTCAGGGAAAGCTCTGAGGGCTACAGGACATCATCTGGTTTTGAGAGACTGGAAGAATTCAGAAAGATTAAAACTCAAAACATTAAGTAAAAAAATCGATAGTCAATACTCACCCCTCCCATGAGGCACACACATCCAAAATAAAACAAAACAGCTTTTTAAAAAAGAATGATGTTGGGAGAATTGTGGACTTGTCAGCCGGTAACCAACGGTGCAAATTGATAGTAAGTAAGATGCTCTAATTCTGGAATCAACAGAACAAAATAATCAAGAAATAAGGTATCTTATAAATAAAAAATAAATATAATGGATGGTTTTTATTTTATTTTTAAGAAATATTTCAAACGAATGAAAAAGGGGTAAACCATTTCATAAACAGCCTTGGAGTGGGCAACTGATTAGTGTGTGTGTGTGTGTGTGTGTGTGTGTGTGTGTGTGTGTATATGCGTGTGTGTGTATATATATACACACACATACGCATATGTATGTATATATACACACACACACGCATATGTATGTATATATACACACACATACGCATATGTATGTATATATACACATACATACGCATATGTATGTATATATACACATACATACGCATATGTATGTATATATACACATACATATATATACACATACATATATATGTATATATGTGTGTATACATATATGTATGTGTGTACATATATGTATATATATGTGTGTGTACACATATGTATATATGTGTGTATATATACACACACATACACACACACATATATGCACACATACATATATTTAGATTAGAATCAATCAACAAAATTAGTTCCAAGGGAATTTAAAAATTAAATGTGAAACATCAACATATAAGAAATCAAGAAAAAATAGATATGTTTACCATCACTGGAGGAGGTACAATTTATTAAACTTAGAATAAAAACATTAACATATTTAACTGTGTTATAAATGTAAGCTTCTGTTCTTCCAAAAATAAATAGAAGCAAATTAAAAGGCATTTTATTTGGGGGGAAATAGAGGAGATATTACATAGACAAAGTACTAATATTCTTAAAAAGCTTAATCAGATTGAGTTTTAAAATACTGAAGCCTCAATAGATAAACTGGCAAAGGATGTGAATAGGCAATTTCCAAAAAGGAAACTCTAAACAATCAGCAAATGTGTGGAAAACACTTTCCTTCACCAGCAATCAAAGAATGACACATTAAAATAAAAATGAAGTAACATTTGACCTCTATCAAATTAACCAGATATTTTTTTAGAAAGATCATGATCACCGCCACTGCTGAGGGCACTGTGAAAGGGTACTCTACAATATTGCTAATATTTTGATATAATCCTTTTGGAAAGCAATTTGGCAAAGAGCCTTACGATGTTTATTTTCTCCAATGCAGTACTTACACTTTTGAGAATGGAGCCCAAAATAATCCTGACTATTGAGAGGCATTATTTTTAATAGCAAAAAAATTCAGAAGTAATCTAAATCCCAGACAAAAAAGTAATAGCTACACAAATCCCATATGTTCACTCCATTGGTTATTATTTAACTTTTTAAAAATTATATTTAGAAAGAATGTGCAAATATGGAAAATATATGTCAATGTTAAAAAGCAAGAAAAAATATTGTATTCATAATATTTCTACTTAGATTTTTTGT
The DNA here is from genome assembly GCF_000001405.40 of Homo sapiens. Classification (NCBI taxonomy): domain Eukaryota; kingdom Metazoa; phylum Chordata; class Mammalia; order Primates; family Hominidae; genus Homo; species Homo sapiens. Next base: position 35,631,733 of record NC_000021.9, read on the forward strand.
AAAATAAATATTAGAAGCACATATAAGAAAATACTGTGTTATGTCTGTCTCTAGATAGTGAAACCATGAATGATTATATAAATGTTACATATGCTTTTTAAATTCTCATTTTTTAATTCAAAGGCTTTCTTATCCTTTTGTTGTCATTGTCAAATGCTTACAGTATGTTACATAAAGCTTTATCTAAAACTAAATTTTTTAAATGACCAAAATTAAAGTTTTTCCTTCCATAAGATGTTCAAGAAATAATTTTTTATTTCTTTTTTGTAAATAATAACTGGGTTTTGTATTTACTTTTTTGTTGCTGGTATCTAATAATGCAAGAATTATAGATTTGAGATTTCTCTCAAGAGAAAATCCAGACCTCTTTCCTTCTAAGAAAATTGTTATCTGCTACAGCATTTTAAATCTGCATTGATTATATCACAGCCATCATAAAGTGTTTCTACTTGCTCATAATAGCCCCCATAAACTTTAAGTTTCAAATAAGAAATGATGTGGTTTTGTAAAAAATCTAATCATGCTTTTTGGCAGATGTGTATCTCGAGATAAATGCTAAGTTGATTTCACGATTTTTAAAACACTCCCCAATATTAATATCATCTATGAGTATAATCTTATTAGCAATTAGCTTTTAAACTGTTTGTTCTTTGAAGGTAACATTTGCAAATCATTTGAAGAAATTCATCAAATGACTCCCCACTGTTGGATTTGGCAAAAATGGAGTTTAAAGTTGAGGGAAGGGGCAAGGAATGCAGGATCTAGGGATCTCGCCAATTTGGGAACCAAAAACCAAAAGAGAAATTCAAGAAGGAGGTGCCAAGGCATATCCTGAGTCCTGGATCCTGAATCAGGGAGCCAGTTGGTGTTGAGAACCCAATGGAGCATTCTGTCCTGGAAACCAGACATGGAATACAGCTGAGAATGAGGTTTGCTTGGGGGATTTTAAGAAAAGGAACACACTTTTGTTCCCTGGTGATGTCCAGTCCTGCACCCTCTCCCTTCTGCTGGGCAAGAGCCACCCCGATTGTATCTTCTAAAAGAGTGCTGTGCAGCGAAACTTTCCATCATGGTGGGAATGATCTATATCTGTGCTGTCCAATGAGGAGCCCCGAGCCACCTGTGGCTCAACTTGGAACATGGCTTGTGCAACTGAGAAACTGAATTGAAGGCCGTCTTGGCCACTGAAGGAGCCCCATTCCCACAGAGCAGGAAGGCTGCCCTGGTCAAACATGCTATTGCCTTTAGGATGCAGGGGAGCCTTTGAATAGCTTCTTTCAGTTCTCTTGCCTGGTTTCTAGCTGTGCTGGATCGGGGGGAGGCTGTGGCCTCCTGATCACTATGACATCCTAAACAACATTACCAGGCTTTACCTCACCACAAACACCTCAACATTCTAGAAGAGCAATGACCACCAGTGCTGGAACCAATAGCCATATGTAGCTATTTAACTTTAAATTTAAATAAATTAAATTTAAATAAAATTAAAAATTCAATTTCTCAGTTGCACAAGCCATATTTCAAGTTGAGCCACAGGTGGCTCGGGGCTCCGCATTGGACAGCACAGATACAGACCATTTCCGCCATAATGGAATGTTTCCCTGCACAGCACTCTTGTAGAAGGTACCTGGTCTAGCAGATGCTGAGTGGGCCTAGTTTTCTCCTTTTCTAAGACACAGAAACATAGAGGGTCTGACTTAAAGAACCCCCACGGAAGAGGCCTAAGTGCTGTTAGCATTTAATTAATTAATTAAAATTTGCCTTCAGCCTCCTGTAAGACAGACCCCCTGACTGTGGTCAGCAGTCGCACGCAGACTTTGTCATTTTGCTTACTGACCACACATTCTCATGGATCAATTCTAAATTGGATTATTGTTAGTTTTAAAAGCGCCTGAGCAGCAGAAAGCAGCCACGATGGCAGGCCAAGGGGAGATTGATAGCAGAATAAACAGGGAAAGTGACAAGATCCGAGGCTGAATTGATCACTGTCAGCGCGTCCGTGGTCAGCTGTCTGCCCTTTAGTGCCCAAAGTAAACATCAGAATAATGTTTAGACAAACACATTTGATTTTTGAGGTAATGGGTATGTCAACTAATGACAAACCTTAGAAAGGCCAAAGGGATATCCATTTTTCAGACTTTTTCAACCATTAATCGTTGATTTTGGTAGCAGTGCACTTCTAGGCAGAGCATAGAGGGAACTCTGGCGTGGGTGGGGACCAGGACAAACCTCCCTAGGATTCACCTGACCATCAACATTTTCCTCTATAATAAAATTTTGTTGGAAGCAGAGAGTTCATTCTTTAAAAATGGAAGCTTCACTGGATGCAGAATTTCAGTTGTCTAAAGAAAATCTGCAACAATCTTCTCAATCCTTCAAAGGGACATGGTCCATTAGCACCCACTAGAATTACATGGACCTTGCCTGTTACCAAAAACAAAACAAAGCATGGAAAATTGCTTTATCAGCAGCAGTTTACCATTGAGGAACTTATGCTACTGTTCCAAAAATAAGATATCGTTGGTGAATCACGGGTACCCAAAATTACAATTTGGGTACAATTTATCATTGGCGGGGTCATTTTTAATGCGATTTTTTTTTCTTTACACTACCATCCATTAACTGTGACTTGGGAGGCCAATCAGGATTGATGGCAACTATACTGAGAGCTCCAAAATTAACATGGTTTTTCTGATCGTGTAAGGCATTTTTCTTTTGCCCGCAGAGATGTGGCAGATGAAACCAGACGGGAATGGAATGTGGTCTAGAAATCGGCTTGCCTCTAGAAGGAGCTGAGTAGTACAACTCTGCTTCCCACAGAATATCATGGTGTGCGGGCATTTGCTTTGTTCATATCATAATCAATCAATCTGTTTAAATAATGCCACTTAGCAAAATGCTGGGACTCTCTAAAGTTCCTCAAGCACAGAAATGCACCCTGGAAGTCAGAGAAATGTGAAGAATGTATTTGGGTTGTACCTGTAAAACATGTGTAGCATGTACACCCCTCAGAGAAAATAGCATGATGGGAGAGAAAGCACAAAAACATATGGACGGCTGTTTCCTTAGCTGTGTACAATCCCAGCAAACTTACTGCGGAAGGTGGGTACGTAGGAAATAAGTGTACATTTGAATACATTTGCAGGGTGGGTGGTGTCGGCTCAGGCTGCCATAACAAAACACCCTAGACTGCATGGCGTAAACAACAGACAGTTATTTTCTCAGTTTTGGAGGCTGAAAGTCCAAGATTGAGGTGCCAGCACTGCTGAGTTTGAGTTCTAGTGAGGGCTGTCTTCCTAGCTTGTAAACAGATATTTACTTGACGTAGGGGAAAGGAGAGAGTGAGATCTCTCTAAAGTCTCCTCTTCTAAAGGCACTAATTCCATCATGAAGCCCCCACCTTCATGACCTCAATCTAAACCTTTGACTTTCCAAAGACCCCATCTCCAAATACCATCACATTGGGAGTCAGGTCTTCAGCACATGAATTGACAGTCAGAGGGACACAGTTCGGCCCATATTGGGAGGCACGTGGTTATCAGTTTTTGGAGGTGGTTGTTACTGATGTTCACCAATTTCCAGTTCTTGTCTATTTCTGGTGAAGTGCTGGTTACATGTCTTCACTCCCTTGAAATTCAGCTTGGCTATGTGATTAGTCATGGTTCATGAAATATGAGGTGTGTCACTTTTGGCATTTCATGACTGTTACTCAGCTCTCCTCCCATGTCTTCCCCTGTTAGCAAGCCCCAAAGCCCCTTGGGGAGGTCATGATGTCATAAAATGACAATCTAGTTACTATTGCTTCAAAAGAACTAAATGGCGTAAAATAATCATTGACTTATGCTCATGGAAGATGGGGATCTGTAGATAAATCAGGGTCTGTGAGTCCTGAGTCAGCAGTAGAATATGCTGCAATTAAAAACTTGATGTAAGAATATTATTTGGCCAAAAAGAAAAGGAAGGTGTACTGATCCATGCCACAGCATGGATGAATGTTGAGAACATTATGCTAAGTGAAAGAAGACAGGCCCAGAAGGTCACATATTGTATGATTCTGTTTATATGAAATAACCAGAATAGACAAACCTATAGAGACAGAAAACAGATTAGGGATTGCCAGAAGATGGAGGGATGGGGAACAGGAAATGATTGATTAAAAAATATGGGGTTTCTGTTTGGGATGATGAAAAAGTTCTGGAACTACATAGTGGTGATTATTCCACATTATACATGGACTTAATGTTACTGAATTTTATATGCTACAATGGTTAAAATGGTAAATTTTACCTCAAAAATAAAACTAATACGATATCCAAACATATTACAGAAAAATAGCATACAAAATCAAAGAACTAACTTCCTCCTTACACTCAGAATTTAAGGCCCTTACTGGATTACTGGGTGGAGTGTGGATCTGTCATATTAAAAATGACTGACTGAGAAATTAAAGAGCAATAGAAATAATAAGAAGCCTAGAAAGAGATGCTGTGCCAAAAAGTGACTAGATGTAGAGTGATTAACACTGGACAAGATGCAGCAATAATATTCAAGGATAGGAGGGTTTATCTAAGATTGTTTGACCTACCCATAGAGGTTCTATTAGGATAATGACAAAATAGTGTTTCTGCATAATTCCCTACCATAATTCATTTAGGCAAAAAAGTCCTATCCCAGAACCACTGGGGTGCTTAATGCCAACTTTTAATAAACTTGGTAGATAGAAATCCATTTTCATTATCTTCCCAAATTTCAATGTGTGGTGAAATTTGAATCTTTGTGCAATATCTTCCCCACAAATAGGGAAAGCTGACGGTTTTGCCATTTAGAAGACAGAGCATGAATTGGTGCCTATCGGAGAAGGAAGGTAAAAGATGCCTTTATCTAAGTAGATGGCTTATGTTATGATGATGTCCATTCCAGTTACTATTACTGCAAAAAAAACTGAACGGCATAAAATAACCATTGACTTATGCTCACAGAAAACAGGGACCTACTATGGCAGGTTGTCAGCCAGAACCAATGAGCAGAGTGGCAGCTGCGACCTGAGAGGTAATTCTCTGAATGAGAAAAGCCCTTTATTTGGGAGGAAAACTACATTGATAAGGTCAACTAACAAGCTACAGCCAGAATGCATAGCTAAGATGACCCAGAGAGTAAGGGAAAGGCCCAGACAGGTACAGTCAGGCTCACTTCCTAGTTAAAGTTGATATTTAGCATCCTAAGAATGTATTTTGTTTAGGTGTTTCTAAGGTAGTCATTTTGAAATTCGTAGACTAGCAGGCAGTAATAATTTCATAAACCAAACTGCCCAAATCCAATGATGAATATCTCATGCACAGTGGCAGCATCTCGGAGTGAGGGCAGACTTGGAGGAAGGACTGGAAAAATTCCATCTGGACCACTAGCCTTAAGCATAAAAATATAATAAATGATTCGGAAATGACTTTCACAGATAGACACATGTTGCCCTATGAGCGTCTTCAGGAATCTTCTTCAGAGAGGGCTTATTGTACACCATGGGTTAGAATTGCAAATCAGCATCTAAAGAGGGAGAAAGGGGTAAATTTAAAAAGCAGATTTCCACAGAGAGACACAAAGGAAGTCAAACAACAGGGAGAAAGAAACAAAAATGGGAAGCGAGAAAGTGGGATCAAAGGAGGGATCAAAGGAGATGAAAACGAGAAAGATGCCAAGAGAGAAAGACTCACTTCATCCTTTGAAATGTTCTGCTGCCCAATGGAGTAATGGGAGATTCTGTCATAGGTGGACACCTAAGAGGAAAGGAGGGAGGACGTGGTTGCCTTTTCATTTTGTCCTGCCCCTTGGCTTGTTCTTTCTGATCCAACACAGCGGAGTCTGCTTGTTCATTGGCCAAATGTCAACAAGTCACCATAAAGGGCTGCCAAGGAAAATGACCAGGAACACACAGCATGCCTGAGTCACTCATCTAATCTGCCCCATTGATATAAATTGCACAAAAGGACACTCTGTCATCATGAAAGGAGAAAGATGTGTACTTGGATTATCTTGAGCTTGACCCACTTACCAAGGACTTGGGAAACCAGGAGACCAGCCAAGTCTCCATCTCCCCCAGCCCCAGGGTGTATCATTTATACCTCCATCCACTCACCTATATCTGAATGTCCAAATATTCTGCAAACCTTTATAAATAATAGAACTGTGTGGAATGCAGTTTATACTCTCAAGAAGAGAGGAGGTATTTTTGTTGTTGTTGTTGTTGTTTGTTTGTTTGGCTGTTTCCACGTGTTTTCAGGTCTGCAACACTCTTCAGAACAAAATCAGTACTTTCTCTATAATGTGACTAGGAACCTGTCTTTTCCCCAGGTCTCCTGCAAAATTTCTAGCACCTTCCTCACACAAGTTGCAGGAAGCATAGAGCTTTGAAATTATAATGATGGAAAAGGAAATGGAAAGAAAGGCCCAACTTTTAGTCTTCTGGGACTCCAGATCATATTTATGCGTTCAAAATAGTAACTTTCTCCTAGAAAAGGGGGATGTGCCACCATTCTACACACTGGGTGGACCATTTCCTAGCTGGTGCTGCATTTGCTACAAGCCCACAGGGCCCTGGCAGAAACCCCCTCTGATTTCTACCACTGTCCTTTTTAAATGCAGCAACAGCCAAAATCTACACTCTCCCTGCATTGCATCTGTTTCATTTGCATCCCAGGTTTCTGCAATAAAGCAAACCCCCAATTTATTAATTTTTTTGAAAAGATAACGTAAGTCTAAGAAGGTTACCAAGTGTCTTCAGCTAACCAAAAATTTAAAGACCAGCAAGGATTTAGAATTCCCTATACTAGACCCCTGATCAGTAATCAGGTGGCGTATTGTTTGTTTGTCCATTTGTTTGTTTGTTTTCCAGGCATATTATGATGTGAGGTTCTTTAGCTACATATGTGCATCTCCTTAAGTGGTCTCAGTGATTTCCAGTTTTGCAGGATATACCTGGAGCTAGAATGATGCAAACAAAAATTTTAGATTTAAAAAAATATTTTAAATATAAAAAATTAAAAATAAACCCTAAATTCAGAATTTTCCAAGAGCTAAATGCTCTGAGGGCCAGTCCCAGCTACTTTCCAGCTGTGTGAGCTGAGGCCAGTTACCTAAATTTCCCGTGCATCAGTTTCCTGCATTGACAAACCTCTGGTAAGGATTTCTGCCCTACATAGCTCACAATACCAAAATGAGAAAATGGGAAAGTGCTAAGAATTATAAAGCATTCAAATATGAGGTCTTATGACTGCTAACACAGACTTCTGCCCACAATAATCACTAGAAGACGTACGGGTTATGTATGTTCAAGTCACCTATAAAGTAACAAATCAGCAACTTCCTATCCAATCCACTACATAGCTTCCTCCCATAACCTAACCATGTGTGTGCTAATAGCCTACCTACAAATGGATTTCTCTCTATGACATTCAACACCCATTAATATTTATGCAGCTGTGTCCAGGTTAAAAAATAAGTCAAGCCAAGGTAAGAGGCATTTTTTAAAAAATTATTTTATAAGTTAAACAGTAAAATTGACTTTTTTCCCTTTTGGTGTAGAGTTCTATATATTTTAACACAGCTGTAGGTTGGTATAACCACCACCACAATCAGGATACAGAACAGTTCCATCACCCTAAAAAAATTCCCTATGACTCTTCCTTTATAGTTCCACTCTTTCCCCTGCCCCAGCTCCAAAAACCATTGATCTGTTCTCTAGATCTATTCTGATATTTTCAAAATAGGTCAGATAAATTGAATTATACAGTATACAGCCTTTTGAACCTGCCTTTTTCCATTCAGCATAATGCCTTTGAAAATCATCCAAGTTATCACATGTATCATCTGTTCTTGTTTATTGCTGAATAGTATTCCATGGTATGGATATACCAGTTTGTTTAATCATTCAATTGTTGAAGGACATCTGGTTTATTTCTAGATCTTGGTAATTTTAAACACAACAGCTATAAACATTTATGTATCAGTTGTTGTGTCATCATAAGTTTTCGTTACTCCAGGATAAACCCCAAGAGTGGGATTGCTATTAAACAGTGACTTGTAAATATCAACATCACATTAAACATCCAGATTTTATTCAAGTCATCCTCATAATATAAGAGACTGATATCACTATTAATCAATGCTCAAAAACTAATATGCCCTAACCCCTTTGAAAATTTGAGTTGTTTCATCTACAGCCATACCACTCTGAACACACCCCATCTCATCTGAAAATTTGAGTTGTTTTGATATATTTTGTGGTATTTGATTTTTTTGTGGTATTACTATTTTGCATAAATGTTAATGAAAAATATCATTTTAACAATTGTAAAAACATTGCAGTGATGCTTTCAAGAGTTCTTCCTATTGACTTAGAAATACTCATTCAATTTCCCAAAATAAAGTAAAATTTAAAATCTAAGTAGAAAGGAACCACCACATCAGAGTCTGAGTTAACACAAACTTGCTCTGGCATAATTGAAAAATCACTATGCTAAACTTTGTAAAGAATACACCACCATTCCCCCACCCCCCATGAAGTACACCCTAGAGTGTTTGAAGATTATATTATGAGTGGCCCAAATGCCTGTGTTTGGCATTTGTTAAACAATCCTAGAGGAGCTGCCATCCTTGGGGTTCTGTGGGTTCATCCATGGCTGACACCTCTCATCCTGAATCCCTTGGGTCTCACAGGCCCTGGAACAATCTATATTCTCCCGGTTGAAGATGACAGCATGTCAGTGTACTTAAAATTCAATTTCATTCTTCCTAATCTATGCACCATTATGCAGGTCTTTGAAATAGTCTCCAAAGAAGGTAAGTCTATATTGATTCCATTCCCTTACATAGCAACTGGTGTGTAGCAACCCATAGTATAATATGAGGGGGAGAAAATATTGATTCTGGGAAACTTAATATTATTAAAAGACAGTTGTATTAAATCTCTTTCCTGGATTTAGCTGAGCACTTTTTTTTTCATTTTTCCATTTTCAAAAAAATCAATGAAGCTAATACTCTTGTTAGTTTTAGAGTTTCTACGACAGCAGTTTCATGTCACCATAGAACCTACGGGAGGTTTGTAGGCTCAGCACTCAAGGCTTGGAGTCCTCTGCTGACTGATGAGCATAACATTTCTCTCTTCAGTTATTCCGGCCACTCAGAGCGGGCAAGTAGTATTTAAATTTTATTTTCCATGGTATCTGTTTTCCTTGGTGTGTAAAAGTCTCAAGATATGGCTTAGCCTTAGTTATAAACGCCTAAGTGCATGTGATGAAGCTCATTACACACATGCAATTTTCAGTTTGAGAGAAGTCTAAAGAAATAAAATCAACGTGGGGTGGGGGGAGGTTTTTTTGATGGAAAACACCTGCCAGTTGAAAATCCCAGAATCTGCTATTTAAGATTGTAAGTCACATTTTCTTTTTTGAGGACCATCCAAACTTGAGGTATTTTTTTCTTTCTTTCTTTTTTTTTTAACAAAAAAAGGAACAGCTGCTTCTGATTTGTGACAAGATTAAAGCATTTTGGAATCTCTCTCCAGATATCTAATTTCTGATAGAATGTCTGTTGTGTCATTATCAAATATAACAAGACTGTAACATGGCTCCAGAGTCAATGAACCAAACACTGGAATCTTCTTCTAATTATATAATATAAAACTACTTATAATTCTGATGCCATGAATTTGGAATTCATGATTAAGATGGGTTAGGCTTTTGCTAAGCAAGTGTTTTCTTCATAGATACTGCAAACCATATTTTAAAAATAAGATGGCAAGAATAATGCTGAAAATATGTGAAAAACAAACTATTTCCAAATCCCTGAAAGAATCTAGAAGCCACAATTAGCATGAAAATATTTGTGGTGCTTTTAATGGTTATTTTATATCTCTGTCTCTGGCTTCTCTGGAGAGTGGTGCTCTCAGCTGCCAGGAGAACAACTAAGACCACCTGGATATTCCAGACCCCATAAATGCATATGCTCCAGACTGGATTTGATTTTTGTACTCCTGCTAATTGTTCCTGCTGTTTTCCCATTTTCCCATCTTCACTGCCATCTACAAGAGAAATTCAAAAAGCGACCAAAGATCGTTGGCTTGGTGGACACAGCTTAGGAAATTTCAGTCTAATTTGCCTCCTCTCCCCTAGAATCCAGCATGCTGCCTCCTCCTTGCTCGCCTGGACCATGGCAACGGCCTCCTGAAGGGCTTCCAACCAGTATCTCTTCCCCAACCTCTGCAATCAGAGGGAGCCTCCAGAAAAAAAAAAAAAGGTGTCAAATGATATGGAAAACCACCATGGGCTTGACACCGCCTGTTGGATAAAACAGTCATCAGCACTGAGTACCCCAGCGAGGCTTTACATGGAGAGATGAGGAAGAAGAGCCCAGGCAGGCAGCAAAGAAGAAATACCTACGTCATACTTGGGTCATGGTAAGAAGACCAAATTGGCTCGAAAAGGGATTTTTTATAAGTGATGGTTATAGAAGATAACTTCAAAGAGGTGAAGGGGGTCCAGATCAGTGAAGACTTGAAAGGCTCAGCCTGAGACTTTCTGACTTTATCCCTCATGCCATGGGGAGCCATAGAATGTTCATAAGCAGAAGAGGCAGATAAAAGCACAGTCCAGTTGGAATCACCAATCACTCCCCCAATAGCACACACACCATTGAATGTCATTAGGCTACTAATTATTTTTCCTAGTGACCACCCCCATTGTCTTTCACTAAGAAAAAACAATTTATTGACAAGTAATTCTTTAGGTGCTTCCCTTTCACACACTTTCAATTTTTAAGTAACACTTTATACTGGCCTAACAAACATAAATGACATTCTAGAGATTTACAATATATTAGTATAATATTAGTGTACGATTTAACGTGTTGGCTCTTTCTCCAGAGATGGAAAAAAAGCATAATACATCATCAGATTAAATATTAACATATTAATGAAAAGACTTCATTTCTCTGAACCAAAGAAAACGAAAACAATGATGAAGAATGCATTAATGAGGGTTTTAAGCATAAATGACAGAAATTTTAATGCCACTTCCAAATATGCTAACTTACTTAAAATTAGAATAAAATGTATCAATACTTACAGATTATCAGAGTCACCTTCTATCCTGACCAGTATGTCACAAGCCCCTAAGCTGACCAGTTGTCACTTCCAAGATATCTCTAAAGCAGCTCAAATTTACCATGGCCAAAGCTGAATGCATTATTATCTTCCCCAAATCTTCTCAGTCTCCGTTAAGGGAGTAAGTGTCCACCTGTTCCCCTAAGCTAGAAATGTCATAATCCTCCCTGTCTCCTTTTTCTCTCCCTAAACCCCTGCATTGGTTCCCTAATACTCATCACTTTTATCTCCAAAATGTCTGTCTGAATCAGGCTCACTCAGCATTCTCACCATCAATGCCTTACCATCAATCAACCTCCCAAAAGATTTCAGTTGCCTCCTAAACAGTCTCTTACCAATACTCCAACAGCCAGCTGGTCTCTTCTAATCTGAACATTCCTGGAATCCCCTTTCCCCCTCCTCCACCGGACAAACCTCTCTTACCCTTCCAGCCTGAACTCCAATGTCACTTCCCTTGCATTCTCATCATCTACCACTTCCTTCCCAAAAGAATGAACAGTTTCCTCCTCTACATTCCCTCTCCTATGTGTTCTTTCTTGATTACAACACTCATCCCATTTCTACTATGACTCAATGCTTAAGAATCTGTGTCCTTGGCTGGGCTTGGTGGTTCACACCTGTAATCCTAGCACTTTAAGAGGCCAAGGCGGGCGGATCACAAGGTCAGGAGTTCGAGAACAGCCTGGCCAACATGGTGAAATCCCATCTCTACTAAAAATACAAAAATTAGCCGGGCATGGTGCCGGGCACCTATAATCACAGCTACTCGGGAGGCTGAAGCAGGAGAGTTGCTTGAACTCAGGAGGTGGAGGTTGTGGTGAGCCGAGATCGCACCACTGCACTCCAGCCTGGGTGACAGAGCAAGACTCCATCTTGAAAACAAAAAACAAAAAACAAAAACAAAAAAAAAACAATCTGTGTCCTCTGATACATTTGTGCATTTATTGGGGTTCAGGACCGTGTGTTATTCTTCTTCGAGTTTCTAGCGAGTGGGGGTTCATGCCACCCTCACCACACTCTCCTTTGAGTAAAGTGATGCATCTCATCCAAAATGTCATCATTTGCAATTTAAGCTTTTAAAATTTTCATAGCTGCACATCTTGCCTCATGTAAATTACCTTTGCCCAACCTTCTTTTGTAGGTGTTTCTATTTGGTCTTCTTAAGAATGGACCACTTACATGCAGAATTTGGTACAAGATTTTACCCCTGGCTGGATGCCTAAATGACATACAGAGGAAAGGGCGGATAGGGTAAAAGATCTATATGTACTTCGGCATGTACCTCGATAGCCCACAACCCAACCCTGGCATTGGCTTCTAGAGAAAACAGCTATGCAGAGAGAACCACCTGTGCTCCCAAAGTAGAGACTAGAATGTTCTATGATTGATAATCATCCGTGGGCAAAAGCAACAGCATGGCCTCTGAAGCGATCACTCCTCATGCCAAGTAAACGGCTTTCTCAGCCCACACCTGCCCTGAACTAGTCAATTACCAACGTTGAGAAAGCAGGAAATGAATGGCTCATGATTTTAAGCATCAATAATTTAAATAAAAAACTCATAAAGAGTCATCCTTCTTCCTGGAGTGTAAATGAATGTGATTCTAAGTGTATGGTAAAGACACAATAATTGCCAGCAAATTAACTCCCAATGAAGATGCAGAGGGATATCTGTCTCCTTTGACTCTTGGACAATTTCCTTCCAAAGGGATTTTATTGTCCCACATTAGGAGTGAGAACTCAACTCAGTACAGGCCGTGCTTCTGTGTTGAAGAATGATCACCAGGCAGTCACATAGGAGCAGCTTCAGCCAGCGACACTGGTATCCCCACTTGGGGCTGACAAGGTTATGTACTCTGCAACCAGTGTTCTGCAAATCCAGTCATGAGTTGGTCCAGAGTTGTTTTTAGATAAAGAGAAGGCAGTTCTTCTCTCACCCAGATCCTCTCTGGCACACTGACCTTTGAGAATAAGAAGTGTACATGTTTTAATTCTATGCTCAGCAATGTACTGTTGTATTTAGTCAGAGGCTGCATAAGAATAATTTTCTAGAACTCAAACTGGTGTCAGATCTCTGTTAAATTGCAGGTGGCTTCCCCACCCTTTTTGCCTTCATCATCTCTCTCTAGTTTGAGAGTCTTCTCTACCCTGAAATTTTCACCAGTCTGTTTAACACAAAGTAACTTTGTGAGACAACCTTGTTAAAACTAAGGTATTGGAGGTCCTATGTGTTATCTCCTCCACTGGAGGAGATCGCTTAAAAATCATTTGGAAGTTTCTTTTGCTGTGCAGAAGCTCTTTAGTTTAATTAGATCCCATCTGTCAATTTTGGCTTTTGTTGCCATTGCTCTTGGTGTTTTAGTCATGAAGTCTTTGCTGATGCCTATGTCCTGAATGGTATTGCCTAGGTTTTCTTCCAGGGTTTTTATGGTTTTAGGTCTTACATGTAAGTCTTTAATCCATCTTGAATTAATTTTTGTATAAGGTGTAAGGAAGGGGTGCAGTTTCAGTTTTCTGCATATGGCTAGCTAGTTTTCCCAACATCACTTATTAAATAGGGAATCCTTTCCCCGTTGCTTGTTTTTGTCAGGTTTGTTAAAGATCAGATGGTTGTAGATATGTGGCGTTATGTCTGAGGCTTCTGTCCTTTTCCATCAGTCTATCTCTCTGTTTTGGTACCAGTACCATGATGTTTTGGTTACTGCAGCCTTGTAGAATAGTTTGAAGTCAAGTAGCGTGATGCCTCCAGCTTTGTTCTTTTTGCTTAGGATTGTCTTCGCTATATAGGCTCTTTTTTGATTCCATTAGGGAGTTGAACGATGAGAACACATGGACACAGGGAGGGGAACATCACACACCAGGGCCTGTCAGTGGGTGGGGGGCTAGGGGAGAGATAGCATTAGGAGAAATACCTAATGTAGGTGACAGGTTGATGGGTGCAGCAAACCACCATGGCACGTGTATACCTATGTAACAAACCTGCACGTTCTGCACATGTATCCCAGAACCTAAAGTATAATTTTAAAAATCATCTGGAAAGGATTTGGTATGTACATACCACAATTTGTCTATCCATCCATAAACTGGTGGACATGAAGGACTGACCCATGGGACAACGTAAATGAGCCTTGAAACCATGACATTAAGTGAAAGGAGCCAGACACAAAAGACGATGTGCTGTATGATTCCATTTATATGAAATGCCCAGAAAAGGCTAATCCACAGAGATAGATGCAGATTGGTTGCTACCAGGGCTTAGAGAAAGGGGAAATGAGAAGTGACTGCTCAGTGACTATGGGATTTCCTTTTGGGGTGATGAAAATGTTTTGGAACTACAAAGGATGATGGTTTCACAACATTGTGATTGTACTTAATGCCACTGACTTATTCACTTTAAATGCTTGACTTTAGGTTATTCAAATTTCACTTCAATTTTAAAAGGTGAGGGAAGTGGGGGAATCTATACTTGACCAAGTATGAGTCTCTGATGGTGAAATTTCAGAAGTAGTGGGAATAGAAAAGAAGTTTCCTATTAAGATGCTTTCACAGGGTCTCTAAATCGCAGGTATGCCTGCCTCCGATGTTTCACCTTTGTTGGGGCCCTTCTGGAAAGCCCAGTTAGTGCAAAGAAACCAAGCCAGGTTGGCCTCAGCCTTTCATTGGATGTATCCACCTTGTGTGAAGAAAAATAAAAAGATTATATAATAAGCAACTAATGCTAACCAGTATTATTATTATTGTCAATATTCTATGCTGACCTTCTACTTTCTGTGGCCTAAAATTAGATTGTGTATTGTTTATGAAACTTTCACTTGGGAATGTTTTTTAGGTTACGTGGGTTTTCTGCTGCTGTGGCAGCAGCAGGACCAAGCCAAGGCAAAAGGCCCAGTGTTACTCACAGTTGGCTTTATGATTTCACCCAAGGACAGGGACCAAGGCACGCAGCTGAAAAAGCAACATTGGTTTCTGGTCTCTGATGACACATGTGTTTCTTCTTCCTTTCTCATGCTCCCAGCAAAACAGAGTCCTACCCAGTGCCTTCCCCAAGGAGACCCTGGTTGTTGAGACTCTAGACTACAGCATCTAGAAGTCTGAGACTTGAAACCCATCTCACTCAATTCCTGTTGGGTCTCTGATATGAACATCAGCCCTTCTCAGGGCAGGAATTTGACATTGCGAAAGGGAAAAATAAAGAAATGAGCTTTGGGCATGTACAGTTTTTCTGTCCTGCTTTTTTTAAATTTGAGAAGAAGTATGTTCAACATTGTCTTTCTACAATAAAACCAGAAACATGGCATATCTCTCAGGGTCCAGTCAGGAGGCAGCCATCACTCCAGCTATTTTAACAAGGAAAATGTAACACAAATAACTGTTAACTATTAAAGGTGGTTAACTACTGATATAGTCTGTCTGGGTCCCCACCCAAATCCCATCTCGAATTATAGCTCCCATAATCTCCACAAGTCATAGGAGGAACCCAGTGAGAGGTAACTGAATCATGGGGTGGGTTTTTCTTGTGCTGTTCTTGTGATAGTGAATAAGTCTCATGAGATCTGATGGTTTTATAAATGGCAGTTCCCCTGCACAAGCTCTCTTGCCTGCCACCACGTAAGATGCACCTTTTCTTCTCCTTTACCTTCCGCCATGATTGTAAGGCCTCCCCAGCCATATGGAATTGTAAGTCCATTAAGCCTCTTTTTCTTTACAAATTACCCAGTCTTAGGAATTTCTTTTTCTTTTTTTTTCCTGTTTTCTTTTTTTTTTTTGTGATGGAGTCTTGCTCTGTTGCCCAGGCTGGAGTGCAGTGGCGCGATCTTGGCTCACTGCAACCTCCGCCTCTCGGGTTCAAGTGACTCTCCTGCCTCAGCTTCCCAAACAGCCAGGATTACAGGCACCCACCACCACACCCGGCTAATTTTTGTATTTTTAGTAGAGATGGGGTTTCACCATCTTGGTCAGGCTGGTCTTGAACTCCTGACCTTGTGATCCACCCAACTCGGCCTCCCAAAGTGCTGGAATTACAGGTGTGAGCCACTGCACCCGGCCCTCGGGTATTTCTTTATAGCGGTATGAAAAGGGACTAATACAACTACTAAAAGGAACTTTAAAAGGACCTTAAGGAAGCAGCAAAAGAGCAGCTATTACCTCTAGGCTGAAGGACAGTGAAAAATTAAAGGAACCAAGGATGGGCAGAGGGACCTTCTACCTCCACTGAGGCTGAGGTTCAGATCTCTTCAGAGATTTTTGCCAAATGTTATTCTTGTTCATGCCAAGCCTGCCTTGTGGGAATGAATAAGACAGATCACCATTCCTGTCCCTTATTACTGATCAGTTAGATTGCATGGCAGAAAGGTCAGTATCCTCGGTGTCTGCAAAGTGGTTCTTTCCCCCTGCATCGTGAGGGAGGGCACCACACAACTGTAAGAGTTGAACTCCAAGGAGAAGACTCTTGGTAAACTCATTATTAGAGACTTTTATTTAAAAGTTTTTTTGCTTTTTTTTTTGCCAAATATTTTTTTGGGCCAACATTTTTTCCTAATTTTTATTTGCTGCCACAGGAACTCACAAATGGCTGGTGGAGAAGCTTTCTGGAAAGCAAAGGCACGGGGTGGTCTGCAGAAGCAGGCCATCTCTTGTTGTAGGAGGCTGTGGGCAGGAAGGAGCTTCTGAGAAGTGACCAGTGCTGGGGAGAGCATGGCCTGAGGCAGAGCTGGGGCTCAGGTGCATGTGCCAGGTGCTACTGCATTGAATGATAATAACTAGCCAAGTCCAGAACTCAGCAGGGATGTTCCTGGCACTACACCACTCTGGCACCCTCTACTGATGACGTTTACATTCACCCAGCTGGCTAAGAAGAAATGTTTACAGGGTCCACTTCCAGTATCACAAAGCAGAGCAGGGAAGGATGAATTTGAAGCTGAGAGACAATAAATTGACACCTGCCATAGATGGGGATTGCCATTCTCCCTCTGATCTCACTTCCAGTGTAGGTAAACCCTTCGCACCAGTGAGCTGTTATCAGAGTGTCTTCATCCATGAACGGAACATGGACAGCCTGCTTCACCCAACTCCAGCTGCCAGTACTCAAGGGTATTTCCGGGCAGGTCAAAGAACATCACTAAACTTTCTAAATCGGTAACAGAAATATTTTCACAATGTCTTAGGTAGAGGAAAAAAGTCAAAAGGAGGACGTTCGTAAAGTTAGGCGTGCTCCCTTGAACTCAGTTTTCTTTTCCTCTTGAGCACTCAGACAGACTTTCTATCTTCCTTTCACAGTTAAAGTAGACCGACATGACTGGGTCTAGCCAACGGAAGATAAACAAAAATAATCTATCCCACTTCCAGGTCTGTCCCCTAGAAGACCTCTGGCACGATCCCTCCTGCCTTCTCTTTTCCTGGACCCAAACACTGACTGCAGAGAAGATCTCAGGAAAGAGCAGAGCATCTAGGAAAGCAGCCTGTTTCTGAGTCACCACCTGGAGGAGGGCCTCCCTGAAGAGTTGCCCAGCTGGAAATATTCTAATTGGATTGTGAGGAGAGGAAGCAATAGCCCTTCGTGCCCTGGTTCTGAAAACGTGATTCCCAGACCAGTGGCATGAGCATCACCTGGAAACTTGTCAAAAATGAAAATTCTCAGGCCCCACCTCAGACTTAACCAGAAACTCTGGGAGTGAGGGGCCCAGCAGTTAGGTGATTTGGGTGTTCTAAAGTTCAACAGTCACTGCCTTATTGTGCAAAAACACTAAATTTGGAGGGTTTTTTCCTTAAGGCACATAGACAACCAATCACATAAAACTCAAACTAAACCCTCGTCATAAAAACCTTAAACAAAGAACTTAATAACCACTTAAAATGTGTCTGCCCAGTAACAGCCCTTTCCCAAGGCAGACCTCCTCCTTGCCTGGGCACTAGACTGCCTTTGTGGGACTAACATTAGCCACAAGCTTAGAAATTATGGTTTAGGAGTCATGCAGCTGCGGGCTACCAGATTCTGACTCTCCCTAAATTGCTCCTAAGATCAGTGCTTCAGATAGTTTGCAGACCCTGCACTTGATGGATCAGCTGGCCCCACCCAGATCAATAAACTGGTTCATCTGATCTTGTGGCTCCCACTCAGGGACTGACTGAGTGCAAGAAGACAGCTCCAACTCCCTATGATTTCATCACTGACCAATCAGCACTCCTGGCTCACTGGCTTCCCCCCACCCACCAAGTTATTCTTAAAAACTCTGCTCCCTGAATGCTCGGGGAGACTGATTTGAGTAATAATAAAACTCTGGTCTCCCACAAAAATAAATAAATAAATAAATAAATAGGCTGGGCACGATGGCTCACCCCTGTAATCCCAGCATTTTGGGAGGCTGAGGCTGGCGGATCACTTGAGGTCAGGAGTTCGAGACCAGCCTGACCAACATGGTGAAACCCCATCTCTACTAAAAAATACCAAAAATTAGCCGGGCGTAGTGGCAGGTACCTGTAATCTTAGCTACCCGGGAGACCGAGACAGGAGAATCACTTGAACCTGGAAGGCAGAGGTTGCAGTGAGCCGAGAGTGCGCCATTACTCCAGCCTGGGCAACAAGAGCAGAACTCCATCTCTAAATAAATAAATAAATAAATAAACAAAATGTGTCTGCCACCTCACCAGGGATTGTTGTCATAGCTCCATCATCCACAACACCCCTGAAGAGTCCACACATCCACAAGACCCCTGAATAGACCAGGCAGAGACAGCACTGGTGTTGCAGACTTCATGCTTTTCGATGTTTCACTGTTTTACTGCCCATACTACCTATTTCGGATCTGCACATTTGTTCTAAGCCTGAATCAAGCTGATTAGGTTGCTATAAGGTTGAAGGTTTATTAACCTCAGATATCACCTGTGACATTTGACTGGAAGCCAGAAAACAAGGGCTGTGTTCATTAATTGAGCTACTTTAGACAAGTGACTTAACCTGCTCACTTTTATTGCTTTCTCTGAAAAGTCAAATAATCCCCGACAGACCTGCTTTAAAATCACCTGCAGGAAAAAATCTCAAAAAAGAATAAGACAATAGATTGCATTTCCATATTTAGAGATATTCCATATGATCGTTTTTACATTCATCAAAGTTTAAACAACAGAAAACACCAAGTGGTTCCTCTTCCACTCCTTACAACAGCCGTATACAGGAGACTTTGAAGAAACAAACTAAGTAAACTCATATTCAATGTAGAACTATCCAAATGCAAAGTTTTCTACTTCAGTTATTGACTTAAACATAACGTCACCTCTAGAAAAGTGTGGGTTGTTTAATTTCTCAAATATAAAGCCCAAATTTGAAAAATTTTCTGACAAAAAAATAATCATTTAAGGAAAATAGGAAGAAATAGGAGCATCTGATGTCAAAGGGATATTTTTAGTGAGCCACGTCGGTAAACCAGTCCTGCCAGGAATGTGGTGCTTCAAAGGAGAGTCCTAGCATTTAGCTCCAGCTCCACACAAAGCCACATCTTCAGCACTTAGTTCAGGAGTAATTACCATCTAACTGGCACTGGGGTGGAAGGAGAAGAGAACTATATTCATCTTGTGATTAAATGGCAATTAGCAACTAAGTGCCTTGCAATAATGTGGCACTCGCGACCTCTTCACAGCAGCTTCCCCTGCCAATACCACCAGCCTTCTGGGTATCAAAGCCCAGTACATCAGGGCTAGGACCCCAGGGAATCCCAAGGCTGACCTGCACACCAGCTAACATAGGTTGGGTGGAGGCACAAATTAGTGGTTAAGAGCATGGACTCTATAGCCAAGCTGCCTGGATTCCAAACACAGCTCCACCACTAGCAGTCTGCCAACTTGGTCAAATTACCTAAACCTTTCTGATCATCAGTGTCATCATCTGAAAACTGGGGGAAATAGTTGTTTCTAAGATGTAGCTTGATTGTGAGGCTTAAGTGAGTCAAAAATGCAGAGCATTGGCTGGGCACGGTGGCTCACGTCTATAATCCCAGCATTTTGGGAGGCTGAGGCAGGCGGATCACCTGAGGTCGGGAGTTCGAAACCAGCCTGACCAACATGGAGAAACCCCGTCTCTACTAAAAATACAAAGTTAGCCAGGCATGGTGACGCATGCCTGTAATCCCAGCTACTCGGGAGCCTGAGGCAGGAGAGTCGCTTGAACCCAGGAGGCGGAGGTTGTGGTGAGCCAAGATCGCGCCATTGGACTCCAGCCTGGGCGACAAGAGTGAAACTCCATCTCAAAAAAAAAAAAAGGCAAAGCATTTAAGAGAGTTCCTAATACATGGTGAAGCCCCAGTCAAAAAAGGCTAATGTTTCCCTAGGCTTCAGTAGCTTCCCCTCCACAAGCCTGGGATAGATTAACTCTTTTCTGCCAATGCATTGTTTAATGTTAAATATAATATTTAAATGTATTATACTGCTCCAAACAAAAACTAAACAAAACAAACATCTTTTCAGTCATGAATCCTGGTTCATCCTATTCCCAAGGGTCCACCTTCAGCTGTTCCAAGTTATGAAACAAATAGAAGCAAGTTTTAGGAAGCCCTGGACAGTAACTATTGCCCAAGAATAAGCCTGTGGATCTGGAACAGAGATTGAGAAGTCCCACCTCTCCAGCAGAAGTAAATGTGGATGGACCAACGTCATGCCAAAGTGAAGACACACGTGATCAGCTCTTGATGATCTACAACAAGGTAGCCTCTTAGGCTGGCATCTCCTCTTGTCAAAGTGATTGTGAATTTGATGCACAAACTATTTCCAAAATTAGTTTTAAAACATAAGTAGAGGATAAATCTGTTGCAAACCATAGCGCTTCTTTAAGGCTATTCCTCTGTAGCAGCAGGTGTCTATTTGCTCTCCCAGTTCTTGCCCGACTTTGCTCTGTGTCACAGAAACCTTCATTCCCCACACTCCTTGCTCTCTGGCTTCTAAGTAGTTTTGGCCAATAGAAGGCAATGGTAAGACTGGAGAGTCTTACGCTACATAGAACAGGACCCCCAACAGTGCCCACATCTCCTCTGTGAGCTGAGCTCCCACCAGAGAGCCCTTCACTCTGGGTTCTCAACTCCAGCCAGGCAGCCCCCACTCTGGGGCAGGGCGACCCCACACTGAGCAGTCCCCTAGTTTTGATATCTCATCCTTCCATTGTTCCTCCAGTCCAAGAGGTGGCAGTAGAATATTCTTATTGTGAATTACTGATTGCCTCGTGGTTCTCTGGTGGTTTCTCAGCTCTTACATCACCTGTATAACCAATTCCCTTTATTAAATTCCCTCTGTTTGAAAAGCCTAGGTTGGATTTTTGTTTCCTGAAGGGTTGGGGTCTCTGACTAATAAGCCATTAATTGTATTTATGTGTCATTCTCCCTCCATGATTTCAGTGTTAAAAGCACTGGAGTAGGAGTCAGGAGTCCTGAGTTCTGGTCCCAGGTCTGCCCCTAATTGACTGTGTGACCATAAGCATGCTTCTCTGTGCCTCAGTTTCCTGAGCTGGCTCAAGCACATTCACGGGCAAGCCATTTCACATTAACAGCAGAATCAGGACAAGGTGATCCAATCTGTTTTGGGGGTGAGGGAAGAACTGCAGGGGGGCTTGGGTCATTGCTGCGTATGTGTTTGTATGTCTTATATGAGCTTGTAATTTCCCAGGGAACTCATAGGTACATAATTTCCTCTGTACTCATGATTTTCACCCTAATTTTTCACATTTAGAATTAAAAAGAGTTTAGCACATTAACATTACAAAATAAGGACTGCTGAGGCTAATACTATCCCTATTAATACCCCAACCAAATTAGTATAAAAACACTGGATAATAAACATGAAAATATGGTAAATTCAGGGCCTCAGAAAGTAGATTTGTGTTTTCTTTCTCTTTTCTAAACTAGCAGTTCCAGTATGACTAGTTATGGGCCACACAGGAGCATAGCCATGTAAAATTCCCAGTGTGCTATCTGTAACCTGATCTTTTTAACTTTTTCTAATAATTAATAATTTTGAATAATTATTATGTGATATTAATGTCCATAACAGTTGTACTATTAGCCTTTCATTGATTTTAACCCAGAGTTGCAATCAGCACATACTTTTTTTTTGGAGATGGGAGCTCACTCTGTTGCCTAGGCTGTTATTGAACTCATGGGTTCAAGAGATCCTCTTGCCTCAGGCTCCCAAGTAGCTGAGATTATACATATGCACCATCATGCCCAGCTGCAATCAGTACATACTTAAGTCAGTTATCAATTCATGCCCTTTATTGAAAGAACATTTAAACATAAGACTATTTTTATATGCATGGGTCTCAGACATCACACACACACACACACACACACACACACACACACACACACAAACATGCGCTCAACTTGGAAAATATTTCTACAATGAAAACTATCATAAATTCTTTCTTCTCAGGCCACATAGTCCTAAAGTTCACCCAAAATATTCTATTTTCTTTTAACTCCTCACTGCCTCTTAAAAAAATTGATCTCTTTTATCAAAAGCAAAAGCCAATCCTGAACTATTCACGTGTACCTTCCATGACCACTATGGTAGCACCAAACACATGTAGCGACTGGGTACTTGCAATGTGGCTGCTCCAAATAGCATTGTGCCAGAAATGTAAAAAATACACCACAGTTTGCACCCTCGATGTGAAAAAAGCATAAATTATATCATTAATAATTTTATGTTAATTGCATATTGAAAGTATAATATTTTGGATATGCTGGGATATACTGTTAAAATTAATTTCATCTGTCTCTTTTACTACAAAATTTAAAGTTGCATCGCATCACATTTCTACTGGACAGCACTGATTCTACAAGTTAAGGAAAGGAAAAGGCACTTCTACCATTCTCTGCCTTTTTACGAGAATCTTAATGAAGAGGAGCAGTATTGATACACTGATGGGGTGGGGGTGGGGGAATGGCAGAACTTACAGGAAAGATGGATGTGCCTGAGTTTTAACTTGCTGATACCCAAATCAAGCTTTGGCCTATAGAGAAAATAACAAAGACCCAATTAATAGTGCTGTACACTGGAAACATTATTGTGTTAATAGCGTGTGCTGCCTTCAAATGTCCAAGACAGAAGAGCTTAAAGCATTTTATTCTTATTGACTGAAGGCTGAAGGAAGTAAGGACCTCAGAATTAAAGTTTCAGAGAATTGAATTGGCCCTTTGCTCCCATATTTGATGATCATTCAAAAAAGTGTACATGTAAAATATGTCTTACAAATATACAGAAGGCTAAAGCCTTAGTACATTCAGAGGAGAATATCATATATATATTCTACCTCACATCTAAATAATTCCATTCATCATCTCAATCCATGGGCTTGGCATGGACCCTGGTAACACAGTGTGTACTTAATGTTTGTGGAACTGAACTAAACGCACAACCTAACAAGCTTTACAATTACTGGGACTCGGGATCCAGTCATGCCGTTTAAAACAAGGAAGCAAAGACGCAGCTCCAGAAATTCAGAAATACAGTTGCAGAAATTTCCAAAAACATGCCAAAGCTGGCTGCGCACGGTGGCTTACGCCTGTAATCCCAGAACTTTGGGAGGCCGAGTCGGGCGGATCACGAGGTCAGGAGATCGAGACCATCTTGGCTAACATGGCAAAAACCTGTCTCTATTAAAAATACAAAAAATTAGCCGGGCATGGTGGTGGGAGCCTGTAGTCCCAGCTACTCAGGAGGCTGAGGCAGGAGAATGGCAAGAACCTGGGAGGCGGAGCTTGCAGTGAGCGGAGCTTGCAGTGAGCAGAGATCGCGGCACAGAACTCTAGCCTGGGTGACAGAGCAAGACTCCGTCTCAAAAAAAAAAAAAATGCCAAAGCTATTAAAAGGATGGAAAGCTGAATCAAACATATTTGGAGAGCCACAGAGTGCCACCATGCCTTTCTAATAACTAATTAGGACCTTGGTTTTCTGCAGGGTGGTATAATAACCATTTGGCTAGTACTTTCAGGGGGAAAACGTCTCTTCACCACCACAGTCTGTATTCCTTTGCGTTCTTTTGTCTAGGCATTTTACACTTACAAATATATATATACACATATTTAAAGAGTGTATTCTTTTTTCCTTGAATGAATCATGTGGGCACTAGGGTGGACCTCCAGGGATTTTGGGTGGATGAGACCAATACAGGAATTGCTAATGTGGTTTCTATTGAATGTGATGGATTCGTTAGGTAGAATCATTTGCTAAACCAGGAGTACTACATTTTTACTCCATTCATCTTTGTCTTTTGGATTCCAGGGGGTGACTCTGCCGACAGTGCCACTACGAGCTGAATGAGCAGCCTTGCTTGAAGAAGGTGGCTTCAGGAACAAATGTTGATATTCCTTGACTCTTGTGAGCTCCTACATTTCAGCCCTGGCCCCTCACCTTGAAGTTACTCTGAAGCTACGCTTCACACGTGTGCTCTCATTTTCTCAGAGAATTAAAGGGATGAACTCCAAGGCTTTGGAAGTTTCATCTTCTCCCTGTCACATAGTATGTAACCTGGATGCAACCATCATGGTCTTTAAAAATCCCAGGGGCTGTTATTTATCAGGTGTACTAAGCTGAATAGCGACCTCCAAAAGGATATGTTTATTTCCAAACCCCTCAGGACCTGTGACTGTGGCCTTATTTGAGAAAAGCATTTTTGCACATAATTAAGGATTTCAAGATGAGATCATCCCGGATTTAGGATGGGCCCTAAATCTAACGACGGGTGTCCTTATAGGGGAAAGACAGAGGGAGTTTTGACACTGCTATGGTTTGGATATGGTTTGTCTCCATGGAAACTCATGTTGAAACTTGATTCCCAATGTGGCAGTGTTGGGAGGTGGGGCCTAGTGGGCACATCTGGGTCCCCTTCCCACACACCAAATTCCCCTTTGACTTCCACCATGTTATGGTGAAGCTCAAAAGCCCTCACCGGAAGCTGAACAGATGTCAGAGCCATTCTTTGAACTTCACAGCCTGCAGAACCATGAGCTAAATTAACCTTCTTTCTTTAAAAGTTTCCCAGTCTTAGGTATTCAGTTAATAGCAACACAAAATGGATTAAAAACAGAAGCTCAGTTCCTTTTCAAGTAGGACCAGAAAAGTTGTCTAGTATAATTCTAACATAGCGCTGGAATCCGGTTCCCACCTCCATCCCTCCAAATACACACACATTCACGCACGCTCCTTGTCTGTACCCATGAACCTCTAGGGAGTTCACCTCCTCCTACAATGGCATCCACCTATGGGCTCCCCTGCGAGTCTTTGGAGAGCAAGAACTGTGTTCTCAACCTCCAAGTGGTCCCAGCACCAAGGGCCATATCCAGCACACACAGGGGCTTAATACATGTTTGCTAAGTGAACAAACAGAACTAATCTATGATTAAAAATGAACTCCCAGTAATACTTGTGTCTCAGTCCTAGTTCTTTCCTCAAGAGTCTACTGATTGTGCTTCTCCACTGCCAACATGACATCTGGGCGTCGAGTCCATCATCTGACTTATATAGACTTCATCACATAGGCCACTGTTGAGCAGAGGCACAGACAGACAAGACCATGACGTCTTACGTGCATTTGCACATACCTTCTTTGTTCAAACTCCCACTCCTTCAAACCTCAACTCAAATGCAAGGACCACTGGGAATCCTTTCTGAATTTCCCTACACAGGTTTTACCTCCTTCTCTCATTGTATTATGGAAAACTCTTGGCATTGAAATCTAGTACACACTCAGTAAATAATGGTCACTATGGCATTTTTGTTGGTGGTGAAGGAGGTAGTGGTTTCAATATGATTCCCTCTGCTTGAAGTATTTCCCTTATTTATACCAATTATCTTGATTTATTGTAATTTATTTGCATGTCTTCTTCTCCCTCTACACTAGACGCTCCAATGGGTGGAAGCCAAGTTTTCCCCTTGAAATCATGAGTATCCATTAGGCAGAAGACACTGTAATAATAATAGTCTCAAAGAAAAATATGGTTTGTGCGTACTGTCCACCAAACCAGGCAACAGCAGAGTTTGGCCTGTGTACTAAATCCAACCATGGTCTGGCTTTGCACAGTGTGCTGAGAGAATTAGAGAGATGTTAAGAGAGGAACTGGAGGTGGCCCCACAAAACCCAAAGCACTTACTCTCTGGCCCGCTACAGAAAAAGTATGCTGAACTGGACACTAAACACAGAAGCATCTGGCTTGTAATTTGACTGTGGCTTTAATTTCTTATACGATGACCTCACATTCGCTTACCCAGAAATTCTACCAAGGGCTCAGAAATGGCTTGGACCCTAGATTGGGCCTGGAGAGCCCTGATGGGACTAATGCATCCGCACACCAAAGGGAGGCAGTTTTGTGTTTTAAAAGCATCTGCTAGTACTTCAGATTTTAAACATTTCCTCTCCAGTCATTGTAAGTTGAGTCTCTAATTTTTAAAACATTATGAGTCAGGAGGAAGGAGGACTGTCTTCAGTTGCTTGTGGGGCCAAGCCTTCACCAAAACCACTTCAGAAAGCAAGTTCCTTAAAAAGGAACCAGTAACCAGGCTGAGTTGGTGTAGGAAGTGAAGCTGCAAAACAAGGGTCAGAACACAGCACCGTTCAGTCAGAAAAAAAGATGGAAATCTGCCCAAACCAGAAACCCAAAGTGTAATGTGCATGTATACTCACGAGGAATGTAACTGGACACCGCTGGTGGGTCTACACTGTGTTCTAGGGCAAGTTGGTTTTGTTTTCCTACTTAGGGAAAAATTTGGTTTCCATGGGCCCTTTAAACTGGCATAGCTTTGTGTTTTTGTTGCTTTACTGTTACTTCTTTTTTATGAGTAAAACTTTTCTCTGATAATGACTGCATCTTCCTAAAAGCTTCTTCTGAGTTCTTATTTTCAAAGAAGCCGAATCCATCTTAATATTTTCTTGCCATAATTGCCCCAGGCCAATTTCTTCTAAAGGAATTAAAAATGCAAATCTAATATTCTAATTGCATAATAGGATAATCTTGGCAGCTAGATCAATACTATCTCCCACTGTCAATAATACGGCCGGGATGTGTGTATGTCAGAGCCCACCGGTCTCACTTTATCACTGGCCCCATGGCCCATCCACATCTATAAGATGTGACATTTTATTAGTGGCCTTCCATCAATCAACTCTAATTTGTGCATCAGAGAGATGCGTGTTGTCATCTCAGCATCCACGTTGCCCTGGGCACCAGACAACACAGAGCTGAAGCCTCATGTTTCCAAGGACTAAGTTAAATGGCAGGAAAAGGGTGGATGACAGCTCCACAAAGGATTTCTTCCTGGTGGCCATCCAATGAATTAAAAAGCAAAGAACCTACAACAAGTCATCTCAAAGAGGAAGACTCCAAAAAATAAGAATGTGGACAGCTCCCAAACCTGTCAGTGCAGCTACAAACCATTGCAGGCAGCACAGGCCTGGAGTCAGGAGACCTGGCTGTGAGGTCCGGCTTGGCCATTCCGTGCTGGGTCACCTAACCTCTATCTGCCTCATTTTCCTCTCTTGTAAAGTAAGAGTGTTGACCTAGGTTGTTCCAACCTAAAACTTATTTGACTTCAAGCGTAGTAAAGATTGTACTCTGGCTGGATGTAGTGGCTCACGCTTGTAATCCCAGCATTTTGGGAGGCCAAGGTGGGTGGATCACAAGGTCAAGAGATTGAGACCATCCTGGCCAACATGGTGAAACCCCATCTCTACTAAAAATACAAAAATTAGCTGGGCATGGTAGTGCATGCCTGTAGTCCCGGCTACTCTGGAGGCTGAGGCAGGAGAATTGCTTGAACCTGGGAGGCAGAGGTTGCAGTGAGCCGAGATTGCACCACTGCACTCCAGCCTGGTGACAGAGTGAGACTCCGTCTCAAAAAAAAAAAAAAAAAAAAAAAGATTGTACTCTGAGTAGCATGGGTGAAGATGTCTGTCAGTTTGATAGCGATCAGAGACATCGTTGATACTTCTGGGCAATTTGCCAATTAACAGTAGAAACACCATAATTAACACTTATCATCCAAACTATATTTCCATTAAGAAGTGTTTTTCCAATAGCTCTCCTTCGCCTTTTAAATGTTCTTAGCCAGGCACAGTGGCTGACGCCTCTAATCTCAGCACTTTGGGAAACTGAGGTGGGAGGAGCACTTGAGCCCCAGAGTTCGTTGAGACCAGCCTGGGCAACATGGCGGAACCCTGCTTTTTTTTTTTTTTTTTTTTGAGACAAGTCTCGCTCTGTTGCCCAGGCTGGAGTGCAGTGGTGCAATCTCGGCTCACTGCAACCTCCGCCTCCCAGGTTCAAGCAATTCTCTGCCTCAGCCTCCCGAGTGGCTGGGATTATAGGCACCTACCACCACGCCCAGCCAATTTTTTTGTATTTTTAGTAGAGATGGGGTTTCACCATCTTGGCCAGGCTGGTCTTAAACTCCTTCCTGACCTTGTGATCCACCCGCCTCGGCCTCCCAAAGTGCTGGGATTACAGGCGTAAGCCACCGCGCCCAGCCAATCCCATTTCTACTAAAACTACATACACACAAATTAGCGGGGTGTGGTGGCATGCACCTGTAGTCCCAGCTACTTGTGAGACTGAGGTGGGAGGGTCACTTGAGCCCAGGAGGTCGAGGCTGCAGTGAGCCACGATTGTTCCACTTGACTCCAGCTTGGGTGACAGAGTGAGACCCTGTCTCAAAAAAAGTAAATGAAACATAAATGTTCTCTCTGTAGCTGAAATTATTTTTCAGGTCTCAGATACCATACTATTTGGTTTAAAATATTTTGGTTCAAAATATTTGGCTCAAAAAATCTGCTTCAATTTACCCACCTTAACCAGAAAAAAAAAAAAAAACTTGTATAAACTGTGTTTAAAAAATCATAAATGTCCTTAAATATAATTAAGCAATAGGGTATAACAAAACTTTAAGTTCTTATTAAATATGATTTTAGGGAAGGCTAATTTTAAAGAGATAATCAGAACAAAGACTTAAATTCTTTGATGAACAAAATACCTTTCCAAATTTATGACAGCATACAATGTAACTCAAAATGCAATTTATTTGACTTTGGAGAAAAATGCTCTGTATGTATTTTACTTGTAACTGTAGTAAGATTTCTTGTTGATATGGTTCTTTGCAGTTTATTCAAATAACAATTATCCACTACATGCTGGGTATTGTGTAAGAGGCCTTCATATATATTTTTAAATTTGGTTCTTACAGTGACATTGGGGATTAGTTAAGACTGGCATTATTGTCCCCGAAGGAGAAAATGAAGGCTAGAAACCAGTAAGAGATGTCCCCAGAAATTATCAGCAATGTGAAAAGTGACAGAAGACTCAAGGATGAGTTAAAAAAAAAAGAGGGGGGGGCAGGAAAAAAAAGAAATATTCCTGAAAACTTGAGGCAGGCAAATTTTCCAAGAGGGGTAAGTGAAGGGTTTGGAGAAAGAGAGGGAGCTGGGGCAGAGGAAGAGATACAAGCCCTCTGTGAAATACAAACCAGGGGGCTTAGTATTGATCCTTGGGAGAACACAAGAACTAATCGTTGCAGGTTGATCTTTGTGAGCTCGGGGAGGAGAAAACGGTGACTGCCAAGAGGCTCTTCCACAGTTACCCGATTGAATCTCGTTTCCTCTCCTGATAGGGTTATCAGGCAGGGGGATCATGGATCTGAATTTCAGCGAGGCACTTGACAGAGTTGCTCAGGATATTCTTATAGACAAGATGGAGAAATGGGGATGGGAGTAGGACACAGCTAAGTGGATTTGCAGCTGGCTGAACAAATGCATCAAAGTGTTGAATAATAGAATGATGTCAGCCTGGAAGGAAAATGAGCCTTGTGCTACAGGGCTCTGTTTTGGGCCCTGTTCTGTTCAGCAAGCTGATGGGTGGCTTGAACAGAATAGTAGAAGGAATGCCTGTTAGGACAGTGAATGACATCCGTATGGGAGGAACTGCTAACACATTAAACAAAAGAGTCAGGATCCAAAATGTTCTCATCCTGCTAGACCAATGACCTCAAACCATCGAGAAGAAATGTAATCGGAATGAATGTAAAGTCCTTTAATTGATTCCAAAATCAATAACACAAAAAAGGATGTGAGATTCTTGGCTTAGGAGCAGTTCATGGAGCGAAGACCTAGCCCCCTGGCAAAACGTGCTCCCATTAACATGTTGCAGTCACTAACAAAACTTAAGGGATTTTGGACTGCGTTAGTAGGAGCCCAGCGCCTCCTCCAAAAGTAGTTATAATTCCACTACATGATGGACTGGTAAACACCCGGTTTCAGGTGAGGTGCTGCATTTTAAGACAAACAGAAAATTCAGAGAAGGGAAAAAATACTAGAGAAGATGTGGCTTTAATACAAGGTGAGAAACGGTTCATGTGATTGGTGACATTTAGCCAAGGAGAGGCAAGGTGGCAATCTTCTAATATTTGGAGAGCTGACATAGGAAGAATGAGAAAACAAAATCATCACTGCTCTACATGGATTAAGAGTTACAGAATTGTGGAGTAAGTCTCAGGGCAACCTAAACATGCAGTTGCCACACAAGCAACTGAGTTCCCAGCACTGAGGGGATTCACAGGCTGGGCTGGTGGGAGAAGCATTTCTTTTCAGAGTGAAAAGTTGTTTTGCCTAATTCTACAGGACAAAATAATCTTGATATGTGCAGAAGTGTTGACAATGAAATTGCCATAAGTATTGCCTGCTGATTAAATCCAACACATATGCCTTAGCCAATTATGATTTCAAGGTACTTTGTATACATAGGGAAGGTGTAACGAAAAAGTAAAAATAACCACATCACATTGTGTTCCCTGGAGGAGCTTAAAAATCTAAAGACATATAAGTAATTTCGTTTAAATAAAAGACAAAATAAAATAGATTATTATATTTTATTTTAACAGATTATAATAAAATAAATTATAATAAAGAAAGAGAAGCCACGCATGGTGGCTCATGCCTGTAATCTCAGAATTTCGGGACACCGAGGCTGGGATATTTCTTGAGGCCAGGAGTCCATGACCAGCCTAGGTAATATAGTGAGACCTCATCTCTATAAAAATAATAAAAAATTTAAAAATTAGCCAGGCATGGTGGCACACACCTGTAGTTCCAGCTACTTAGGAGGCTGAGGTGGGAGGATTGCCTGAGCCCAGGAATTCAAAGCTTCAGTGAGCTATGATGGCACCACTGCACTACAGCCTGGGTGACAGAGTGAGACCCTGTCTCTAAAAGAAAGAAGAAAGAAAGAAAGAGCTATAGGATAAAGAAAGGGTAAGAATTAATTTTAAGTTGAGTTAGAGGCTGATCAAAGAAGGCTTCACAAAACAGGTAGCATTCAACCTGAATGCATATTGGGTTTCCAGCTCAAGCATCCAGGCAGCTCAGGTACAGCCCTGGTGAAACTCTAAACGTGGCCACCCTGCATCTTTTCCTGTATTTAGCCATTTGAACGGCCATCTTGTCTGTGCTGTTATTTCAAAGAGATTTTGTTCTCTGCCCATACCTGGCAACTTGACAGTTTAGATCTCCTTTGCTTCCTGCCTTCCCTGTCACCCTCATTGTTATGAGGGACTAGCCTTCAATTCTTCTGCCCGTGGTCACCTGTAGACACAGCCCTGGCACAGGAGTCGCATTCCATCAGTTTTACCATGTAAGGTAACCTGATCACAGGAAGGCCATTCCCTCACCATTGCCGTATTTTTGGTTAGAGCAATGCAGAGGTCACACGCCTCTTTCAGGTCTGTCTGCTACAGGTGCCAGGTGGGGGTCAGTTAGACACTTGAAACAAGAAGGTGGAAAGATAGGGCAGGTGTGAAGCAGGTGGGCACTTCAGAGCTGGGCACTCAACCTTGGGGATTCCTTCAGGGGTGCAATTATGTTCCTCTCTCCTCTTGCCTAGACAAATGGCTTGTCATCCTTGGTCATGAAAAAGACACTTTACCTTTCAGGCACGAGGGCACATCCCACTCAGCAAGATGAGCTAAGATGATACCATCTGCCACCCTCCTTGAGCTCTCCCCCTTCAATTTTGTGAGTATTCCTCCTAGCCCTTGAGGTAGTAATCCACACAGCAGTAGTTGCTGACATCACCAGGATTGACAGGTCTCGGCCATCACACAGGCTCCCAGCCTATGGCTAAGTAACATTATCCCCCAGGCTGTGTGTCTATGCAGGGCACTTCCCAGACACTACCAGCTGCTTAGACGTACAGTTCACTCCCAGTGGTTTAAACCCCAACCAGGACTCAGAGATTGTTGCTGCATCTCTGTCTCTCCTCTATCATAATGCCAGCTGTGGCCTCCCCTGAGAGCCGACTATTTAAAAATTAATCACCATGTTTCATTCCACATAGAAGCTCCTGTTCTATTTATTTCTCCTTCTTCTTCAGATCCTCTCCTGGAAATCTGATGGAAAGAGCCATATGACTTATCATTTTCTTCCTCTATAAAGTGGTGTGAAAATTACACAGAAGGTCATCAGGAGGCACTTCTCCTCCACCCACAGAAGGAGAGGGGGTGTTTCCAACAGTGGCTAACTGTTGTAAGTCTGATGCTCTTTGGGGCATTGACTAATGGTAAGAGTAGGTGGACGTCTAAGTGGCCTCAATCCTTCTCTCTTCCATCTGTAGTCATACCCTTTGCAATATGACTTTGTGCCTCTTCCCATTAAGATGTGGAGTCTATTTCTCCATACCCTGAATCTAGCTTATTGTTATAATTTGTTTTAGGCAAGAGAATGAAGTGGGAGTGAAAGTCTGCCAGTTTGGGGCCTAGGTATTAAGAGTCCCTGCATGCTTCTACCTCAC
Source organism: Homo sapiens (assembly GCF_000001405.40). NCBI lineage: Eukaryota > Metazoa > Chordata > Mammalia > Primates > Hominidae > Homo > Homo sapiens. The sequence continues at coordinate 35,664,687 of NC_000021.9, forward strand.
TCTCTTCGAATGTACTCAGCCTCCCTGAGAACAAACCCAGGCCAGCTTGCTGGAGGAGGAGAGACTGCTTGGAACAGAGACCTGCTATCCCATCATACTCTATCCATCATTCTCCATCCCAGCATAGCCAGCCCCCAGCTGACTCAGAAGGTGAATACAAACACATGAATGAAGTCACCTGAGACAAGAAAAACCACCAAGCTAAGCCTAGCCCACACTGCCAACCCACAGACTCATGAATGAAACAAACGGCTATTGTTTTAAGCTACTCTACATTGGGGTGGTTTGTTATGCAGTATGATCTGATGCAGGCTCCATGGTTTATCAGTATAAACTTCCACATCGCCAGTTTCAAAAAAGCCACCACCTGACTCATCTCAAACATTCAGCAGGGTGATGGTGTCCCCATTTTTTTTTCCTTCACTTGATCTTCTGGAACCATTTTCTTGAGGCTCCAGGACCTAACATTGAAACTGGAAGGAAAGGGTCTTGGGGGATGGGTTGAGTTGCCATACTTTTCCTTTTCACAAAAGTCCTTGCAAAGCATATTTCTTTTATTTCATCCTTGGATGGTTGCCTTCAATTCCTTTGTTTCATAAGCTTCTATTCTCCCAAAGAGCCACGACAGCATTGATTTCAACCTATGATTGCCACTGAAATATTAAACCCTATTGATTTGAAACTCAGGATTAGTTGCAAGTTGGATACTCTGCATATTTTGAAGATGGGCAATTTTATTTCTTCTAGTTGAAGAGTAATCACAGCCTCCTGGTATTCTTGTTTTTTGATGTAGAACTTCAAATCTGATTTCTTATTTGGTTCCCTAAAATTGTGAAATGCACTATGTTCACTAACTAATCACTTTACTCTTTCAAATGAAGCCTTCATACTTCTGAGTGTGCCGGTGTGAAAATACACATTCTCTCCATTATCTATACATTGAATACTGTCATGATGATTCCTCCACCTCCCCAAACATCAACAAAAATCTTACTGGCTATAAGTAAAGATATCGTATTCTGAGTAGGCATTCAGTAGAATAACTTTTCTTTTACTAAGCAGAGTTTATCATTAGTTTGATGTCTACTGAAAGCATACCACTACATCTAAGACTCCCATTAGCTTGAAGCTCACCCCAGTACATGGCTACTACTGAAAATTTTTGTCCTAAAATGCCCTCCAAGAATAGAGCATCGGACTGCTGAAATAAAACTTCTCTGGATAACTCAAGACGGGATCTGCAATGGGTTGTCTGAAAACCAAGTTCATCTGAAGATGCAAAAGGCTAAAGACGTGGCGATCAATTGTCTCCCAATTCTTAATTCATAGCTGCATTAATCATAAGCCTCTCCAAAATAAAAACAGTTAAACATTTTGAAACAAAAGACATTTCAAAAAATGTATACACTGGCGAACATTTTTACTTAATAGACATATATCTATAGAATAGCTGTATTCAACTTTAAAAGCTGTTACTCTAGTGTGTACTAAATAGAGCCCAGAAACACAAGGTCCCCTTCCCTCTTGCTTCACCAGAGGTCTCCCCAAACCCTGACCCACATTCCTTACCCCTCCCTAGTGTTCATCCAGGAGGGAGCCCAGTGGCAGAGCCAGCTGTCCCAGTAGCATAGCGGTAGGATGGAGTGAGAGTAAGGCCCTGGGGGAAGCCGCAGCCCCGCAATCCTCAGACTGTATTTTCCTCTGTCTCCCACACCACCATTCTATGACCTTCCTCCTCCTTCACACCAAGCTTTGGCATTACTTCTAAGATAAGATGTCTAGAAAGTGGAGCTGCAGGGGTCCCTTTTGAAATGTAGGTGAGATGTCCTAAGAACCTATTCCCAATTTATTCTTTGATCTATCCCTTCCTTTCTCAAGCAGCACTCAAAAAACCAGTCTGACATCTGCAAGCCATGGCAGACAGAGATATAAACCTGTGATCCTAAGAGTATTCAAGGGAAGTCCTGCTGAACTTAGCCTTTCCCAACAGGCTCACAGATAAAAAATGAGCAGGTGAAGAGCAGACAAGCCCACTCACCGTTGTCTGTGTAGCTATCAACTTGAGCAAATTAACAAAATATTAAATTAAAAGTAATGGCAAAACCCACAATTACTTTTGCACCAACCTAATAACCATTAAATTAAAGAAAGAACTCGGGACTGTAAGCAGTTCATCAAGGAGTCTTACGACATTGGGTTAGAAACACAAAATGCTTGTATTTCTCTAATTACTTCCCCCCGCCCTTTGCTCTGTTGAGTCTTCTTTTTATACTCCTTAATAGTGTCCTGGGTGGATTCCGTACCTTTCTAGTTGTTTAAAATGTGAAAGTGATAAGGCAATTAATGAAGGGCCATTGCAAACCTTCAGTCTCAATCTTGTTTTCAGTCGTACGCCCTCTGTGTAGACTTGAGTAGGACCTTAAATGCTGAAGGGTGGGGCAGTGAGGCAAACTCTGCTTCTGCAATGCCCACTGTCTACTCCCGGTTGAGCTCCTCCAGTTGATAGGAAGGGGCCGTGTCTCTATTCACTTATGTGACCTCTGATGGCATTCTCTCTCAGATGATTGCTGCAGCTGTACTGGCTGGTTGACTTGCAACTTCTCTGAGGGGCAGCATCTAAGCACTGTCTCTCTTATGGGAACAAGTTTGAATTCTCCAGCAGGCTCTGAAGGCTCTGTCATCTCCCTTCCCTATCTCCACCTACTGCACAATTCTGTGACATAGGATTCCTGGTTCTGGCTTGACCTCTCCAACCCCTTCTCCATAGCTCCCTTTACCAGGTGCAAATCCCATAGCCTTCTACTGCTAGGTTCCCTGTGCCCAGTGAACATCCCGCCTTGTTGGGTACGAGCAAGATGACTCAAACCCAGCTGTCATTCCAGGGTGTCCACTGACCCACAGGAAACCCAGCCATCCTTGCCATGTGGTTGGTATGTGGGCTTCCAACCCCTACCCATCCTGCTCCCCGCTCCATTTCCCTCCAATAGGCAAATCAGCAAGTCTATCACCTAAGCCAATGTCCAGCTTGGAAAGGCAAGACTCCCTTCCTTTCCCCCAAGGGCACCCCCAATTTCTTAGTACTGCTTCCCCAGGTATCATCCCACTTGTCTTCATGGTGAGACTTCATTATAAAGACAGGAAGAGGTGATGGGTGGTGGCTGGTGGCAGCATTTTTGGTTCCACGAAGTTCTCTGTGGTGCAGATCTTGATGCCCTCTCTAGAATGTGGGCATTCTTGATGGCTTTTGTTTCAAGTCAAGCCTGTATTTGCTAGTTATGGGACAACCTAAAGAGTCTCACTAAGCTTCTTTGCATTTGTTTCTTAAAGCTTACATCACAGATAATAACAAACAGGGTAGTTAAACAACAGAAGTTTATCCTTTCCAGGTTCTGGAGGCCAGAAGTCTGAAATCAAGCTGTCGGCAGGTCCATGCTCCTTTTGAAGTCTCCAGGAGATGATCCTTCATTGCCTCTTGCAGCTTCTGGTGACCCCAGATATTCTTTGGTTTGCAGGTGCCACACCCACGCTCTGCCCCCATCCTCACATGGCCTCTTCTCTTTGCCTCTGTGTCCTCTCCTTTTCTCATAAGCACACAAGTAACTGAATAGAAGGCCCACCCTAATCCAATACGACCTCATTGTCATCCATTACATCTGCATAAACTCTGTTTGTCATTTATTTGGCAATAAAAGTCATGCAGATTATTGGCTCAGAAAGGTGTCCCTAGATTCTTCAATTACCCTGGACCCAGGAATACCCAGCACCTCACTCCTCAGGCCCTGACTCTCCACTCCCTCCAGCTACCATGTTGTAGGTGCAGGGACCCTGAAGGCCACCCTGGCTTTCACAACCAGCTCCTAGCAGGGGGAGGAGAAGCCTTCTCCTGTCTCTGAAAAGAGAAGCTATTTGTTGAGACACAGTGACATTCTCAGTATATTTTCCCACAAAGTCAGTGTTCCATTGGTCTTACATCTTCTGGCCCTGTTGGTATTACAGGACATGGCTCAGCTGGGCTTTAGTTAGCTGTCCTGGGATCCTGCCCTTCTTTCTTTGAGAAAGAATATTCTAATGCCCAAAACTAACTTCTAAATGTGCCTTTTCATAAGGTGGGGATTCCCTCTATTACTACTATTGGGGAAAGATTTTTTGTATAATAAAGAAATAAACACAGACATGTCCAACTTGACATATCAAGCCAGAGGAGGTGTATTAAAGGTTGAGGAGCTCATATAGGAAAACTATTATTCATCATTTATTCATCATTAAATATAAATTGTCATCAAAAATGTTTTAATATTTTTTATTGTGTATTTTTAAGGTGTACAACAGGATGTTGATATATACATATGTAGTGAAATGATTACCACAGGTAGGCAAATTAACGTATCACCTTTCATAGTATATTTATTCATTTTTGTCTTCAGAGCATCTAAAATATATTCTCTTAGCAATTGTCCAGTATATGATACAATAATTGCCTACAGTCCTCCTGCCGCACATTAGCTCTCTCTCCAGACGTATTCACCCTGCATTAACTACACGTTTGTACCATTTGATTCACATCTCCCCATTTCCACCGTTCTACTGTTTTTATATATTCAACTTTTTCTTAGATTCGTCATATAAGTGAGGTCGTATGGTATTTGTCTTTCTGTACCCAGCTTTTTTCACTGAGCACAATGTCTCCTGGTTCCTTGATGCAGTCACATATGGCAAGATTGCCTTTTTTTATTATTTTAATTTTTGTGGTTACACAGTAGGTGTATATATTTTATATATTTATGGAGTACATGAGATATTTTGATACAGGCATGCAATGCACAATTAACACATCATGGAAAATGGGGTATCCATCCCCTCAAGTATTTATCTTTTGTGTTACAAACAATCCAAGGTTATACTTTCAGTTATTTTTAAATGTACAACTAAATTATTACTGACTATAGTCACCCTGTTCTGCTATCAAATACTAGGTCTTATTCACTCTTTCTATTTTCTTTGTACTCGTTAACCATCTCCACATCCCCCTAAAGATTGCCTTATTTTTAAAGGCTGAATAATATTCTTCATTCATTCATCCATCAATGGACACTTAGGCTGTTTCCATATTTTGGCTATTGTGAATTACGATGCAATGAACATGGGAGTGAAGATATCTCTATGAGCTCTTGATTTCATCTCTTTGAGTATATACCCAGGAGAGGAATTGCTGGATCATATGGTAGTTCTATTTTTAATTTTTTGAGTAATTCCATATTGTTTTCCATAATAGCTGTGCGAATTTACATTTCCACCAAGAGTGTATGAGGGTTCCCTTTTTTCCACGTCCTCATCAACACTTGTTACCAAGTGTCTTTTTGATAATATCCATCCTGATAGGTGTGAGGTGATATCTCTTCATGATTTTTTGCACTTCCCTGGTGTTGAGCACTTTTTCATCTATGTGTTAGCCATTTTTATGTCTTCTTTGAAAAATTTCTAGTCAGGCCCTTTGACCATTTTAAAATCAGATTTTTTTTCTTTGTTATTGAGTTGTATGAGTTCCTTATATATATTGGAAATACACACAAAAAATTAAAACAGTTTTTACCCATCCCCCAAAATATTGATAAATATTTTTGACACTATATCACCAGCTATTAAAAGTAATTATTTAAGATAATGCATCATACTCAAGAATTAAAAATGAAAATTGTATTTAGCAGTTTTTTATAGCTTGGAGAAATATTATTGAGGCTGAATTCCACTGAAATGAGATAATGTCTTACAAGTGACATACATATAATTATTAATAAATATTAATATAGGACACTTTTTAAAATAAATAGACGTAAGTAAATTTTCAAAAAGCAATCAAAGTAGAAACACAGAACGTGAACTTTCAGGCACAAATAGTACTTTGACATGGTCTCATTCTTTCTGTTGACATTTGGTTGTACATTATTCAAAGATGCTACAGAAAGTTGCTAATAACTGGCTGCCAGAGATCAAAAATCTTGTCTAAAGAGACAAAAAATATTCACACACACAAAAAGGTTTTTAAAATACTCAGGAACTTTTAAAAGACATCTCATCATCAAACTGTAAGGTCCCCAATGACAAGAAGCACATGTGTTTTATTTTCTAATATACACCACTGGACACAGTGACTGGCACATAGATGGCCTCAAGACATTGTTCTAGTTGAAAACATTTGGGCACAAATGATAGGCAACTCTTTAACCTGAGCATCTGAATTTGGACATTTATTTTTAAAAAGCTGACAAAGTATATAATCAATATTTCTGATGAGAACTCAGTCCTGCTTTTATATTTTTCATGTAATCGATTTTTTAACTTTTAACATTTAATACCTCAAGGCTCACTGATACCTTATACACCTCAGCATCATCATAATACTAGACCAGTGTAAATGCCAGGAGCCTAAATAATCCACTTTTCAATTAACTTATTTAGAAAGTTCCAGGATTGAGTGAACTAAATAAAGGGAGAATTTTTTTCCTTTTTTTTTTTTTTTTTTTTTTTGAGACAGAGTCTCACTCTGTCACCCAGGCTGGAGTGCAGTGGTGCGATCTTGGCTCACTGCAACCTCCACCTCCTGGGTTCAAGCAATTCTCCTGCCTCAGCCTCCCGAGTAGCTGTAGCTGGGACTACAGGCGCACGGTGCCACGCCCGGCTAATTTTTTGTATTTTAGTAAAGACAGGGTTTCATTGAGTTGCCCAGGCTGGTAGCAAACTCCTGAGCTCAGGCAATCCGCCCGACTCAGCCTCCCAAAGTGCTGGGATTACAGGTGTGAGCCACTGCAAGGCAGAAATATTTATTCATGATTTGCCTGGCCTGTGCAGAGAGCTCTTCTGAACTCATGCTTTGCTAGGTCCTTCCTACAGGACAAACCAGACTGGGCAATGGAACACTCATCTTTCCTATCTTCCAGCAGTTGTCAATCTATTATGGCCAGCGTTCAGTGAGACTCCTATGACATGAAACTTACAGCTTTTTTCACCAGGAATTGACTTTGGTCAATTTCAGCAAAGTGTGGGGTTTAGTAGAAGGAAACTCACAGAATCAGGAGGGGTCTTCAAAAGCACAAGCCCAGTCCTGGGACCCTAGGAGGAGATGCTGGAACTTTCTCTCAGGCATTGTGGGATGTTGACTCATCTCTGGCTTGCCTTCTATCACAGTGTGATAAAAGTTTCCATACTCTTGAGAGAATGCGGAAACCATTCTTCAACCTATAGGTACCATCAACCTATAGGTACATGTACTTATAGGTACTACAGGGTCACATGTCCACTTACCAGTGAGATAGAGCCCAGGAAAAAAAATCTCTCCCACCTAAGAACTCACATTGTCCCTAGAAGAATGTGCTAGGAGACTGAGCCCAAGTCATCTGTCATCAGGGTCAAACAGGTGCTGGTTTAGGGTATACCCATGTGCAAAATGGACACCGAGACTAGCAATGATGTTATTACTACTGCTAACATTTATCAAGTGCTTATTATGTACCAGTTGCCCTTCTCATCTTAACGGCTATCTATTAACTCCTGTTTTTCACTACGACCTGTGAAGTAATTCTTTTTCAAATGGAAACATCTGAAATGCAGATGTTCCAGAAATATCTCACCTGAGAGACTCTCTCTGAAGAAGACCTTAAATTGGTTGAGCCTAGGAGACAGACACTGTGGTTAGCAGGGTTCTAAGATGGTTCTCTGCTCCTCTCCCGAGATGCAATGCCTCATATAATCCCCTGCCCTTGATGTATGGAGGTCTATGACTCCATTTTGCCAGTATAACTACAGAGATCCCTGCTGGCCTTGCAGGAGCTAACTACCATGCTGCAACCTACCCATGGAGAGGGCCGTGTGTCCGGGAATGGTGGGGGCCCCTCAGAGCTGAGGGCCTGAGTCCTACAAATGCAACAACCTGAATTCTTCCAACCACCAGTGGGCTTGGAAGAGGACCCTGGTCTCAGCTGAGATGGGCACTGCAGCCAACACTTTGATTGCCACCTTTGAGACCCTAAGCAGAGAACCAGGTAAGCCGGGTCTAGGTCCCAGCACCATGACAACTGTGAGATAATAAATATGTATTGTTTTAAGCCACTAAGTTTGGTCAGTTTGTTATACAGTAAGGGAACCTAGTGTAGCCACTGTTAAATTAAAATGGAGACTGAGCCTGAAGACTCCCTGAGTAGACAAGCCTTAACTTTCATCGACTGGCAAACATAAGCAAAACTGAATTAAAGCTATTTCTTGTAAATGCCTATATTAAAGAAAAACAGAACTTAAGCCTAACCAATCAGAAAAAGCTAACAAACTTATAAAAAGAGGGACTTTCTAGCGGGATAGACCAAATAAGGCAACTGTGTAACTGTAGCCAATCAAATGTTTTCTCTTTGCTTTACTTCTGTGTTCATCTTCAAAAGCCTCCCCCATCCGAGAACGGTAGCTCGCACCTGTAATCCCAGCACTTTGGAAGGCCAAGATGGGTGGATCACTTGAGGTCAGGAGTTCGAGACCAGCCTGGCCAACATGCTGAAACCCCGTCTCTATGAAAAATAAATCAATGATACAAATATTAGCTGGGTGTGGTGGCATGCGCCTGTAGTCCCAGCTACTAAGGAGGCTGAGACAGGAGAATCACTTGAACCCAGGAGGTAGAAGTTGCAGTGAGCAGAGATCGTACCACTGCACTCCAGCCTGGGTGACAGAGCAAGACAGATGGAGAAAAAGCCTTCTCCATCTTCCCTCAGTGGAGCTCATGAACCACCTCTGGTTTGGTTGCTGTTTGCTCTATGAATTGCTGTTTGCTCAATAAGTGCTTTAAAATTTTACTGTGCCTCAGTTTACTTGCTTAATGACACCAACAGGGACAGGACTTGCACAGAGCATGAACATCCCTGATTGGATGGACAGTTCCTGTGGGGTGGGTCAGAGGAGGGAAGAACCTACCAAAACAGGACCACCACACACCCTGCCAAACAAGGGGCTTATTTTGCAGCTAACCAAGCCTATGGGGGCAAATCTGATCCGGCTCCCATTGTGCCAGGAAACCTGATATCTTCTTTAGCCTTTGTATAGACTTAAGAGCACTGGAGAATGCCTCCGAAAAATGCACAGATGGGCAGTATTGTGTACACTTCAGGCAGATTTCAGGCCCCTGAAATTTCCCCTTGTGTCCTCTGCTTCCATACCCAGGAACCCCCACTCTGGATCATGCTTTCCCAAGGTGGGGCCATATGGTACCCAAGGAAATGAGAAGCGGTTTTGGGGGGGGAAATAAAAATATCTTATTATTTTTATGCATGTAGCACAAATAAACATAGGATACATAAACAGATTTACAGTATATCTGTGGTGTTATAATTTCATGGGAGACAAGAAAACAATGTCTTAAAAAGCTTAAAACAGGGAGAAGATAATGAAAAAAGGTGGAGAAACACTGGTGTAGACAATAATAGTTCATGGTCAAAACAGAGAGAGGCTTTGAGACACTGATAATACTCTACGTCTTGTCCTGGCTGGTGGTTACATCGATGTGTTTGCCTTCTGAAAATCCACAAGCACATGCTAAAGATCTGTACGCTTTATGTAAGGCACACTTCATCAAGAGGAACGTTTAGCAACAATTGGAAAAGCAGAATCCAATGTTCTGACACTTCTAGCTAAAGACGCTGTCACGCTGGAGTGAAACACACAGACGCCAGGCAGATATCGAGGCTCTATCTCAGTTCCTCCTTTTCCTCGTGTGCGACCTTGGCTAAATAACACACTTCCAAGCCTCAGCGTTCTCATCGGGAAAATGGGTTTAATAATACAATCTGCCTCAAAGGGTAGTGGTGAGATTAAATGAGTTTATACATGTAGAGTACTTAGGACAGTGTGTGAAACAGCACACGCTACAGAAGTTCTGCTAGTTCTGCTGTCCTGATTTGTTGTTGTTGTTATTGTTGTTGTTGTTGTTTGTTGTTTGTTTGAGACAGGGTTTCCCTCTGTTGCCCAGGCTGGAGTTCAGTGGCACAATCTCGGTTCACTACAACCCCTCCTTCCCGGGTTCAAACAATTCTCATGCCTCAGCCTCCTGAGTAGCTGGGATTACAGGTGCGCACCACCACTCCAGGCTAATTTTTGTTATGTTTTTAGTGGAGACGTGGTTTCACCATGTTGGCCAGGCTGGTCTCGAACTCCTGGCCTCAGGTGATCCACCAGCCTGAGCCTCCCAAAGTGTTGGGATTACAGGCATGTGCCACCGCACCTGCCCATCCTGGTTTTATTGAAGCTCTTTCTGCTTTGTCCTTTCTCTATCAACTTTAAGTTTCTGAAGAACGGGAAAAACCACCAGCGGTTATCTTTCCCCAGCCCACAGTGTGGTGCTCTGCAAAAGCTAGATGCTCACAGTGTTGTGGTTGAAGTTGTGGAATCATTTACTTTCTTGTGGCATTTTGATACAGTTCAGAATTATTGATCTTGGTTTCTGGGAACAATATGGTTACATATTAGATACTTTCAGACCAAATTCTGTTTTCTCCTTTAAAAATAAGGTAAAGGGTCACAGCTCCCCAGGCTTGACATAGACGAATGACCAACTGCGAGTCAGGAGCCCACGGCTCTCCTTCCATCTCTGCTGGCCACCGGCTGAGGGATCTTTAATAAAAAATTATTTCTCCCACACACACAGGCCTGGGTTTTCTCATCTGGACAATGAGACAGCTGGATCAGACAACCTCTAAGGTTCTTCCTGTGTGGTTATATAGTTAATAATAATCACAACAATAACAGCAGCAGGAACTTGACCTTTAATGTGTGCCGGACAGGAGTCAGAGTGTATTACTCACCCCTTCAGTCCCCATGATATATGTGCTCTCATTATCCCCATTTTACAGGTGGAGAAACTGAGGCAGAGTGCCCCCCCCCCCCCCGCTGGTAAATGACAGAACCAATATCTGGCTCCAGAGCCTGTGTTCTTAACCATTACCAGGTACTGCCACCTCCAAGTTCATAAAGACATAAAACATAAATTATTCACATACTTCCCCTAGCAAGCAGTGTATACAGCCAGCACCCTCAGGCCTCTGTGACACTGTCCCTCAATTCACCTTTCAAGAAGCAACTCTGCATCCACTATTTCCTGAAACTTCTCTCAGTCAGCACCAACAGCCACACCCCCTACTTTTGCATGCATCCCAATCTGGGGCTCTAGGTGATAGTCACAGTGTTTTGTGTTGGTCCCTGTTATTTTATTGAATTGTCCCATCTCCCCAAGTAAATGACTACCCTTCTGAGGTCAGAGACTATCTTCATATATTGATATCCTCCTTCAGGAGCACATAGTAGAATTCAATAAATATTACAACCAGAGCACCACTTGCATTTACATATACAGTCATCTCTCGGATTCCAAGGGAAATTAGTTCCAGGACACCCTGAGGATACCAAAACCCGAGGATGCTCAAGTCCTAAAGCTGGCCCCCCTGGAACACAAGGATATGAAAAGCCAGCCTTTTCTATCAGTGGGTTCCACGTCCTGCAAATACAGTATTGTACTTTCCACGTGCGGTTGTTTCAATCCATGAATGTGGAATGTAGGGATAAGAAGGGGCACGTGCAGTGCATCCTACTCTGATATAATCTATTGATTTAGCTGATAGAATGTGGTATGAGGACAAAGAGAAAGCTCGACTCCTGAGTTCATGGTTGTGGGTGGATGGTGGCATGGTGAACCAAGACAGGCCCTAGAGGAGGAGCGCACTTGGACAGGGAAGACGAGGGTAGGAAGCAGAATGTGTTTATTTCTACAACACAGTGTGAGAACTGAGCACCAGATATGCACCAAGTTGCCACAGGAACTTCCTGAGGAGCCCTGAACTCTTCACTCCTGGCCTCACAAGAGTGACCCTGGAGGAGCAATGCATCATTGCAACGTCATTTCCATGTTCACCTTTTTGAATATTAATGACCCTGGCTGCCCTTTGTTCTGCTGGCTGTACCTGTCCCTAGAGGAGGTGGAGGCACAGCAGTTGAACTCAGGGTTTGGGACTGAAATTCCATCAGGCCTTTGGATCAATGGAAATCTTCTATGCTATGACAGTGACACAGGCTCATGTCTTCTTTCACTTAATTCCAGAAGCTGGGTGACATGAAGTCGTGTTCATGAGACAGAATTCCATGTAAGCTCTAACCCCAAACCCTGTGGCTGTGGGGCCAGAAAGCACACGAGCAGAATCGGGGGTCTGTGTTGAATAGACCACTCACCGCAAGTGGCTGTAGCTACAAGTGCCATGTCCTGATCCCAATGGATTCCCAACCCTGCTGTCTGGGGGAAAAGCTAATTTTAAGATTTATACTAGGAATGCACACAAGAAAAGAGGATTTGATCTTTTTTGGCATATCTGGTTTGCAGCTGTGTGTCTGCACTGGATTGTTAATAATATCAGAAACATATCTGAACCACCTAGAGATGTGCCTCTGTTGTCAACACTGTCTGGAAATAGCTGTCAGGCCCACACTAAACAAGGCTCTCAAAGAAGGGAGAGAGGAGAGGTTAAGTGTCCTAATAGAAGTTATAAAAACCTATCAGTTCAGGAAGAAAGACCAAGCTGCAAAGACAGGGTTGGAAAATGTGCTGTCACTGCTTGAGTAGTGGCCAAAATACCTGGAAACCTGAGAGAAGCAGGTCAGGGCCAGTGCACAGTCCAAAGTAGTCATGGCAAATATGCATCCAACCCTGCAGCATTTGTTTACCCGTATCCTGCCTATTGCCTGACTATCATCTACAGCTGGGAGCTCTGTGTGATTAAAGGCCACGTAGTGCAATCCCCGTCTGAGGCTAACACATACCTACACTCACACATCAACTGCAGTAGACACAACAAGTGCCCATCCATATTCCTTTGAACCTTCTCTTTTCAGTGCCTCTGGCCCCAGTTCCAAATTCCAGCACCTGCACCTCTGTCAAAAGGCTTTCTCTGGCCACCAGAGCCTGATCTTCTCATAGATATTGTGGGTTGGAACTGACAGGAAATTAATGCCTCCAGGGCCAAACCTTACCCAGTGACTGATGGGAGTTGGTAGGTAAATACACCCTGAGGTGGAAAAAATCTGACATTCATGTTCAACACTGTTTACCAGAGTCCCCTGAGGGAGTGAGGCTCTAGCTTCCCACAAAAATACTTGCTGAGCTTGAATCCTTGTCTCAAAATCTGTTTCTGGGGAAACCTAAACTTCGATACCTGGATGTATATTACACACACATAAACACACACAGTACTCTACTATTCATAGAAAGTTTTAAATTGTACAACACCCTTTACTTATACCATCTTATTTTATATTTACGTCAACTTTGTTATTGTTTCTATCATTCCATTTTTTAAAATGAGGAAACCATCTCACAGAGGTGAATATAGATCACCAAAAGTCATATAGAAGGCTCAAAGCCACTACCTGCTGCTATCAATGCTTTTGGCTTTTCTACTGCATCTATGCTACCCCAGTGGAGGATAAATCAACAAAAGGCCACACTTTCAAAGAGCTCACTTATAGTCAGAGTGTCTCTTGGTAAAAGCTAAAAGTGCTGGAATGGCAGAGCCATGTAACCCTTGGAGTTACTACTCATCTCCCACAAAGTCTCCCTTATTATCTCCTGGCACATGCTACAAACAATAGTAGGTGGTGTTCAATAGCTACATGATAGATAGAAAGATGAATGGATGGATTGATGATGAATGGGTGGTTGGATGGACAGATGGATGGATGAACAGATGGATGGATACATGGATGAATGGATGATGAATGAGTGAATAGATGGATAGGGATGGATGGATGGATGAATGAATGGATGGATTAATGGATGGGGATAAATGAATGTATGAATGATAAATGGGTGGATGGATGAAATAATAAGTGGATAGATGGATGGATGAGTTAATGGATGGGGATAGACGAATGGATGTATGATAAATGGGTGGATGGATGAATGAATGGATGCAAGGAGGAATGGATGGATGGATGGATGGATGGATGGATGGATGGATGGATGGATGATGAATGGATGGATGACCATATCAGTCCACAATGAATGTCTGAGCCTACTGTAGCCTTAGCCTTAGCAAGAACAAGGCTGAAGTTACAACTTAAATGTGATTTGCATGTAACTTTTGCTTATTTTATTGTCTATTTACCAGCACCAAACACATCTGAGATGATGTGTATGAAAATGACATCTACTAATGATGTCAGAACAGAAAGAGTTTGAGAAAAACAAGTGTCAATTACTCACCAGAGGCGGGGTTTATTCTTATGCTTTAGGAAGAATAAAAACCACCTGGGAAGTTTATAAGCTTGTTAAAAATACTAATTTCCCTACCATTAATAGAAGAGTCTAATTCAATGGAACTCCCAGGAATCATGTAATATCCTTGGGTAATTCACAGGGATTGTGATATTCTAAGCTGAGATGAAGGCATCCCCTTCAAATAGGCATTTTCTTCCCTCCTCTAGATTATTGTCAGGATTCATCTTATTGCATCAGCATCACAAGTACACAAGTTGCTTGAAGAGGGAGTCAGAAGCGGGATGTAAAAGGCATTAACCCCACCCTGGATATGCACTGAAAGCGTTATGGGCAAAATAAAATAAACATCCTAGACTGGGAGGAGAAGTTAGGGGCCTAAAAATTGAACTCCACACCCAGCATATACATCTTTTCTAATGCAGGCAACAGAAGGCTGTTCTCATCTTTGCTTGAACACATTCTGTTATGGGAAGTTCTTTACCTCCTGTAACTGTTCATTCATTTTTGAATAGTTTGGTTACAAAGTTCTTAGTGGTTCCATTTCTGTTCAATGATGCTGTAAGAATTAGGTAAAATCCTCATGTACCATGATACCCAGTGGAATATATAGGGATAACTGGCATGTCAGTTCTAAGATGAGCACCCTTATTTCTTCAAGTGTCCATGTATAGGGTTTGATGAACTCTTAAGCATCTGGGTTGACATCCTCTCGACCTATCATTGTTTATCAGTGTTTCTCTGAGAATGCGGTACTAAATTTATCCTTCCAGCTGTGCTCTGATAAAAGTAGAGAGGGCCCATCACACCCTTTATTATGGACAATCTACCTCCATCATTGCCTTCTAGAATCACATTAGCTGATCTGGTAGCCACATCCTATTAAGCCAAAACTCAATTAAAACCTCTGGAGTCTTTTGTCACTGGAAACCTCTCTGTGTGTGGCCATTGATCCAGTTATCAGCACTCTGAATAAAGCCACTCAACCATGTTGTGAATTATCTGACTATTCAGCCTGCATTTTGGCATCTCTCCATGTACTCCACGTAGAAAGAAATGCATTGCGTCTTCAGCCTTCCTCTGTTCACTAGACCTGGGTAGAGCTATCAAAATCAATTGTCTGACCCCTATTGCTGGAGGCATACCATCATATTAGAGAAGAGACACTGGTATGGGATGTGATAATACCCTCGTAAAGACACACCAGGTAACACTTTCTTTCCAGAGAGTAGATGTATAAATAATTGTTCTCATCATTACAAAAATGACCACTTCCTATGCTGGTTCAGGATAATGAAGAAACACAGGGCTCTCTCAGCATACTCAAGAAACAAAACTTTAGTCTGAAAGTCTGCTGTTTTTTAAAAAAGTACTTTACTCCATTTACATTTATTCTGATTACTGATCATTTATTTAGATATATTTTTGCTATAATTTTCCTTTCTTTTCTGTTTTATTCTTTCTTTTTCCTTTCCTGCCTTCTGCTCTATTTTGGGATATATTTTTGCTACAATTTTCCTTTCTTTTCTGTTTTTTTCTTTCTTTTTCCTTACCTGCCTTCTGCTCTCTTTTTTTTTTTAATTCCTTTTTTCTTACTCTTCTTTTGGAATTATTTATCCATACTTCTATACTTTCATGAATATATATTAAGCATAATTTACTATTATTTTTTATATTCTGAAGCTAATCAATATCTCTACTATCTTTACAAGGTAAAGATCTTAGCCCTCTTTAACTTGCCCCCAAATTCTGCTTTCCTATCATCTTTGATATTATTGTTCAGTATCATATTCATTTTCATTTTTAAAAACTCTTAAAATATTATTGATATTAGTATTATTCTTATAGTAGATTTGCGAAATGTTTTCCCCAGTTTCTTAACTGCCTTTGCTCCTTGCTGTCCACTGGCTCCCTTCCAGCTTCCACCTCCTCCTTTTAACATTGCATTATTGCATTTGACCTTTCAGGTAGTGAGTCTCTTAGTCTTTGTATGTCTAAAAGTATCTTTATTTTACCTTCATTCATTATAGAGCAAGGAGCGAAACCGTTTTATTGAGAGGTTTCTGAGGGGACTGAAAAGAGGGGAAATGATGAGGTTCTTTGCCAGAATCTCTTCAGGCAGCTCAGGCTCCTATCCGCTGGGGAAAGCCCTACTCCCTCTTGAGTGATCATTTAACTGAATAGAGACGTGAAATTGATAGTTTTTTTCCCTTACCATTTAGAAAATAATATTCACTTACCATCTAACATTTGTCATTGCCAATGAGAAGTGTGCTGTCGGTCTGAATGCTGCTCCTTTTTTAGGTACGCTTTTTAAAGACTTTTATATCATCTTGCATATTCTGCAGTTTCACTACAATGTGTTAGGTGTGGATTAATAATATGTATCCTTCTCAAGGTTCAGGGTGCTACTGCAAACTGGTCTAATTATTTTTAACTATGGAAATTCTCCACTAATTTTTAAAAATATTGTCCCCAGCACTTTGGGAGGCCAAGGCGGGTGGATCACGAGGTCAAGAGATCAAGACCATTTTGGCCAACATGGTGAAACCCAGTCAATACTGAAAATACAAAAATTAGCTGGGTGTGGTGGCAGGCGCCTGTAGTACCAGCTGCTCAGGAGGCTGAGGCAGGAGAATCCCTCGAACCCCAGAGGCAGAGGTTGCAGTGAGCCGAGATTGCGCCATTGCACTCCAGCCTGGTGACAGAGCAAGACACCATCTAAATATATATATACAGTATTTATATAGTATCTCCCACTCATTCCATAAATTCCTCCTGGAAATCCTGTTAGCCGTATTTTGGAGCTTCTTGTTTTACTTTTACCAGCTCAATTTATAATTTGTATTTGTATCTTTTTACCTTTTGGAGCTGTATTCTAAGTGGATTTGTCAGCTCTATCTTCAGAAATGTTTCTCCAATTGCATCAGCAATCTTCTGTATCTTTTGCAAATCCACCTGTTTTCTTTCGTCTTACGTTATGAAATCTATTCCTCACATGGTCACTTTGGACATCTAAATCACGCTTATTTTCAGCTCCGTGGACTTTACTCTCATCTGCAGTTCTTTCTGAACACTCTCATTTGTTGTATCTGTAGGCTGTCTCTCTCAGTGGTAAATGCCTTCGTGTGTTTGTAATGCTGATGGTTACTTGAGGGAAATAAGAATGTACCACTTGGCTCAGTGTGCATGATGTAAGCTTGTCTTTGTTGTATGTTGGCTCCTGAAGAAATTCCACCCATGTACCCTGGGTTATGAGGGTGATCCCATGGGGTAGTTTAACTTTGGCTTCTGCAGACCCCCTGGGGTCCACCAGCTCCACGTTTTTTTTTCTTTACATCATCTCTGCGCTAAGCTGGTTTTTGTTTTGTTTTGATTTTTTTGAGACAGATTCTTGCTCTGCCACCTAGGTTGGAGTGTAGTGGTGCAATCTCGGCTCACTGCAGCCACCACCTCCCAGGTTCAAGCAATTCTCCTGCCTCAGTCTCCCGAGTAGCTTACAGGTGCACACCACCATGCCCAGCTGATTTTTGTATTTATAGTAGAGATGGGGTTTCAACGTGTTGGCCAGGCTGGTCTCAAACTCCTGACCTCAGGTAATCTGCCTGCCTCGGCCTCCCAAAGTGCTGGAATTACAGGCGTGAGCCACCGCGCCTGGCCTAAATTGGTTTTTAATGAGATTTCATGGCTTGAGTCTGGCTGTGTGCATTTACTCTCATGCTCACACATTGTGGAAGCTTGTGCATTCTGACTTCCCTCAAGTAACTCTTTTTCTACCCAAGATGTCGAATATAAAGCCCACATCTGGCGCTGGTGGGTAGAACTTTTAATTCCCATCTCAATAACAGGACAATCTTTATTGCTGGAAGTTCAGTCCCATCTTCTACCACCCAAGAATCTTGCAGCTTAGACTCCCTCCCGGTGCAGTTTATAGCCCAGATTCATGGTAGACGCCTTAACCCAAATTCCCCAGGCCTTCTGCTCTAACTCTGGCTTCTTGTTTCAGCACCTAGAGATCTTCCTTTTCCAACCCTCCAGCTCATCTGTGGACTTTCCTGTTTTTGTTATTTTTGTAGTAGAAGGGGACTTTCCCAATTATCTCAGTTGGCCATCTTTACCAGAAGTCTAAAGGAACTTTGGAACTTTAGAGGAAATAATTCACAGGCAATGCTTTCCCCTCAGCCTTTAATTGGATGTTTTTCCAGCCATACATCTCTGCATCCAAGTCCCACAAGAGCAAGCAAGTGCCTTCATAACAAGACAAAAAAAAAAGACAAAATATTCACTAAAGCAAAAGCCAAACCTTACAGAAACTACTCTAAAAGAGAAAGCACCATGTGAATAAGCAAGTTTCAATGTTCTCAGTGAACACTAGTCTTGGTATCTTCTACATGCTCATCAAAGGTAAGATGCTGGTTAAGCAAAAGGAAAGTTTCTGCCTTTGTGTCCTTGGCCCAAAAGCGAAAGAACTCATAATATAGGAAGCACCATTTTTCTTGTAAATATAATTTGGAGAAGAGCACTCTTTCTTTGCAATTCCTCCCCTTCACCCCAACTCTGGTCAGAAACTCTGAGCAGTTGTGTGTGTTTGCAAAGCTGAATGAGCCTGAAGTTGAGCTGTTCAATAATGTACAATAGAAATGTTAACTGCCGTATTGATTTTTTATTATGTTTGTATTGCCTGTTTAATTTTATTTTCCTTGCAGGAAATTTTTTAATCAAAAATCCAGTTATTGAAGAGCCCCATAAGCCAACCGATGCTGGTGAGACTGGAGGAAGCATAGGCATTAAGTCTCTCCTGGTTATTCCCTCTTCCACCTTCACCCACTCCCAGTCAGAGTTCAAAACTGAAACCTCCTCCAACTGAGAGTAAATGCATGTGACCTTCAGTTCCACAGAGGTTAACCTACTCTGATTAACTTTTCCATGTTATTCCATTAAATAAAAACAGTTTTGACACCCAGAGACTAAAGCATCCTAGAGATAATATAATAACCCTATGCAATCATTTCAAATTGGATTGTAATAATTCATTTAGGTGACCATACATATTTGTTATATGTAATATGAAACATCGCAAAATGAAATCAATAGAAATGTTTCTTGTTAATGAAGATATACTGGGCTGTTATGTGTGGGTTGTGGACTCAATACCCACAGAAATCTTATTTGTATTATAAATTTCAGGGTATCCTGAGAGTTACAAATGAAGATAGCATTTCTTAAAGAAGCGATAGCTGGTCATTTAGAAAATTATATCATAAATTTTATGTCATTTCTTGGTCTTTCAAGGTCTTTGCCCAGCAACATAGTCTTGTGATTTAGGTAAAAATTCTGGCTGAGTGATTACATTCAACTATTTGCAAATGGACTTTTGCCCAAACTTTCATTTTTACATTCCAGATTTTAAAATAACTTAACTTTAGTAAGTCTGAAGATTTTACCTTATATTTTAATACAGATTGTAGAATATTTTATTCCTCAACATAAAAACTGAAGACACAGAGGCGGCGACAGATAGGTATAGGTTATAGATACAGGTATAGGTATAAATATATAACTATATACATAGGTACAAGCCAATTAATGAGACTATGATAGGGTTTCACTGGAATGCTACCTTTAACTTCACATATGAAATATAATATAGAGTGTACATGTTTATATATAAATAAAATAAGATTTTTAAATTTTGCATTAAGTAAACTCATATAGCGTTTTAGAGGCAAATTTTAATAAGTTCTTCTGCATTTTGAATGATATCACAGTGAGATTTCACCATGGCAAATATCTGCAGCAGGAACAAAGAATTAATGAATTAATGAACTATATGAATCTATTTATACTTCTGTTGTCAAAGCTCGTATTCTTACTTCTAGTGAGACCTCACTTACACCTTGAATAAGACCCATCAGATGACCCTCACCTCTAGTAAGAATGCAGAATTATAAAATGCAAATAGAGTTATTTGCAATAAATAAGTGGTCATGCTAGAAAATACAAATTTAAAACAGGTTCATAACAAATAACAGTAAGCATTTTTCTTCATCTATTACCTGTTTTCTTGGTGCTACTCTCTTTTCTGCCATACCTCTGGAATCCTCAATTTTAAATAACTGCAAATTTGCTTTTAGATAAAACCAATTCTTAACCTGCCTTAACTGATTCAATAATTTTAATCTGAAATCTGGTTCTACCTGCCTCCCTCATGAGCCTGTTGGATTTGGGTGGTGCCCATTCCACATCACTAAAGGGTTGTCCACATGGAGAAGGGCTGCGCTTGCCTTTGTCTTTACCTCCTGATTTCTCAGTCTCTTAAATATTTTGAGACTCAGGCCTTCAGGCTCTGTTGCCCTCTAACTTTCCTCTGCAGTGTTTTCTACCCTCCTCTCCTTAACTGACCCACATTCACTTCAGACTTTGGTTTTGGTGTTTGGATCCTTAAGCATCCACATGTACAAGTCACTGTTCCTTGAGGTTCTTCACACTCTTTCTACAAACCACACCTGACACTTTCACCAACAGGAGCTGCTCTGCCTCTGAAACTGGAAACCCTGAGATTCTCTTTGTTTTCATCCTCTACTTCACTGGCTCTCACTTGTGCTTCCAATCTGTTATGGGGGATCTTCAAAAAGTTCATAGAAAATGCATACTATGAGGAAACTATGCGTAGATTTCAAACCATATTTTGCACTGAAATAAATGAGTACTAACTTATTACGGCATGTCTGAACAGAATCAAGTTTGAGACACTAAGAACAAGACATCATTTTGAAAAAAGCCCCTTTCAGAACAATGTGAATTCTGCTAAAATGGACCCAAGAACAAACATTAAATTTATAGTGAACCTTTGTGGAAGAATGGTGAAATCATTGATGCTTTACAAAATGGAGACGATGCCACCAAAGAAATCAGCAGTTTACATATGGATAACTTGTTTTTTAAGAAGGGATGAGACCGCATTGAAGATGAAACCCATAGCAGCAAATCATTCACATCAAATTGCAAAAAAAATTAAATTAAATTAATCTTATTCAGGACCTAATTGCAAAGAAGTGATCATTAACAGCAGAAACAATAGCTAACACTATAGACAAATCAACTGGTTCCATTTTGAACAAAAATAAATAAATTTTGTTCAAAATTTTGAACAAAAAGTTAAATATAAGCAAGCTTTCCAGTCCAGTCAATGAGTGCCAAAACTATCGTGCTCAGCTCAGCTGCAGACCAGCGCAGAGCTTTCAATGGAAATTTTAAACAAGTGCGATCAAGATCTTGAAACATTTCTTCAAAGAACTGTAACAGAAGATGAAACATGGCTTATCAGTACAATCCTGAATGCAGAGCACAATCAACAAGTGGACATTGTCCAGTTAAAGCAAGAGTGGACCAGTCAAGAACAAAGGTCATGGCAACAGTTTTCTGGGATGCTCAAGGCATTCTGCTTGTTGACTTTCTGGAGGATCAAAACAATAACATCTGCTTATTATGAGAGTGTTTTGAGAAAGTTAGCCAAAGCTTTAGCAAAAAATAAAACTAGAAATCAGAGAAAGCATCACCAGACAGTCCTTCTCCACCACCACAATGCTCCTGCTCATCAAACACAGGAAATCTGGGGAGAGTTTCAATGGGAAATCATTAGACATCACCTTACAATCCTGATTTGGCTCCTTCTGGCTTCTTTTTGTTTTCTAATCTTGAACATATCTGTAAAAGGCACCCATTTATCTTCAGTTAATAATGTAAAATATGGTGCATAAACATGGATAAATTCCCAGGACCCACAGTTCTTTAGAGATGGACTGAATGGCTGGTATCATCACTTACAAAAGTGTCTTGAACCTGATGGAGCTTATGTTGAGAAATAAAAATTTTAGTTTTATTTTTATCTTTTAATTCCATTTTTCACGACCTTTTTGAAGTTCCCTTATATTTCCACCTCTTCAAGGGCTAGTTTGCATCATCACAGATTCCAGAATCTCACCCTTCATCCTGGCTCTGCCCTCATCCTGATAACATGTCCAAGCTCTACCTACCTTTAAAAAACAAAGGCAGTTCCCTGGGCTCCCGTTTCCTCTCTAGTGCTTATCTCTCTCCTGCCCTTCTCAGGGAAATTTCTTGAAGGGATAGCTTACACTTCTTTCTGCTTCTGCCCTTCCCTCTCACTGCTCAATTTTACCACCACATAAAACTGCTCTGGCCAAAGTCCCCAGTGCCCCATTAATTTCTAAATCCCGTTGAATATGTCTGTCTGTATTTATCTCTATCCCCTGTGGCTATGAAGTCTCATTTTTGTAACATTTTCATTCCATGAACTCCCAACTCCATGAAAGGTTTCTCTTTTTGACATCTGTTCTTTTTTAACTTTATTTAGATTTTAAATGAACTATTTCAAACATTCACAAAAGCACAGAGAACAGTATGTCTATCTTTCTCTTACTTTCTCACCCTCTTTTGTCTTACTGTCTTACCCTCTATAATTGCCTTTGGTGACCTTGTCCACTGTTTTGTCCCCCTTACCCCCAACAGTGTTCACTGCAAGACCATCCCCACATCTCCTGATCTGTGAGTCTCTCTGTCCTGCTCCTTCTTGCCACCCCCACTGGATGTGCCACTGGCTGCTCAACATAGCTGACCTTTTTGCCACTCACCAGCCTGCTCTCCTCCTTCATTGTTTCTGCTGACCAGGTCAGAAACATATGCACCCTTCTGGCAAAATCCTGTTATTGGATCTTGGAAATGTCTTTATACTCTGTCCCCTTCTCCTATCTGTCCCTCCATATCCCCCTGAACATGGCTTTAATTCAGGTTTTATCCTCCTCATTGTATTTGGTGTAACCGTCTCCTCATTAGCCTGCTTTCTGCAGTCTTACCCCACCACCCTCCAATCCATTCTCTACCCATCTACTACACACATCTTTTTTCTTTTTACAATTAAAATCCTATCATGTCACTTATGTACTTGGAAGGCATTGGGGACCCTTCCTAAACTCACCATAAGATCTAGACTGTAACATGGGATACTAGCTCCTGCTCAATTCTTGGCTCCCACTCACAAACCCTCTGCTGTTCCAAGCTAGACCACCTGTCCTTCCCAGAATGCCACGCCCTGGGTTCTTCCTTGGCCACAGGGCTAACTCTTTCTTCCATCAGGGCTGCTCTAGTGTGCTTCCTCGTCTGAGTGGCTTTGCCTGCATCTCAGGTCCGGGATGATACCGCCCCTCAGCACACACCTCTGCCATTGCTCTTACCACGCTGTGGCTACTGTTGGCATATTTGTCTCCCTGACCCATCTGCGCAAGCCCAGAAAGCAGGGACTGTTCTGACCAGGATTTACTGCATTTCCTGCATCTAGTAGCTGCTCAATAAGTACCAAACATATCCTGACTCACACACTTTTTCATATGCATAGAGATGGTATACTGGGACTTACCAGAAAATCAATAACACAGCGAAGGATTGTAAAAACCCCAGCCAGTAAGGGCACGGTGTTCATGATAACTTAAACAAACATTTAAATTGAAGAGCCACACTTTCAGTTGCTTTAAAGCAAGTCAAATGAAGTTAGCATCATAAAATATTCCCATGTCCTCTAAAGCTATTAATTGGTAACCCATAGGCATATAATCAAATGCTCACTCAAAAGGCTGAATCCTTGTCTAAGCACAGAAAACTGGAGCCTGATTTCTGTGCATGAGGTGATGCACCAATGACAAACCTTTATACCAGAGCACGACTCTGAAATTGTTCACATTGTGTTGCTGTGTGACTATGGGCAGAAATGCAGACCTGGCTATTTAGAGGAGAAAGAGGAAGAAGGGCAGGATCTACATCTAAGAGCCCGTGCCCCCAATTGGCTAAGAATCACAGTTAAACCAAGTGCCTTATCCCTAGAGTCTGGGGAGGCAAAGGCTTGTCTTCCTCTCATCAAATAATATATATTTACATTCCCCTACTAACTTGCCAGTTAGAGTAACTGGATCACACTAAGAAAACTTATTTCCTTTTCTTTGATTAATAAGCTCAAGATTATAATGTATTGAAAGTGAATATATTATTGTATATTCTCCAGAGATAGATTCCCATGCAA
Source organism: Homo sapiens (assembly GCF_000001405.40). Taxonomy (NCBI): domain Eukaryota; kingdom Metazoa; phylum Chordata; class Mammalia; order Primates; family Hominidae; genus Homo; species Homo sapiens. Next base: position 35,689,067 of record NC_000021.9, read on the forward strand.
CCTGGTTATTCTTTCTTTGTTCCCCCAACAAGTCAAATTCTCTGGTCTTTTCTTCCATGTTTGATGTCCCAGGAGTCTAGCCCTATAAATGTCACCAATGGGCCTCCTTGCTCTGAGTCTTCTGCTTGGGCTCAACCAAAGGGAGGCACTGTCAGGAGATTGGGGCTGGAGGGGAGAAAGGCCAGGACACTTATTCCTCCACATCCTCTGTGCCAACCCTCAGTCTTGCCCCTAGCTGCGCTCCTCTGCCTGTAGCCCCAAGCCCCATCAGGAGAGGCCTTTCCCATACATCTCATCTACTCGCCCTGTCCCTTCAGGCCCCAGGGCACTAACAGATTTCACTGATGCTCCCCACTGGGTACACCACTGCCTTGATTCCTTTACCCCTTGACCTCTGAAATAGCTTCTTCAATGAACTCCTGGAATGGGTCATCTCTTTCCTGCCAGGAATCTGCTGGGGAAACCCTCCTATGTGACTTCCCATTCCATGAGCCTCACTGCAGAAGCCACGCACATATGTGGCGAGACAGTAGCTCTTTGTGCTATGGTCCATGGACAAGCAGATCTTTACCATGGTCAGTATTAACCCCCAAATCCCTTCCCAGAGTTCCCCCAGAGAAAGAAAAACTAACAGCATAGTTTAAGAAATTGGCTTACGCAATTGTGGGGGCTGGCAAATCTAAAATCTATAAGGCAAGCCAACAGGCTGAGGTAAGAGTCGATTTTGCAGTCTTGAGTTCAAATGCTAGAAACTCAGGCAGAATTTCAACGTTGCAGTCGAAGAAGAAATTCTGTCTCCATTCAGGGAATCTTGGTCTTTGTTCTTATGAACAAAGACATGTTATAGAAGGAAATGTGCTTTACCTAAAGTCAATTGATGTAAATGTTAATTATATCTAAAATATACCTTCACAGCAACATCTGGAGTAGTGTTTGACCAAACAACTGTCCTCTAGCCAGCTGACGCATAAAATTAACGATCACATCCATCCACCACATGGATTCAGTTTCCTTTGGGGCAAGGAGGTTTCTCTTTACTTCAAAAGCTATAAGGGCTCAGAACTCACTTATGTCCTCTGATACAGTTTGTATTCACTTGTGTTCTCTGATACAGGAGTAAGGAAAAGAAATGCCTAATTAAACAACAAAAATAACCACCTTCCTACCACCAAAGGAAACCATCCAAAAAGCCATCAGAGCCTGCACAGAGTATGACCCTGTCTTTTTCCTTTTTTTTTTTTTTTTTTATTGACACTGATTGGCTTGTGCTTGAAACTGCCCAAGAAATTTAGAAATATAGGCAATAGAATTAGAAGGAGTTTGAACTGTGACCCCAGAGATCAAACCCTGACAACTCGGTATGTTAAACTGTATTAAAATGTATGGCTTTGAAGGAAGGGATCAATATGTTTTTCTCTGTTTGTGAAGGGCCTGCACTAAATGATAGTGAGAAACAAGCAGCCCCAGAACACAGATGCAGCCGAAGGATTTCCATGGCTTGTGCTAACTCAACTTGGCTATCTTGATGCAAAGGGAAAATGTGAAGGGCTTCCAGAAAGAACAGCTGAGATATTTGCTCACTGGTTTATTTGCAAACCAAGAAAGCAGTTTTTAGTTGCGTATGACTTTAACAACCACATCACTGCCTCTTTGGGCCTGACCCAAGACACTATTTTAACTTACAGTGAAATATGACTGAAACCCAGCTTCTCAGCCTGTGTTCTATGGGAGATCCAGTAGGAGGCTGAAGGGTTTTGCAATGACTGTTGTCCTCTGCTTGCTGCCACAACCCCCATCAAGACTCCTCTCCCCAAGGTACACCCTTCCTCCCCCACCCCTTCAGAACTAAGGGAGGCAACAACTTCCCAAAAGTTCATGGCTGCATTTCCATCCCTTCGTATGAAACCTAATCAACAGTTCTATAGATAATTTTTGGGATAAACACAGAAATTGATCGTTCTGGTCTTAAAGCTGGAAACTTACATTTGTTTTATCTGAGTTCCTTCTTCAGAAAATGACCTTCAGGCCTCTCAAAGAAGTATCAAAGGGCCAGGCACGGTGGCTCATGCCTGTAACCTCAGCACTTTCAGAGGCCAAAGCAGATGGATCACTTGAGGCCAGGAGTTCAAGACCAGCCTGGCCAACATGGCGAAACCCTGTCTCTACTGAAAATATAAAAATTAGCCAGGCGTGGTGGCGCATGCCTGTAATCCCAACTACTCTGGAGGCTGAGGCATGAGAATGCCTTGAGCCTGGGAGGCAGAGGTTGCTGTGAGCTGAGATCGCAACATTGTATTTGTCTGGGTAACAAAGCGAGACTCTGCCTCCAAAAAAAAAAAAAAAAAAAGTATCAAAGAACTGAAACTCAGCAGATCACCACATCCAGACAATGAGATGTGGGGGCCCTCATTCATCATGATTGCTTCCTTGCCCCTCCCTAGTTTCTATTTTCTTACACATTGTTTGGTTTCTTTCATTTCTTCTATGCTACATAAATCCCTAGCTTTAGTCCCTCAGGGAGATGAATTTGAGACTGAGCTCCCATCTCCTCAGCTGCAGCACCTGATTAAAGCTTTCTTTCTTGGCAATACTTGTCATCTCTGTGATTGGCTTTCTGTGCAGTGAGCAGCAGGACCTAGACCAAACCCCTTGTATTTCAGTAACATTTACAACCAACAGATGAGGAACCACATGCCAAAAATGTAAAACCATTGAAGTCCTGGGGGAAAAAATCAGTGCCACTAATCCCAGAAATCTTTGTACCATCTCCCAACAAGAATTATTCTTTAAAACGAGTTCACAGAGGAGTTATGGGGTGGCTTTTTCACAATGTCCTCTGCAAATCACGATGTCATTTCCTTTTCACTTGCTCTTGTTCCTGCCTGCATTATTTTCTTTCTTTCTTTCTTTCTTTCGTTTTTTAAGACTGCTTTCTGCCTCTGTGGTCATCTTCCTTTTTTTTTTTTACCATTCTTTTATCAGTTTTCATTCATTATGATCTTAAGAAGCCTCAGTGTGGGCTGTAGTCTCTCTCTCTCTCTCTCTCTCTCTCCAGAAAAGCATGCTTTCTTAATGGAAAAGTCTATTCAAATGCAGAGGACCTCTTTACCACGTGCATCTGTTGCAAAATCACCAACTGGAGTATCCAATTATATTAAAAGGAATTCCACGGAACTATTATCCTAATAGATGGAACACTCCTCCAATAATCATCCACACGAGCCGAAGACCCAGATTCTCTCATCCATGCACCAAAACAAAGGACTTTTTTAATAAGAAGCAAACATAAGGGAGCTGCGAGACATATTAAATGCAAGTGGTTTGCTTTTGTGCTGTAATTCCTTAGATAAATAGAGCTCAAAACTTACTTCCGGAACTCCAGAGCTTTCCTTCCTCTGTGTAAGTTTTTCTTTTGTTATTAAGATGGCTTTGCATGGTTTCAGCTTGCACAGTCATTTTCATGGTTTCACACCACCAGGCAAAGTGAGGACAGCCCATACCTACAGTGTTGGAGCTACCATGAGAACAAGATGGACTTTTCTTTCTTCCCTTTGTGAAATCTCTGCAACTACTTGCTAGAAAGGAGCCAACAGGAAAGAGATGTTGGAAATACAGGGAGAAATGCTGAAGAGCACTTTGGAACAGGTACTTTCCCTTCTCTTCATGCAGAGAAGCCATCCACTGGACATGGCCGGATGATAGCTCTTATGGAAATCCCCATCACTGGCAAGGGCGTGGCTACTGGGTCCAGGTGCCTTAGATGCAGCCAGCAGGATGCACAGATTAATATTTTTCTTTCCCAAAGAGAGGACTGGGGCTTTGATAAGGGATTTCTCCAGCGATACACAGCTGGTAAGGACAGTCAGTAGCTGGCACACCTCTCTCAAGACCTGACAGTAGTGTGAGTTAGGGACCCCCCTCTGCCCCGGATGTCAGTCATTTTTGGGTTGCAGCTTACCCACTCCACACTGACATGCTTGGTTTATTCTCTGCCTGCCCATCCAGGCTGTGAGCCACCAAAGTGGGAGCAGGTATCGTTCCCTCCTGAGGACCCTTGGGCCTACTGCAGGGCCTGGCTCAGCAAAGGCAAAAGTGAGTAGTCCAGGAGTGGGTCCCTGCCCTGGCTGAGTCTGGGCATCTGTCTGACCCTGTACCCATGACCTCTGTAAGCCAAAGGTGTCTATAGATCCCTCTGTCCCCTGTCCCCTCCAAATCTGGCCACTTAAGGACTGTCTTTCTTGCTAAACCCCTACAGTGTGCTCTGGCTGGATCATTGCTCGTGGGGCATCCCTTCCTTTCTCAGCAGCCAGCGTGCCTTCCTCGTGCTCATTCCACACCTGCCTCCACCCCACAGAGGAGAGGCTCGGCCACAGCCATGGCTGAAGTGAGGAAGTTTCAAGTCCATCAGGGCATGCTCCTCACACTCACACATCACAGACGGATGCCTTCTTTGGGTACCCTGTGCTACCAGCCTCATACTCACTCTGTCCCGTGCCCTTGCTCTTTTAGCATTTGGGACATACAGTAGCTTTGGAGCTGCTTTGCCTCCTCCTTTCCCTTCTACCCTGGTTCAGATCTATAACCATCTTCTCATGTATTTCCCACAAATGCCAGTCAAGGGCGCCTTGGGCACAGGGCAGACTCCATCCCAGAGTCCCCCAAGGTTCTGCTTCCTGATTCATTTTTTTTTTCTAATCACTTAGTTCTACCTGGAGCATTTAATAACATTCTGTACAGAGCATTTACTTTTCCAGTGTTACTGCTTCTCTCAGCACCTGTCAAGGGAAGCTCTTCTCCACTGGCCCACAGCTGAGCAAATCCCTGAGCAAAGACTTTATCTGACTTGCCAAGAACCACCGAGCCATTCAGTGACACTCAAGCATAGAGATGTTATGCTAAAATCTCCTGTCTCTCAACTATGGGCACCTTCTCTGGTCTCATGGAAACAAGGACAGCCTTGGTAGAAAGAACAACATTACATAGCAAGGGCACATTGTGTGGCATATATGTATAGTTTGATGCTTAAAAGTACTGTCACTAGAGTGAGACTGACCTCGTTTCAATCCAGTTCACCTGTGTCTTAGCTGCATCACTTCGTGCAGGTTAGTTAACCTCTCGGGGTCCTAGTTTCCTTATCTGTTGCATGGGAATATCACCTTGCAACACTGAGAAGATAAATAACAAAAAGCTTAATGCAAGGTCCAGCATAAATGAAGTGGCAATTATCATGATTAATTTAAAGAAAATAACCATATGACTGAATTGACCTAATTAAAACAGAAACAGGAATTGGAAGACAGGTAGAGCAAAAGCTACCTCTTCCCTGTCATCCCTCCGGGAGCCCCACGTCTTTTTCCTCTGCTCTTCCCCTTGGCGCAGCTCCTCTAAGACTCCCTCCCACCTGCAGCCTCTACAACTTCTCCCATATTTACTTTCTTGAGGAGCTCAAGTGCTTCAAGGTTTCAACTCTTGTTGTTGTCATTGCTGATTAAATTGCACATATATGATCTCCTTTCTCTTCCCAGTTTCTAGGTTCTTCCTGTCTATGTCAATGTTTCCCAAAATTGTCTGGTCATAAAACTCATGGGGGTAGGGAGAGGACTTGTTTTAAAATCTCTGAAGCCCAGGTTTGCTATGAGTGCAGGAATGTGCAAGTTTAACAGGTCTCCTAGAGCGAGCCCACCACCAGGCAAGGCTGAGATTAACCAACTTGTTGACCCGAGCAATCATGGTCTCCAAACCCCAAACCAAGTTGCATGACTGACAAAGGAATTTGCACTGTTTTCTTTTGTAACAGCAAAAGCAGAGGGGAAGAAAATGTGAAGCCCAAAACACCAGAATGTCATATTTCTATAGCTTATGAAGACAGCAGGGCACTTTAGATCTTTAGAAATACGGGATCTTTAGAAATATGTGATGTTCGTATGGCCACCATATATGCAGGACACCTCTACTGAGAATCACAAGATTTAACACTAAATGTGCTTATTATTAGTTAGAACACCTTTGGCTATGACCGGTATGCTATAACAATATAGACACTGCCACTCATTTAGCAAGATGTCTAAAAGTAGGTGGTCCCAGGAGAGTGCGGGGCAGCTCAGCAGTGCCATCGATGGAGGACCTAGCATCTTGTGATCTTTCTGCCCTGTGCTTCTCAGCACACTGGCTTTTCAACTCAAGGCTGCAACACAGATGGGAGCTGCGGTTCCAGCATCATCCCATCATTTCACAAACATTTTCAATTCAGGAAGAAGTGCCAAGCCAACTTGCCGTATTCTCTTTTGTAAAAACTTGACAGGCAGGGAGGGGGGCAGATTCTCCCTAAAAGCACTTGCCCTTGTGCCTTAGTGGGTAGAACTGAGTCACAGGCCCACCACTGCAACACTCACTAGCAAAAGAGAATGGGATTATTTAGTTTGCTTTAACCTAATCATGGTTCATCCCCAAAGCTCATCTCCACTGAGCTTATTTCTAGAATAAACATAGAAAGGAGGAAAAAATGACTCTGAAACAGGAAACCAGTGGATTTAGGAAAATGCACAATATCACAGAGCCAGAACTCAAACTTTTGTAAATCTGTTTCCAGAACCTTTATGCCAACTGATTCCAGCTACATACAACTTCACTTCCAAACAAACCCCTGTATGCTTGCTGGCCTTCCATCAAAGCAAAGTTATTCTTACTTTGTACTAGATTGCTATGTTACATCCAGACTCTTAATAAAAACAAACTAAACCCAAACACCTACTATTGCCACACAGAGCACCCAGTGGCCTCAGGGTTCGGCAGGGTGGCAGTGAGGAGTTCTAGCAAAGCTTCTCCCACCCAAGTGTGGACCCTCAGCTGAGGAGGCTGGTCTTGGCTGTGCTGTTCCATTTGCACGAAGATCCTGATAGACTCCTCCATCTTTAGATTGCAGCAGCTGGGGGTTATCATAGATTTTCTCTTCCAAAAATTAAAAAAAAATTATCTTAAAAGAAGCATTGAATAGTTATGAGATACATCATAAAAATACTCTCTATATGTTAATTATTGAATAAATGTTTATATTATTAACTTATCTCCTATCCCCTTCCACAAGTGATTTGGAGAAGCTTTTAAAAATATAGTCAATCTGAGTAAGATTAGTGGAGTGTATCAATGTCAGTTTCCTGGTTGTGATATTGTATCATACTTATGCAAGATGATATCATTGGGGGACCCTGGGTAAAAGAGACAGTGGATCTCTCTGTATTATTTCTTACCACCTAATGTGAATCTACAACTGTCTTAAAATAAGCAAGCTAAACCTTAAAAAATAAATTCCTCATCAAAAGAGTAAAATATATTCCTCATCTCAAACATACATCATTTCTTTGTGTTGGGAACACTCAATATCTTAATTCTAGCTATTAGAGACTATATAATGTATTACTGTTAACTGTAGTTGGAATCCTACAATGGGATAGAACACTAAAACTTACCCCTTCTATCTAAATGGAAATGCCAATTACCCTGATCCGATCTCTATAACATTACATATATTGAAACATCACTATGTACCCCATAGGTACAATTATTATATGTCAATTTAAAGCTAATTTGAAAAATGTTGTAATTAAAAAAATTAAATACTAAACTATAAATAACTAAGCATATCACAGCAAAAGGGAAAGTGGGTAGCAAAATGGTAAATCTGGGAGTTAGAGAAAAGCAGAAATGCAAGCCCACAGCTCTCTGCAGTTGCTAGCAGTGATCTGAAAGTTTGATCTAAGCTTTCTATCCTGGTGGCCAAAGACGGAATCAGTTACAAGGATCTCAGTGTTCATAAGATATTATTCTAAGCCAGGGTCGCTGCAGGTGGCTGCAATTCTGATACTGGAGGAATTTGTTCCTTAGATCCCTTTGCAGTTCTGTTGTATAACTTATGCAGCAACACTCCTACAAGAGATAACAAAGAAAAATTCACACAACTATTTTTTAAGTGTTCTTGAATATATATAGATAGTGGAACTCCTTGGCATAAACTTCAGTGGGGAAAAAAGGCAGTTTTCTAAAGGGCCAGTTAATTTCATCGGTGGGTAATGAAAGAAAGTGTTGTGGTGTAATTTGGTCACCCTTCTGCTATCGTTACCTGGTGATCACTGACGAACATGTTCATCCTGACACTGCAATACATGTCCTTCAGGACCAGTGTGCAAAGGCATCTCTTCAATACATTTTCTGGTGTCTTCCTTTTAAGCAAAAATCAACTACTTGCAGGCAACCCCCAACCCCTCCCCTTCCTCTCCCTCAATGCCATGCCCAACGCCACTCCCTGGCTGCATGACCCCAAATGCAACTTACATGAGGGACCAGACACAACACTGGGGGAACCTCTACAAGTGCCTGACCCAAGGAACCACTCCAGAGAGCACGCACCGAGCAGCTGAGGCCACAGTGGTTCTGGGCTCACTGCCAAGCTCTCTCTCACTTGTCAGCAAAAGCAAAATTGGGATTTTTTTTTTTTTAAACAGCCCCTGGCCAAGTGTTTCTGTGCTGGGTGTTACTTTGCTTCAGATAGGCACAAATCCAACCTCTCCTCTGGAGCACAAGCTAGAGAAATCAAAAGTTTAAGAAATACCTTAAATGGCTCCATACACTCAAACCATGCTGGTTGGTGCAGCTCAAAAGGCAAAGAATTCAAACATGTGGTTCCTAACCTCACAGAGCTGATTATCTGTCCAAGGCCAGGGGTAGATAAAGTTCTTGGAGAAGCAGCAGAGAACTGAATCAAATGAAAAGCAAAATACTATAAACTCAAGGTTTAAGTGCTGGGTTTGAGGGAACAATCTGGGAAATATACCCAGGAAGTGGGCTTTAAATTGGTCTTAGAAAGAGGACTTCTACAGATTGTCAGAGAAGAGAGAGTGTTCCTCGCGTGAACCACAGCTGGGAAAAAAAAACATGATGGTGGAAATTTAAATTCATCCTTGGGGGACAGGGCACTGATTGACATGGTTGGCACAGCAAGGCCACGGGGGGAATAAATGGGAGAGAAAGTCAGAGAGGGAGGACCAGCTAATAAAAGTCTTTGAATACTACACTGTGGCATTTAGAGGATTCACAAAGAATGACTTCAGCAGGTACATGCCAGCCAGCCTAACTGAAAGCAAAGACAACAGAATGTCTCATGCATAAAAGGTTCTCTGCCTAAATTATTTTTGATCTATTGGCACATCTTTTATGATCTACTAAAAAATTAAATTTTTCATTCATCTATTGTATTCAACAAGCAAAAGCTGCAAGCCCAGATTATTAATGATGTCAGATCTTGTATTCCTAAAACAAATGCACAACAGTTCCATTTCTGATGACAAAAAGAGAGTCATTTGTTTCAATCATGGAGGACAATCTTATTAAACATCGCCAACCTACTGCCAAGCTGGCTGCTCACCAGTGCACAGCTACAGAACAAATGGAATCCGGAGGACTGTCAATCTTCAGATAGTGTCACTGCCCCCAAAATAATAAACTTAGGGGGAGATAAATCTGTTATGACTTGAACACTTTTGCTTCTTAACTCTGGAGTCTTCAAGTTCAGCAATTTCATAATTCTTTCATGTGGCAATAAGGCTGTTTGGCAAATGCTAGTGAGAATTGCTAAACTGAGCTTACCTGCATATAAACCTTATACACACTCATATCAACTGACTTACCCTTTCAGGAAAGTAACTTAGTAAGGGAAATAATAAACCTTAATAATATGCATGCCTTTTGATCCAATAAGTCTGTTTCTCAGTCTAAGGAAATAATACAGAATACAGAAAAGACGTTGCACTTAAGAATGTCCATACATTGTTGTTTCTAATGGCCAAAAAATAAAAATAAACATTGAGCCAACCCATTTTCCAATAGAAGGGGCATGATTTAATAATGCTCCAGGCCTAGAAAGAAATGTTTATGGTGTAATGTTACATATATACTATGCCCTATATAGTATGATATCAAGTATATGAATAAGATTCCCAGAATGAAGAATAATCAAGAAAAGCACCAAAATTTTGACAATCGTTTTGAGTGTTGAGATTTTATGTACCTGTTTATGTTCTTCTTTATTCTTTGCTATATTTTCAAAACTTTCTCAGTGATCATGTATCACTTTTAAAAGCAAGTAGAACACAAGAACAGAAAAACCAAACACTGCACGTTCTCACACATAAGTAGGAGTTGAACAATGAAAACACATGGACACAGAAAGGGGAACATCACACACCGGGGCCTGTCAGGGTGGTGGGGAACTAGTGGAGGGATAGCATTAGGAGAAATACCTAATGTAGATGACAGATTGATGGGTGCAGCAAACCACCATGGCACGTGTATACCTATGTAACAAACCTGCACTTTTCGAACATATATCCCAGAACTTAAAGTATAATTTTAAAAAAAAAAGAACTATCAAAACATTTCTCAACAAGTTCCTCTTAGAAGGCCTATGAGCTGGGAGGCACCAGAAGGAATGAAGGGCAAAGGTAAGGAGGGAAAACAAGAAGTGAGGGAAGTTCCTGTTGCCCCAGAAGGAGAAGCATGTTCCAGGATTACCAAAAAGAGGGATTTTCAAGGGAATGAGGCCAGGGTTAGCGTGTTTCCAGGGTCCCAGAATAGGCCCAGCTCCCACCCAGATGCCCATGAGGTAGGAGACATTAAATTAAACACACACACACACACACACACACACACACACACACACCCCACTGGGTGTAGAAGGACCCAAAAAGAAGAAAGGTTTATGTTCCAATTCTTACTTAGAATTGTGGGAGACCACTTGGGGGTGGTGCCCAAAGGTAACATGAGGTGATCCCAGTAAAGTAGAAATGTTAGAGTAGGATCTGGAGGCCCTGAAACAGCCACCACCCCAGATGTCCACAGCCTGAGAAGCAAGGCACAGAAAGATCCAGAAGTTGCCATGAGCCTCAGTGGTGAACAGGTCAATGGACTGAAGAAGCATAGAGTGCAGACAAGGAGGGACCAAGTGATGACACTAATGACCAAGTAGCCTACAGGAACGTCAGACAAGGCCAGCAGATGCTGCAACACACCCAAAACCATAAGGGGTCTACTATGTTTTGTTCAGTTTACCCCCAGAGCCTCAAGCACGCAGAGTTAAGTAAACTATACTCCTAGCTAACAGCTAATGACATACCATCAGTTAATGGTGCAATCTCCTCATTAGTTTCTGATTGATTAATTGCCTTTTATTCCCGTTCCCATAACCATCTCTCTCTCTTGCCATGGGCATGCACTCCATTGTGTTTTACTAATTTGGATGTATTCTTGAGATTTACGTAGTTTTCATTTGAATAAATGGTAATATGCTAAGCAATGATGGTCTGTTTTTTTGTTTTTTTGTTTTTTTGTTTTTGTAAGATGGAGTCTCGCTCTGTCGCCCAGGCTAGAGTGCAGTGGCATGATCTCTGCTCACTGCAAGCTCCACCTCCCAGGTTCACGCCATTCTCCTGCCTCAGCCTCCCGAGTAGCTGGGACTACAGGCGCCCGCCACCACGCCCGGCTAATTTTTTGAATTTTTAGTAGAGACGGAGTTTCACCGTGTTAGCCAGGATGGTCTCCATCTCCTGACCTGGTGATCCGCCCGACTCGGCCTCCCAAAGTCCTGGGATTACAGGCATGAGCCACCGCACCTGGCCCCTGATGTTCTTTTCTTCCTTTCTTCACTCAGCACTCTGTGTTTAAGGTCTAGTCATTCTGATGTGTGCACGCCTACTTTGGTTTCTGCATATTTTTTCTTGATTTATGAAACTTTCCCCACAGCAACAAACACCTCAGATTCAGTCAACTCCAGCACAGGCACTTCTGCAATAGATATTCTTTTGCATGTTGTGTTATGGACCCCTATGAGAATCTCTCTGATATTTATCACCTGGACTGGAACTTAAGAGACATACCTGCTCAACCTAAGGCTTGTTTCTTGCCTTTAAACATGGTTCATAAGTCTTCACTTCTATCCACAATGCTTGAAAGTTGCAGTTTTCCCAAATCCACACCCATGCACACACACATATATAAACAGCCCCGTGAGAGACACAGAGTGCATTGCCCGGGTGCCACTTCAAGGAAGGACTTGCTGCCCAGCTGCAGGGAGTGTGGTCAACAGGCGGCCTCCAGCTGTTAGCAACTGAAGGGTCTGCCTTGACTGCACAACACGTAGTCTTTAACCTCCTGGAGTTGATTATCTGACCAATGCCAAATACAGATTGGCCCGAGGTTTCACCCCTCCCAGGGCAGCTTGCTGCTGGGGGTATAATGGCCAGCTATTTCAGCCAGGTGCCCGCAACCCTGAAGAGCAACCTCCACTCCAACTCCTTTTGGGTTGAGTGAGACTTTGTCCTGCTACATCACATCTCTACTTCTCCTGCCAGTCTTGCATCCTCCCCACTCTCTTCTCAGCTCATTCCAAATAAACACCTTAAGCCAAACCTTGATTCAGTGTCGGCTCAGTTTGTGCTCTGGGAGAGCCCAGGCTACAATAGCACTGCTCAACTTCTTAATTTTGCCAATCCACTGTGCAGAAAATGGCATCTCATTGTATTAATTTTCATTTCACTGCTTCCTAATAATTTGGAACACTTATTAATATAAATGTTGGTTGTTCAGTGATCCCTTCCTCTGAATTTATTTGTTATAGCCATTTTCTTAGATTTTGTGGCATTTTCTTAATATGCCTTGATTCCTTGATCATCCTATATAAGTTTTTTTGTTTTGTTTTGTTTTGTTTTGAGATGGAGTCTCGCTCTGTCGCCCAGGCTGAAGAGCAGTGGCGCAATCTCGGCTCACCGCAAGCTCTGCCTGCCGGGTTCACGTCATTCTCCTGCCTCAGCCTCTCGAGTAGCTGGGACTACAGGTGCCCACCACCATGCCCGGCTTTTTTTTTTTTTTTTTTTTTTTTTGTATTTTTAGTAGAGACGGGGTTTCACCGTGTTAGACAGGATGGTCTCAGTCTCCTGAACTCGTAATCCACCTGCCTCGGCCTCCTAAAGTGCTGCGATTACAGGCGTGAGCCACCGCGCCCAGCCTCTATAGGTATCTTTTATACACATATACTGAGTGACGTGATTACAACAGTCAAGCAAATTAACACTATATAAGACTTCCTGGTTTAAGAAGTTGCAAATATCTTCTCCCAACATACAGGCTATTAACTTTGTCTATGTGAGGTCTAACAATGAATCAAAATTCTTAGCTTTGATGTGATAAAATCTACCAGGCTTTTATTTTTTTTTGTAATATTGAAGTCTTTTTCTCTTTTTTGAGATGGAGTTTTGCTCTGTCACCCAGGCTGGAACGGAGTGGCAAGATCTCAGATCACTACAACCTCCACCTCCTGAGTTCAAGCGATTCTCCTGCCCCAGCCTCTTCAGTAGCTGGGACTACAGGCGCATGCTGCCATGCCCGGCTAATTTTTGTATTTTTAGTAGAGACGGGGTTTCACTATGTTGGCCAGGTTTGTCTCGAACTCCTGACCTCATGATCTGCCCGCCTCGGCCACCCAAAGTGCCGGGATTACAGGGGCCTAATATTGAAGTTTTCTATAATTATTCTCTTACCCCTAACTCGCGAAGATATTCTACATTTTTTCTATTACCTTTATAGTACTATATTTTATATTTAGGTTTTTAATTTATCTGGAGCTCAGCCTTGTATATGGTAGTGAACACAACTGGGATGCAGTTTTATTTACATTCATATGGAGAGGAAGTTTTCTTAGTAGAAATAAAGGAAAAAATAGTGATACCACCAAATGGGGAGGGGAGAGGTAGGCAAGGGGAATAACAACTACCGGCAGAGGCATATTATTTAAAGATAGGGAGTTAACCACCAGAAGTAACTAATAACAGCAAAAACAGAAGCGGTTAAAGGCAAAGGCCTCCAGGGATGGAGGAAGGTCGGAAGTTAGGGAAAGGGGAAGGCAGAGGCTGGAACATCCTTGTTTCTCTTGTATTACCTCAGTAATTTTTTATTATTCTTACTTAAGTTAAACTTTTAAAAAATCACACTTGTTATGAATCCTTCCCAAGAGATCTCTGATTTCCTGAGTCAGAGAATCATCCAAGTCCCACTTATTCCCCACCCATCCATTACATGCACTCCTTTTCGAATGACTCCCCAAATACATACAACAGCATAGACACACTTTATGACACCTCAGGGATGGGAATCAGCCCAACTGAGATAGAGAGTGAGCGGAGGGTCCCCAGCGGGTGATGAAGCCACAAGGCCAGTGGAGATAGGGTTTGCAAAGAGTCTGTGGGTCCCTTTCATTTTCCCACAGCAGATGTGTTCTTGCTGAAAAGGGAAGGGCATAGCCCTGAGTTATTCTGCAGTAAGGTATCTGTCTGTGAGTATACACCACTCTCATCTTCCCCCTAAAGATAGTTTAAAATAGCCCTGTCTACTGTCCAGCAAGTTCAAATTACCCAGAGCCACCGTATACAATTGTATAGGTTCTAGATGTGAAGGCTCTAAAAATGCCCTAAAGCTGTGTTTCTGGATGAGGCATCATTGTGCTTTGCAAACAGCACTGGACTGGGAATCAGGGAGATGCATTTTGTCCACTAGCTTTGACCATGAACCAGTCCTCCACCTCTACGAGCTTCAATTTCCTCTAAGAAAATGGGTTACCAGATAGTAGTTTCTAATACCCCATCCCATTTTAACCACCTATGATTCAAACTATGATTATATTCCTGGAGAATCTCATGGTACCAAAATATTTCAGAAACATGTTTTGAATCCAACAAGTATATTCCACTGAAATTGATGACAAGGCAAAAATCTTTATTTGCGCATTCAATTGTCCTTTTAAAATATGTCCTTTAAATGCATTAATTGGTTAGTAAATAACTGAAATAATTTCACAGTCTAATAAGTGCACATTAGAATCCAACACAGCTTCTGAGTGTTCTACTTAAGAAAAGATGAAACCTTAACATTTTTATGATTCTTAGACATTTATAATATTGCCAGTTCATTAGATGAATATATTGCCATACTTCATGACTGTTCAAAGTTTTGTTATCAGCCCAAATATTTGACATTCTGGAAAGTGAGAGACATCTCTGTGGGCTAACCTTCCTTCTTGTGTTCACACAGCATTTCATCAGACCTATATAAAAAAATCAGCACGGCATTGTGGTTTATGCCTATAACCCCAGCAATTTGGGAGGCCGAGATGAGAGCATCGTTTGAGGCCAGGAGTTTGAGACCAGCCTGGACAACGTAACAAGACCCTGTCTCTACAAAAAAAAAAAATTTAAAATTCAGCCTGGCATGGTGGCATACACCTTTAGTCCTAGCTACTTGTGAGGCTGAGGTGGGAGATCACTTGAGCCCACAAGTCTGAGACTGCAATGAGCTATGATTGTGCACTCCAACCTGTGCAACACAGAGAGAACCTATAAGAAAAAAAGAAAAAAGGAAGAAATAGGACATGAAGGAATGAAGGAAGGAAGGAAGAGAGAGAGAGAGAGAGAGAGAAAGAAAGAAAGAAAGAAAGAAAGAAAGAAAGGAGGGAGGGAGGGAAGGAAAAGAAAGAAAGGAAGGAAAGAAGGGAGGGAGGGAGAGAAAGAAGAAAGAAAAAGAAAGGAATGAAAGAAAGAGAAAGGGAACGAAAGAAAGGAAAAAGAGATAGAAAAGAGAGACAGAGACAGAGAGGAAGGAAAGAAAGAAGGAAGAAAGGGAGGGAAAAGAAAAGCAAAGAAGGAGAAAAGAGAAGGAAGGAAGAAAGGAAGGAAGGAAGGAAGAAAGGGAAAAGGGAAAGGATGGAGGGAAGGAAGGGAGGGAGGGAAAGAAAGAGAAAAGAGAAGGAAAGAGAGAGAGACAGACAGAAAAGAAAAGAAAAAAGAAAGAAAGAGAAAGAAAGAAAGGAAGAAAGGAAGGAAGGAAGGGGGAGGGAGGGAGGGAAGAAGGAAGGAAAGAAGGAAGGAAAAGAAAGAGAAAGGAAAGAAGGAGGGAAGGAAGGAAGGGAGGGAGGGAAAGAAAGAGAAAGAAGAAAGAGACAGAAAGAGACAGAGACAGAGAGAGGAAGGAAGAAGGAAGGCAGGAAGGAAGGATGGAGAAAGAAGGAAGGAAGGAAGGAAAGAAGGAAGGGGGAGGGAAGAAGGAGAAAAGGAAGGAAGAAAGGGGAAGAAAGGAAGGAAGGAAAGGAGGGAGGGTGGGAAAAGAAAAGAAAAAAGAAAAGGAAGGAAGGAAGAAGAGAAAGAAAGAAATAAAAGAAATCTTCCATATTTCCTATAGTGTAAGCCAGGTAACAGCTTCCCTAAGCCCTTCTAATCATTTGTCAAATGCACCTGGAAAAATCCCACACCTTGATGACTGAATTTTCCATTCCTGGCTAAAGAAAGTCAGGAGAGCCAATGTTTGTTTTTTCTACTGTTTGTAGAAAAAAAAAGTGTATGGTTTTTTCTACCCCGCAATGCTCCCTGTTATGGGATGTGGTTGGTGTCCCAGTGTACATTTGAACAAATGATTGGTTATTTTATATGTATCAGTATATTATACTTTTTCTAAAAAAAAGGAGAACACTACAATATGAATTACTGAACATATCTAATTAAGCAATCTACCAGCTGTTGGACATTTAGGTCATTCCAGCTTTTCCTTTCTGAACAACCTAACGATGAGAGAACCAAAAGCTTAATTCAAATACAGTCAGAAGGAAAATTCTTTCAGTTGAAGGAATGAACATTTTACCCCACCATAATATGTAACAAATTTTAGTTCCATAGCAAAAATAGAAAATTGGAGTTCTTTGCTGATGATGGGAAAGAACAAAAAGACAACATCCCCTTGTGGTTCAGAGTGAGACTGAAACCTGCAAAGGGAAGGAGAATCCCCTAAAAATGGGTGCAGGAATCCCTACCCTCTCTTTCTCTCCTCTTGTTCATTCCCCTTCTTGGCCTCCTCTGCCTAAGCCAGAGTCAGGGACTTGTGTGTTCCCCACAGAGACTTGCACCAGGCTACCATCTGGCCCTGGCCCTGGCCCAGTGGGCACTAATTATCCTCAGTCAGCAGATCTGGCATCTCCATCTTGACATGTGTCCCCTCAGTCCCTGTGTGGTAATTAATGATGTGGACCACACTTTTCTTCTGAAATTGCGCCCTCCTCTTCTGGCTTCTAGGAGAACTCTTTCTAAGACCATTCTCTGTTCTTCCCATCACCAAATGCTGCTCTTCACCACAGTGCTTTCCCTGACTTTCTTGACAGCTTTTCCAGGCGAAATTCCATCTTTCATAGGGCCAAACCTTAGCCACGTGATGATGACTCCAACTGAATTCTCTATAGAGTTCCAGGACAAAATTTTCAGTTTCTAATTGTATCTTCTCCATCTTGCATTTTAAAAATTTAAAGACATTAATTTCCATCCTGATTCCACTAAAAAGAAAAAAAATTGATCCCTTTGCCAAGTTCTTTCAATTAATGTTACCATATTATCCCATTCATTTGGGTTTGAAATCTCATAGCCATCTTTAACTCTTCTTTATTCCTGTATCTAATCAGCCACCATCTCCTTTCAGTTCTATTTCCCCAAAAGGATCACATTTTGATTACTTGAGGCTGAATTAAACATGGTTGAGGCTGAGCAGTGAGTTGGGACCCCTTTACCTTTCCAGCTAAGAGCATTTGTTAGCCAACTGTCAAGTGGAGAAGCAAGAACTCCGCAAGCAGAAGAGCTGCGTTTGATGTAAGCAGGGAAGAGAGATCAGAACTGTTTGGCCTCCCTTTCTCAGCCTCCTGCCTCCACCCCAAGTCACATATACTCCCAAGACCTGACCCATTCCCAAAATGAATGATCAGCATTCGTCCACTAACCAGAAGCATGTCCCAGCTCTCTTCTGTGTCCCACCATTAGAAAATCAAAAGCTGACTGTAGCTTTGATTTAGTTGCAATTAGGAATTAGTATCTTCTTCTTCACTACCAATTTCTCCCAGTTAATGGAATATGAATGGTAATTCCAGAATCTTTTATCTCCTTTCTGACTACCATAGCCCCTATTCAAATCTTCAGCATCTCACATCTAGATGACTGCAGAAGTAGCCTACTGGTCTTCTCTGCTTAGAGTCACATTCCAATTCAGCTCCCACCTTGCATTATTCTAATATACACCCTTGATCATATTGTGTCTCGATCAAAAGCTTCAATGGTCAAGTACTGAACATTGCTTATATATCACTGACATTGCTAGTATTCCTGCTATAACAAGTTCTCCCTTATTCAGAATCCATTTAAAATGTAGTGCAAAACACACACAAAGTGACAGTAACCTAAGTGCCCACCAATAAGGAATTGTTAAATAAATTCTAGTACATCCATGACATGAGATAATAGCATGTCGTCCATCATATGGAATAATAGGAAGTCATTTGAAAGAACGAGATGATGGCAGCCGGGCACAGTAGTTCATGCCTGTAATCCCAGCACTTTGGGAGACCAAGGTGGGCAGATCACGAGGTCGGCAGATTGAGACCATTCTGGCTAACCCGGTGAAACCCTGTCTCTACTAAAAATACAAAAAATTAGCCTGGTGTGGTGGCGGGTGCCTGTAGTCCCAGCTACTTGGGAGGCTGAGGCAGGAGGATCTTTTGAACCTGGGAGGTGGAGGTTGCAGTGAGCTGAGATCGTGCCACTGCACTCCAGCCTGGGTGACAGAGCAAAACTCCATTTCAAAAAAAAAAAAAGAATGAGATGATGGCATACAAATAAATCTACCACATATATTCTTTGTTTTTATGTTTTATAGGCAAACAAACATTTAGGAAGAACACACATCAAACAGTTATAAACCGTAGCCACCTGAGGAGTGAGATTAAGGGGAAAAGAGGGCTTCTGTGTTTATTTTGTGATTGTTTTGTAAGCGTCTGTGTTCTTAAAATATGTTACAGCATACGCAGGTATTATTTTTAAATATCTAAAGCCAATAAAGGTTTATAAACGCATTTGTCATCTAAGAGCTTCATTTAGAAATTATCACTATATTTTTATTTGAGGTACATTAACATATGTGTATGTATAAACCTAAGATTTAATAATATAATGTACTCACTAGACTGTGTTCATTAAAGGCAGAGTTGGTATAGTCAATTTGCTTTTTTATTTTCCCAGAATGTGTCTCAGAATTTATATAGTGCCTGGCATATTAGAAGAGACGTGTGTGTGTGTGTGTGTGTGTGTGTGTGTGTGTGTGTGTGAGTGAGATTTGCTACAAATTTCTCTAACTTCATAGAATATGATGGAACATGTACTGTGATTCTAGAATCATTTCTCTATTGCTATACACAAACCATATATATGACAGTTTTGCATATTTGCAAATGCAAATATATACACAACCAAATGGGAGAATGATCTGCATATTGTCATTGTGCTGACAAACCTGTCTTGATCACTGCTACGGTGACTCCAAATCACTGAGTGCTTCGAAAAGGACAAGAGGAATTCCATACGGAATAGGCAATTAGGTTTTGGAACAATGTGCACAGGCTGGTGTTAACTGGTTCCCGTGAGTCAGGGCCATTCCATTTTGGGGATTAAACACATCAGCAGAATGCCCCTTTCTCTGCAGCTGACAAGGGGGAGTTCCACCCCATACACTGAGGGAGAGGGTCCCCAGAATCTTCCGGGGAGTGAGGAAACAAATTCCAACCCCCAAACAACCTGATTGGAAAGGGAGTGTTTTTATATACACATGTCTCCGAAATCCGGCCAGCAAATGATAAACATCAGCTGGTGTTTAGCTAAATGTTAAAAATCTTATTGAGGCAAAAGCAATGCTAGAAAGGAACAACAACGAAAAAAGCCAGCTCAGCCTCTGCCCCACGGCCTCGATTTCTCTCCCAAATCCCAGGTAGCTGAGAGGTGGAAAGTCTAGAAACAGAATCGAACACGTCTAATCTCTTTTACAACAATGTTCTTATTTTAACCCATGTCATCAGGGGAAATGGCTGAAAATAGTGACAAATACAACATCAATAAACATAATAATAATTGATTTCCCAGAGATGAAAAATTTGAAATTATTGGCCATTTCCCCCTAGAGCATTGGTTGATTAATTTAATGTTCATCTTAGTCTTTCAAAGACATCCTCTTATGTTGATCTGCTTTGCCAGACTTTGTGATGGGTTTTGCGGTTTAGGGCCCAGTGGTTAAAGTATATTGCACAGTTCTGCAGTTTTAAAGAGAATTCTGATAGTTTAAGGATGACTGCAGCCAACAACAGCAACAACAAAAGTTAAGACACATCAAGCAATTAAATTTCCAGAGATTGGAACTGGAGTTTTTCATACAGGATATAAGTTCAGTGGCTGTACTACTCAGTTTTTCTAGCTTAAGTATCCAAGAAACAGATTTTGAGAGGTACAACCTCTATTCCCCCAGAGCACCCAACTTTCACTTAATTCAGAATCTCAACACAGAGCAAGGTGAATTTCAAGTAACTATTTTCCTTCCTCTCTCCCTTCTTTCTTTCCCTTTTCCCCTTCCTTTCTTTCTTACTCATGTTTCTCCCCTACCCTCTCTCTTCCTCATTTCCTTCTTCCTTTCTTTCTTCCTTCTCATCTTTAAACCACTTCAAAGTTTGATGTTTGTATTTATCCTGAGAGACAAGTGAAATAAGCATTATTATCCTTTTTTTACAGATAAATGAAGTGAGACACAGAGGTTCAGTGACTTTCTCAGACTTTCTTGTGACTGAATAAACAGCCCAGGGAAAGAAGTTTTGAACCTCCTGAGTTCCAGGTTAGCACTTTTTCTTTTCATTTTTTATTATACTTTAAGTTCTGGGGTACATATGCAGAATGTGCAGTTTATTACAGGTACACACGTGCCATGGTGGTTCACTGCACCCATCAACCCGTCACCTACATTAGGAATTTCTCCTAATGCAATCCCTCCCCTAGCCCCCCACCCCCCAACACACCCCAGTGTGTGATGTTCCCCTCCCTGTGTCCATGGGTTCTCATTGTTCAATTTCCACTTATGCATAAGAATATGTGGTGTTTGGTTTTCTGTTTTTGTGTTAGTTTGCTGAGAATGAGGGTTTCCGGTTTCATCCATGTCCCTGCAAAGGACATGAACTCATCCTTTTTTATGGCTGCATGGTATTCCATGGTGGATATGTGCCACATTTTCTTTATCTAGTCTATCATTGATGGACACTTGGGTTGGTTCCAAGTCTTTCGTTAGTACTTTTTCTACAAGTAGCTGGTCCCAGAGCATGTCAGGGAGAACTCCAGCCAATCCCATCAATCACAGCTCCGTCCATCAACCCTGTGAGCACAGACTGACTCTTGCATGGAGTCAGCATCTGGGTGTGCAGAGGCACCTTCACTTCTTGTCCCTTCCCAAATGCCACATCACTAGAAGTATCTACTTTATCATTTTGAACATGTAAGAGTAAACCTGCTTCCACATTCTTAGGAACTAGGAATGCATCAGACCTCTTTATCAGACCTCATCTGCACAGGTGAGCCTAAACCCCTTGTTTTGGAAATGTTTGATATGGCTCCTGGCACTGGGTGCCTGGTCCCTTCCCTTTAGGGTTTCCCTTACTTTTCCTGGGACCATTGCTATGCAGTGTAATTTCTCCTGTCTTCAGCCCCTAAGACACTCGGCCTAGTATCCTTGTCCCCATAAGTCTACCGGAGGATGGTGATTTCCACTGTCTCAAATGCATGCACTTTGACCTCACACTCATTTTTCTGCACCATCTCAGGGTCCCTACCATTGTACCCAGGAGGTATAAAAAACCTTCTGTGAAGACATATGTAGCCTTCAATTAAAGCATTTGTAATTATTTCCCAGGACAGTTATTCATCTACAAACTCATCGTCAGTGGATTTACCTAAGGAAAGCAAACAACAAGAGGTAAATCAGGGACTTTCATGAATGCAAACAGTCTTCCCTGTGACATCTTGCACAGAATAACTCTCCCTAAACAAGGGTCAAGGTGAGATGGCAGCACTGTTAAGTCATTAAAGGCCAAGCTTCCTAGGTCATGTCAGTATCACGCATCAATAAAGGACTCTGGTAAGTAAATGAAGCCATTTCTCTAAGGAATAAAAAAAAATCATCACTTTTAAATGCTTAAGAATGCATTTTGTCAACACTTTTTGATTAAGATACAGCTTTCTGAAACATATGAGAAATAAAGTAAAGAAAATCTCTTCCTTTCCTTTCCAAAATTCTGCCTTCCAGAGCAGTTGAGGCAGAGTGATGCTGGGAATATAAGAAACTCACAGAAACAGTGGGGAGGGCAGAGCTGGGGAATCGAGTTAGAGCAGCAGACACAGCCTGTGTCACTGAGCCATGGTTCCCTGCACAGGCCCCATTTATAACCTGGTCTTTAACTTTGTTTATCTTTGTGGACATTCGCAGAAGCATCTTACTTTCCAGAAGCTGGGGCCCTATAATCATTATCTGTCTTTGGAGAAAATGGGATTATGTGCATTTAATTGCTCTTCTCAGAAAGTCGATGTTGTAATAGATCACTCTTCACTGACCCTCTTCTCCAGGTGGGGCTTCTGGGTTTTCACATTTTTCCCTTGGCCTTGGTGTTGTAAAAAAAAAAAAAAAAAAACAGTAAAGGTGGGCTTCTTGGTACCAAACCTCAACCACAAGCAGAAAGGAAGTGGAGAAGGCTTACCATCTTCTTTAGTGTCTGAGATTGAAAACCCCCAGCTGTCCTAAGAATGAACACCTGTTTATGGAAGTGAATGCAAATTGTGGAGGTTTCCAACCTGTGTGCATCTGCCAGGGCCACCACAACAAAGTACCACAGACTGGGCAGCCCGAACCACAGATGTTCATTTCTCACCGTCCCAGAGGCTGGAAGTGTGAGATCCAGGTGTTGGCAAGGTTAGCTCCTTGTGAGGCTGTGTGGGAAGGCTCTGTTCCAGGCCTCTGTCCTGGGCTTGTAGATGCCATCCTCTCCCTGTGTTTTCACACTGTCTTCCCTCTGTGCATGTCTGTCTCTGTGTCCAAATTTCCCCTTTTACCTTTTAGTGAGGACACCAATCACTAGGTTAGGGCTCACCCTATAGACATCCTTTTAACTTGATGACCTCTGTAAATATCCTATTTCTAAATAAGGTTACATTTTGAGGTACTAGGAATTAGGCCTTCCAATGTGTGAATTTGACAGGGAATCATTCAACCCGCAACACAGCTCAATTAAATTATCCCAGGTTTCAGACAGAGGATGGTTTGGGGTGAAGAGGACCGTCTCCCCAAGTTTGCAGCAGCTGTGCTTTTCCTGTCCGTCTCTTGTGTGTGATTTCACCTCCGCAGTCAGCTTTCAGCTCTGAAGGGCAATGACTGAGGGCTCTTTGGGTACATAGAGGTGAGTCGTTCTGATAAGACTGGGGAAGATCCAAGAAGACCCCTGGATGTGCCAGTGGACTCTGAACGTTTTGCTTGGCTAAGTTCTGATGTGACGTCCCCGACTGCAAGTGTGGCATGACAGAAACCAAGGGGTGAGTACGGAAGGGAGTGGTCAACAAAGACATCCATCGGGACAGCAATTAAGACTCAGAGAGGCCAGCCATGGTGGTTCACACCTGTTATTCCAGCACTTTGGGAAGCTGAGGCAGGTGGATCACCTGAGGTCAGGAGTTCAAGACCAGACTGGCCAACATGGTGAAACCCTGTCTCTACTAAAAATACAAAAATTATCCAGGTGTGGTGGCATGTGTGTAGTCCCAGCTACTCAGGGGGCTGAGGCAGGAGAATCACCTGAACCCAGGAGGTAGAGGTTGCAGTGAGCCGAGATCAGGCCAGGGTGACAGAGCAAGACTCCACCAAAAAAAAAAAGACTCAGAGACAGCCAGCTGTGGTTCCAGCCTTTCATCTAATACCATGTTTGGCTAACACTACCCTCCCTACCCTTCCTCCTCCCTACTTCTCCCCAGACAAAAGCTTTTCCTTCTTGGCTGCACACATTTACCAGACTTCCCAATATTCTGGCCTAAGCTGTGTCTCAGTGCTTTCCTAAGTGTAAAAGTTTCTTATGGCTGCTGCACCAAATTACCACAAAGTTAGTTACTTAAAACAATACAAATTTATTGTAGTATAGTTTCAGCACCCAGAAGTCTGAAATGGGTCTCACTGGGCTAAAATCATATTGTCATCAGGGCTGCATTCCTTTCTGGAGGCTTTAGGGGAGTCCCTGTTTCCTTGCCTCTTCCAGCTTCTAAAGGCTACCTGCATTCCTCGGCTTGTGGTCCCTTCTTCCAACTGCAGTGCCAGCAGCGTAGCATCCTCACATGTGTCTCTCTAACACTGACCTTCTTCTTCCACTTATGAGGGCCCCTATGACAACTTCCATCTGCAACTTTAATTCTCCCCTTCCTATGTAACATAAAACAGATTCTCGGATTAGGATGTGGACATCTTTTTAGAAGGCAGAGGGGAGCATCATTCTGCCAACCATACTAAGCGAGACAAATTCCTTCCTACAAGGAGTTCCAGTGACAACTGTTATGAGAATAAGGTGTTTATGTCATGACATAAGGACTGAACGTTTCCACTGGGGTTTTGTTTGTCGTTATTGTTTTTGTTTTGATTTGGTTTTTTGAAAAGGGGTCTCGCTCTGTCATCCAGGCTGGAGTGCAGTGGTGCGAACTTGGCTCACTGCAACCTCCGCCTCCTGGGATCAAGTGATCCTCCCACCTCAGCCTCCCGAGTACCTGGGACTACAGATGCACACCACCATGCCTGGCTAATTTTTGTATTTTTTGGAGAGATGGGGATTCACCATGTTGCCCAGGCTGGTCTCAAACTCCTGGGGTTTGAGAACCCCATCTGGGGTTTTTGAACAAAAACAGAACCTGGTTAAGGACAGTTTGGAATTCAGTGAACCA
Organism: Homo sapiens; assembly: GCF_000001405.40. Taxonomy (NCBI): domain Eukaryota; kingdom Metazoa; phylum Chordata; class Mammalia; order Primates; family Hominidae; genus Homo; species Homo sapiens. The sequence continues at coordinate 35,713,960 of NC_000021.9, forward strand.
AAACATGAAGGAAGAATCAGTGAATGAGAAAGTAAATACAGATAATACGTGTAAGTATGTCAACAGTTTTTAGGAAAGTACACAGGTTATTAATCTTAGAGAGGAGAGCAAGCACCAGGGAGGGGTGAGCGAATTTGATTTAAGTCTTAATTATAGATTGTGCAATCTCCATGTCCAAGGAATCAAAATTCCTAGCTCCATGGATCCTCTTCCCAGTCCACTTGCCAATCAGCTTTCTGAAGCAATCTGGCACAGGAAGGAGTGGGAGACTGATGAGCAGCCCAGACCCCCTGCTAGCTACATTGCACAGTCCCTGGAGGATCCTTCCAGGGAGTTGGGTCTCTATAGAGTACTCCCAAATCAATCAACTCCCTTTAGCCAATCTCTGTGCTGAGCCCCATGGTACAGCACCCTTGGGATCCAGCCTATGCATACTCTCCAAGCCCTGCTGGTTCACGCTACCTGGGCTTTAGAGTGCTTTACCTTCAATTATGGGGCCCAGCACAGCCTCCACTGGGGCATGCTGTGCTATAACCATAGTGATAGGTTTAAGGGTCAAAAGGGGTGGTGTAGGCACAGACTGAGGAGATGATTCTCGTTATCTTGCAGAGGAGAGGTCTCTGTACTATCTCCAGGCTAGAGGGGAGTTCTAGCTCTTCCCAGGAGGTGTGGGCTCCTTTTGCAACTTAGAGGGCTCAGGAGAACCCAGAGATTCAAGATTTTAATGGCATCAACACAGATTCCTCTACCCGAGCAGAGCTGGGGATGAGGTGAGGTGAGGTGAGGGAGGCATCTAGGGGACAAAATTTCAGGACTTACATACTCCCTGCACATGCATGGACCTGAGAGTGAACACCTCCTTAAATTTTGCACCATCGGCCCCTGGCTTGCCTCACCCTAGCTGCTGCCTTGCATCTAAGTGTCAGGTCCTGTTCTCTTCCAACCAGGAACCTGACTTTGGCATAGAATACTGACCTTGCTTGGTATTTAACCTACTTCAGCAAGGACCCCAGAAGACTGCATAAATTGGCTATTAGGACAGAGTCTCAAAGCATGAGAAAAGTGATGTCTGAACTTAGTGAGGTTCCGACGCCAGAGTTGCTGGGAGCAACTGCAGGGAACAAGCTGGAGAGGAGATATGACAGAAGACTCCCAGAAAACCCACCAGATCATCACATTCCATGGGAAGTCCCCTGCAGAAACTGTCTGGATCCTGGAGGATGATGATAGACCACTCAAACTCAACTAAGCAGCAGCCATTTTTTCCTTCAATTCCTGACATGACATCTTTGTTGGAGAGATGAATAATGTCTCAGGGACATTCTACACAGCCATTGATTTGGTGAAACCATTCCTTTCTAATTCTATCAAAAAAGAAGATCAGAAGCTATTTGCAATGAAATAGAAAGAATAAAAAATATTCCTTTACAGTTTTGCCCCAGGACTATGTTAACTCTTGCACCTTTGGTCATATTATAGTCTGTGGAGATCTGGACATCTCTACACCTGGGCATTCCATAGAATGTCACACTGATATGTGATATAGATGACATCATTCTAGTCAGGTCAAATGAGCAAGAATTGACAAGTACATTGCAGACCTTAGTAAGATACACATCTTCCAGAGGATGACAGATAAAGCCCATGAAGATTCAGAGGCTTGCTACATCAATAAAATGTTTAGGAGTCCAGCGGTCAAGGGGTATGCCAGGGCACCTTATCCAAACTAAAGGATCAAATATTGCATCTTGCATCTCCCCCCATGAAGAGGAAAGCCCAAAGGTGAACCCAAGGACCAACTTATAATATTCTCCACTAGCAATGATCATTCTACCATTAGCAGGAGAGGGGATTACCAACAGTGCTAGGTTTTCTGTATAAATAAACATTTGTTGAGGCTCTCCAAAGAACATTAGCAACAAGAAAGAACAGACAACACAAAACATAATCAAATTTCCAAGGTAGTACATCAGTTAGCTATTCCTGCATAACAAATCTAAAACTTAAGCCACTAAAACTTAGTGGCTTAAGACAACTACCATTTGCTTAGCTCGTGATTCAGTCAGCAACTTGATCTGGGCTCATTTGGATGGGTACCATGATTTTGCCTGGGCTCATTCACACATCTTTGCTCAGCTGAGGAGTCAGCTAAGGATTGGCTAGTTTGGGGTGGCCTCAGCTAGAACATCTTACCTTTGCTTTATGTGTTTGCTTATCCCCAGCAAGCTACTCTTGTCTTATTCATAAGATATCTGGGCAGGGTTCTAAGAAAGAATAGTCACATGTAAGACCTCTTGAGTTCTCATGCTAGGCTCACAAAGGGCACACCATGACTTCTGCTGAATTCTATTAGCCAATGCAAGTCACGGGCCAGTAACAGATTCAAAGGTAGAGGAAATAGACTCCACCTCTTGAAGGAAAAGTTGCAAAGTCACATTACAAGGAACATGGATACAGGGGAAAGTGAAGAGTTGTGGCAGTTTTTGCAGTCTATTAATCTGCTGGATTCTGTATGAATTAACATTTATGGGAGCTTCCAAAGAAGAGCAGCCCCTGAGAGGGTGAGAGAAGTAAGAGCCTGATCAAATTTCTGGACCAGTCTTTTCAAGGCAAGAGTCAGAAATTTCTAAACAGATTTGATGACCCTCCTTAGAAACGCAGCAGGACAATGTGGCCCCAGTCAATCCCTGACCTTTCTCTGTATTCAATCCTACCCTCTGAAGTGACCTCTGTGTGTTCCCTGTCCTCTTTTATAGTCAACTTAGAAATGACTCTATCACTTCTGCCTTCAGAACAGAGCAACATACTGAAAAAGGTAGACAATGTGTTCAAAAAATGGGAACAAATTTCTATAATCTGCCTGTCACCCTCCTGCATGATTTTTAATGACATTCTTTGCTTCAAAGGAAAATAAAAATAAGGAAGTAATCTGACATATATACTGCACTTAAATGCTAGTAAGTCTTCACACACAAAGAAAGAAATAGTAAGAAAAGAGAAAACCCTAAAAATATTGAGGTTGGGAGCCAAATGCAGCATATGTTTTTGAGAATCTAATCCTTCCAGTGAAACTCCCAGACAGCTGTCAGAGTGAGTTCAGTGGTGCGGTGGATGAGGTGATAAGACATGGTACTGTGTAAAGCTCCACCCCAGGCTTCATCATTGGAGTGTCAGCCATCATCCTTCTCCTTTGCAAATTGGCATTTAATGAAACAAAGCACAATTTCTTAAATCCCAAATCCTATTTTTACTTCTATTTGCCAAGTTATTTTCTCTGCTTTTACTTCTCCTGATTTTCCTTTGTCTACTCTTTTTTTTTTTCTTTTTCCTTCCCCATTAAGGAACGAGGATTTTCAAGCTTTGCTTCCTTATCAAGCTAAAAGTCCAAAGAATCAGACCTTTTGGTTTCCCTTTTCCATTTCAAGATATGATGAGGTCAAGTAGATTTGTAAGGTAGCAGAGGTGCTCTGTTACTCAATCATGGCTCCAAGAACAGGAATGTGGAAGAAAAAAAAAAGGAAGTAATAAGGCCTCTCCCTGTTCCAACCCCTTTAAAATGTAGATTTAAGAAAAGGTGCTAGGGAGTCAAGCAGGAGGAACTAAAAGAGCTTTTTCATTTAAAACACTGAGCTCAGAGCTTGAAGAGAATTTAGAGACCTTCTAGCTGCAAACCAATCTGATCTCTCTAAATTTAAGCACATCCCTTCCTGGGCTCAAGAAAACATTGTCCACAAGAGCACCTACCCTGAGGACAAGTCTTGGATAGGGATCAATAAGATACTCCAAATCAAACTTGCCCTAATGAGCTTTATCTATTAAAAAAAAAAAGACCAAACAATGGAAGGCAGCATAGCATGGTGGTTAAGAGCACAGACCCAAGACGTCATGGATTTGAATCCTGGCTCTACCAGTGTTATGGGTTGAATGTGTTCTCACCCTCCAAAATCCACATGTTGAAGTCCTAATCCCTAGCACCTCAGAATGTGACATTATTTGGAGATAGGGTCTTTACAGAAGGTAATCAAATAAAAATGAGGTGATTAGGGTGGGCCCTAATGCAATATAACTGGTGTTCTTATATAAAAGAAGGAATCTGGACACATAAACAAGCACACAGGGAGACTGCCCTGTGATGATAAAGACTGAGATTGGGGTGATGTGTCTAAAAGCCAAGGAATGCGAAAGACTGCAGCAACTCCCAGAAGCTGGGGGAGAGCCAGGAACAGATCCTCCCTCACAGCCTCAGCAGGAACCACACCTGCTGACCCCTTGATCTTGGACTTCTGGCCTCCAGAGCTGTGAGAGAATAAATTTCTGTTGTTTAAAGCACCTAGTCTGTGCTACTTTGGGCAGCCCTGGCGAGGTCACGCAGCCACTCACCATCTATCTGTGTGACTCTGGCATGGCTTCTCCTTGCCCTGTCTGTAACATGTAGATGACAATAAATGTCTAAGTCAGAGGGTCGTTAGGAACACTAATTAAATAAATTAACATATGCAAGTGTTTCAAATAGAAGTTGACGCAAAGAAAGAGGTATATGAATGTATTAGTCCGTTCTCACGCTGCTATAAGGGCATACCAGAGACTGGGTAATTTACAAAGGAAAGAGGTTTAATTGACTCACAGTTCCGCAGGGCTGAGGAGGCCTCAGGAAACTTACAATCATGGCGGAAGGAGAAGCAAACATGTCCTTTTTAAAATGGCAGTAGCAAAGAGACGTGCAGAGCAAAAGGGGGAAAAGCCCCTTATAAAACCATCAGATCTCGCGAGAACTCACTCACCATCACGAGAACAGCAACATGGAGATAACCGCCCCCATGATTCAATTACCTCCCACCAGGTCCTTCCCATGCATGACATGTGGGGATTATGGGAACTACAATTCAAGATGAGATGTGGTTGGGGACACAGACAAACCATATCAATGAATATTTCTTAAATAAAAAAAAATTAAAACCAACATCTGCATGAGTCATTATAGGTATTATTAGTGAATCTGCTTGACTCTTCAGTCAGTATGGTATTAGAGGGAAAATAAGAAATCCTTTGGAAAGCCAAAATGCCATTGCTTATTCCAAGCACTGTCTACAAATTGTTATAATCAGAGCTATGTTGTTTTCTTTGTTTTTCTTTAAATCGTTTGGATCTGGCAGTGCCCAGGCCTTTAGGTTTCTAATAAATTATTAATCTAAGAGTTAATAATTCAAGTTAATTGGTGGTATAAGCCACTTTCTCTGGCAAATGTGAGCAAAGGTCACAACTTTTTAACAGCAAGGGTGAAACCTTTTCTGAGGTTTTTTCCCTCCCCCATGGTCTATCATGGAAATATTAAGATATGAAAGAAAAATTTTAACCAGAGCTGGGAAAGCAAGATAATTCCAAGGATAAAAGTGTAGACTGTCAGCCATACTTCCTGGCCAAGCACTGTCTCCATAGCCCTGCTGGAGGAAAAGGAGGTCTCCAGGGAATTCAGGGGACTCCAGCCCCACAGGAGCCCACCCAAGAAGGACACAGCCATGCAGGTTTGTAAACCTTTGACAAGACAACTTATAATCATTAAACATGTTGACTCATTGATCAAAAAAGTTTTGGTTTTTTGTTTTTGTTTTTGTTTTTGTTTTCAGAAAATAAAAGAAGGCATTTAAGAGATTAGCTCACCAATGGGATTTTTCACAAAGAATGATAATTTTCCTAAATTACAAGGCACAGGCTTAAGAATAGAGAACATCCATTCATACTGGGTGACAGCCATAGAATGCTAAGCAAACCCCTTCCACCACTGACTTCTTTGATTTTAATTAATGTATATATGCTCTGCCTTTTTGTTTCCAGAAAGAATTTCAGGTAATTCCTGATTGCAGGCCGCAGAAGCCAAGAAATAAAAGACTTCTTACCCGAACTAATGTGACTTTACTTTCCAGCTCATGGATTTGCCCCTAGATCTGTGAAGCAGCCACAAGTGGCCTAGCTGTTCTGGGTGTTTTATACCTTTTTTGGCCTTAATGCTTATTTGCAAGGTTCATGTCAAGTTACAGGCTGATGTGATGAAATGACTTTTTCCCATTTGGAAAATAAGATTATTCTTAGTAGCTTGTTTCAGTCTTGATTAAAAGATAGATGTAAAATATTCAAAGAATGATGTCTGAAGACTTAAAGATAAAATTTACATGGAAGCCACTAGTTTAAAGAGATTCAGTCAGCTCCTCCAGCTCTTGTTTTTCTAAAGAAAATTTGAATAGCATATGCTTTTCATTGTGCTCCTTTTCAGCCATTTACATATTGGGGAAATATATATTTGGCAACTGGTCCTATTTTTAGGAGTCCTTGAAACTTGCCCTTTGAAAATGTTTTCATTTTTGGCACATATGTGTGTCTTAAGCAGAATGAAAACACAAAGTAAAAAAGAAAAATATGTACAAAAAGGAATGATTTTTCCAGCCCTATGTAGCACAATAAGAAAGCAATCATTCAGTGGTGACTTTAAAAAATGGATTCTTGCCTGGATTTTCCAACGATTTCCTTCTAAGTGAGCGTTTCTCTGCAGAACTGAACTAATGTAAAGAGACAGTTTGTTCCAGTGCCAGAAATGAACCAGCAAAAAAAAGGACGGAGGCTCTATTTTCATAGGAGGAAGTTAACAAAATAATACCCACTCTGTTTCTCTGCAGCCTCTTGTGTCATTTCAGAAGAAAGTGCCATATGCCCATTGCGTGATTTGAAGCGTGTATTCCCAGCCTGACTCTTGGTCACCACTCGTTCTGTTATTTGCAGTCAGTAACAAAGATTCATCCTTGTGTCCATCATGCAACAAGGAGAATCTTTGTCACTTAGTGTAATTAATAGCTGGACCTTGCAAAGGAAGGTGGGAGAAGGAAGCCGTTCATGCATAGACCTGGATAAATTCAGAACAGGCTTTGCGGATCTTTGCTGCCTTTTGACCAATTAAGGTGCCAGAGCCCCAGCAGAAGAGGAAATATGGTAAACAAAGTGTTTTCTCTGGGGCTGTGTGTGTTATAATCCCAAGCTCTGTAACTGTGGTTCAGGAGAGCTCTCTAACTTTCCCTATCAAGCCAGATGACCATCGACTCCCCTCTACGTCTATGTCCTATTTCAGTGTATCCTTCCCACTTTCCTTCCACCACACTGTCTTCACCAGCCTCTAGATAGATACCACTATAGGATAAAAATCAAAAAGAGAGGCCTTATGTTTGATGAGTGCCTCCCCTAGACTATGTGGTTAAATCACTCAGCAAGCTTTCAGAGAATGTGTAATGGGCCCTGTTTTCAAAATGAGAGGACTGAAAAGAGGTTTAGAGAGGCCAGCGCTGAGGTTAGGCTCAGGGAACAGATAGAAATAGCCGATTCAGGACCACATCAAGGGCTCTCTAATGCCGGGATTCTTAGCTCACTTTTCCCTGTATTGTGATCTTTTCTTTCACTTTTTTTTTTTTTAATAGAGATGGGGTCTTGTTATATTTCCCAGGCTGGTCTTGAACTCCTGGCCTCAAGCAATACTCCTGTCTTGGCCTCCCAAAGTGCTGGGGTTGCAGGCGTGAGCCACTGTACCCAGCCTCCTTAACTTTCTGAACTCCTACTTATTTATTTTTGTGACCCTACTTCTTTATTCTTCCTCCTCCTGTACAAAAATGGCTGGATGGATTCCACTTGTCCCTGGACCTTTAAACTCCTGTCCTCCATACCTGAACAAATCCAATTTATCTCTCAAAGTTTCAGAGAGTTCCTAAATACTAATAGTTCCTCACCATCATCTCACTTGCAATCCGTGCATTTCAGAGTTCCCTTCCCAGAGGCCATTTTTGCCTTTAATTAGCAAATGCATACTATTCTAGGATCCATGAGATTTTTTTCCTTCTATTTCTGCCCAAGGAGAAAGCAAACACGTACTGCTGCATTTGCCATCCTAGGTCCATAATCTCTCTGATCTTTCTTCACCTTTAAAAATCTCACCTCATATATCTTTTCTTAGGCTCATCCCTCAAATATTCAGGTTATTTCCCCCAGGCTTCCTCTCACCTCTCTCCTTGTGGCTACACTGGCTAGGAGTGTCCAGCCTCATTCAAGAGGGGGTCGGATCTCCTTTCCCTGCCCTGTTGCTTTCCACGGTGGAACCAGCATCCTCCCTGACTCCCTGCCCCTCCTCAGGAACCACAACTCCCTGTCGCCCTCCTCTGAACAGGATTGTTCTCCATCCATCCTCCTCCCTGCTCAGACCTCCATCCATAGCACTGTTTCTAAACCTCCAGCTCCCTCTCCCTTATCCCATCTGTGTTAGCCTGTTTTCACACTGCTGATAAAGACATACCTGAAACTGGGCAATTTACAAAAGAAAGATGTTTAATTGGACTCACAGTTCCACGTGACTGGGGAGGCCTCACAATCATGATGGAAGGCAAAGAGGAGCAAGACACATCTTACACGGATGGCAGCAGGCAAAGAGAGAGCTTGTGCAGAGAAACTTGTTTTTAAAACCATCAGACCTTGTAAGACTCATTCACTGTCATGAGAACAGCACAGGAAAGATCGGCCCCCTTAATACAATCACCTCCCACTGGGGTCCTCCCATGACGTGTGGGAATTGTGAGAGTTACAATTCAAGATGAGATTTGGGTGGGGACACAGCCAAACCATAGCACCATCTTTTCAAGGATCCTTTTCCACACATCTCACAGGGTCTGCTCCTGTCCTAGCTGGCTGAACAGTCATCCTAGGCTTCCAAAGTATTGCCAGTCAATGTTCATAGCTCTCTTTATCCAATTTGGGAACTCATCACTGCCTCTGAAACCCAGCTGCTTCATGATAGGCTGCAGCAATAACAATTTTGGAGGCCCAGCCCCTCCATGAGTTTGTTCTGATTTGGGGTGTGCCCATTTGTGCTCTACCTAAGCTCCTGAGGTTAGGGACTCCTGTTAGTCTTAGTGACTCTATGTGTATAATAAATTATAATGCTACAAGTGGGCTTAAATTCTAATTCCTTTTTTTTTTTTTTTTTTTTGAGACTGAGTCTTGCTCTGCCGCCAGCCTGGAGTGCAGTGGTGAGATCTCGGCTCACTGCAACCTCCACCTCCTGGGTTCAAGCGATTCTCATGCCTCAGGTTCCCAAGTAGCTGAGATTACAGGCACGCACCACCATGCATGACTAATTTTTGTATTTTCAGTAGAGACGGGGTTTCTCCATATTGGCCAGGATGGTCTCTATCTCCTGACCTCGTGATCTGAGCACCTCAGCCTCCCAAAGTGCTGGGATTACAGGCATGAGCCACTGCACCCAGCCTAAATTCTAATTCTTTAGATATGTAGAAAGCATAGTCATTCCTTCCAAGTCCATAAAAGTGCCTTGCCCACAACATGTGTGTTATTTTTCAATCCAAGGCACTCTGCTGAAAGTTCAGACCAGCATGGCAAGCTGCGCAAGCACAATTTAAATTCCTACCACACCACACCATTTTGGCTGATGTGTTCCTAAGTATTTAAGTCACTGAACATTCCCTTCTTCCCCCCCCCAACCCCTCTCACATGACACCACCAATTTTGCCTTAAGGGAAACCTAAATGCAGATTCCTGTGACCTGGAGTGGACAAGATAGAGAGTTAGTTCCTGCTGTGATCCTACTATCTTCCATCTGTAGAATCTACCAGAAAGTAAGCTAAAACTTAGGAGCAATGGGAAATGAAGCAAGGTTGCCCTTAAGCCCATTTGTCTGCCAAGACCTCTCTGCAAGTCCTAGACTGAATTGCCTTCCAGATGTCCACCAAGATAAAAAATGTCACTACTTCAGGCCAATTTCTTTGCTTCCTCCCCACATGTGAAACCAGACAGAGACCTGGGAGTTATCCTGGACTCCTTCCCTTAAATGATCCCTCCCGCACAGTCCAAGTCCTGTCCATCTCTTGCTGAACAGATCACCTAAAGTCACCTGAGCCTGTCCTCTGCTCTCTATCCCCATCACATCGTCTTCAGTATAGAATTAGGAATGGGATTGCAGTCCCTTCACTGCCTTTTACCTGCACCCTAGGAGTATCTACCCTTCACCAACTCTCTGTTGCTTACACCATCAACTTGTGGAGAGCTCCAGGCCTGAGAGATGGATGTGGGGGTGACTGGAAGCTCAGTTCTCACTCAGCCCCTTTGTCACTCACACTCTGCCTCAGCATTCACAGCTTAACAAAGACCAATGCAGCCTTCCGGTAGACCCATAAATGGAAGCTATCAGGACCATGGTAGAAGCTGATTCACATTCCATAGGGGCATGCAAGGTTTTCCAAGACCCAGCCTCCTCTGAGTTTTAATTTGTAGAAATACTGGACTGCCTGTAGTTCCCCAAACTCACCAGCCTTTGCACGTGTGCTCCCAGCACAAAGCTGCTTCCCACATCCCCTCAGCTCCATACAACCCCTCCGCATTACTCATAGAGGAAAATCTATTTACACATTTTGCTTGCTCAGATGCAACAGCCCCTAGGATGGCCTTCTGACTTCAACTACCTCCTCCTTATCCCTGTCTTAGTCTGCTCTGGCTGCCATAGCAAATACTACAGACCCAATCGCTTAAACATCAGAGATTTATCTTCTCACAGTTCTGGAGGTCAGAAGTCTAAGAGCAGGTTCCTGGTAATGGCTCTCTTTCTGGCTTGTAAATGGCAAGTCCTCACCATGTCTTCACGTAACCTTTCCTCAGGGCCTGCCCACACAGACAGAGGGAGATCTCTGGTGTATCTTTCTCTTGTTTTTTTAACTGGTGACCAATTTATTAAAATAGTTGACTTAAGTATCTGCAATGGTGGCTTCAACCTCAAGTCCTCGCTCAATACTGATGGAAGTCATCCGCTCAACAATCTCAGAAGGGCTGTGCGAGTCAATGAGTGGCTTGTGGATTTTCATCTGGAAATGATCCCATGTCTTAGAACCTTCACCTCAAGGAGTTTTTCTTGTAGTAATTCTCAAAAGTCTTGGTAGGCATTCTAACTGGTCCTTTCACTTCGAGATTCTTTTCCTTTGCTCCTCTGTTCAAGTCAGCACACATTTCTCCAGAGATTTTATGTGGCAGCTCATTAGCGTGATTCGAATTCAGCAAATCACCACCTCCAGCTCCATGGGTGTTTTTCTGGGATCTTTAAAAGCCATGGCTGCAGTGCAGCTTCTTGACCGACTTGTTCGTTGGCGAGAGTGAACAGTGGTGAATCAGGAGCAAAAAGCTATTCTTTTTTTTTTCCCATAGGTTACATGACTAAGTTATTTAGTGGTGATTTGTGAGATTTTGATACACCCATCACCCAAGCAGTATACACTGCACTCAGTTTGTAGTTTTTTATCCCTCACCCCCTTCCCACCCTTTCCCCCGAGTCCTCAAAGTCCACTGTGTCATTCTCATGCCTCTGCATCCTCATAACTCAGCTCCCACTTATGAGTGAGACCATATGATGTTTGGTTTTCTGCTCCTGAGTTACTTCACTTTTAGTCTCTAATCTCACCCAGGTTGCAGCAAATGCCACTAATTCATTCCTTTTTATGGCTGAGTAATATTCTTTCCTCTTTGAAGGCCGCCAATCCTATCAGAGTAGGACCCCACCCTTATGACTGCATTAAACCTTAACCTCCTAAAAGCCCTACATCCAAACACAGTAATTCACAGCTTCAACACAGGAATTCTGAAGAACACAATTTGGTCCATAGCAACCCATACCCCAATTCCCTGATAGAAAACACATTACCTACATACAGAAGAAAAATGACTTTCCTTGAGTACTCTACAAATTAGTTTGTTTAGTGTTTTATTATAAAAGTTATTATTTGCAATCTATCTTACTATAATTGCACTATGTTCCATTATTATTTTTTGATAAGTAGAAATGCAATATGTTTGCAAGTATGTGTTTTAATTCGTAACTTATGAAACTAGTAATAGCTGGCTGTTTTTTACCTAAATATGTCCATTTTATAGAGTTAAATCTAATATAGATGTGTAATTTATCTTTATACATTGATCAACCAGATAAACTTGTAAATTAAATTTTATTTGCTATGTGCATTATTCGTTCCACAAAATTCTAACGAAAAAGGTTAAAAACAACCCACATGATTATGTAAACATCAAACTTTATTTTATGAAACTACAGAAGTTTAACTGAAGTTTCACTGTTGCCATCAATCTGTGAGTCCCAGCAGGAAAAGGAATTGATGGGCTGATAAGGGTCCACTTCACCTGCTTTTGAAGGAACCACACCTCTTCTCTTTCATGAATTATTAAAATCGAGATACAAAAGTTGCCATTCTGGAAATGGATGGATGCTGTTAGCTGTCATGTGACAAGTGAGGTTTTATTTATTTTTAGCTCACAGTTCCCTCTCACATACATACTGAGAGACTGAAAAAAATGCTGGGGATCATTAAACATGACTGGTTTTATGGTATCTAACTACATCTTCAACGTTTACTAAGACTAAAATTTAATCTTTAATCTCAATTATATTACACATCATGAATAATGTGGACCTGAATTCCAGCTCCTGATTTCTTATGAAGTCAGTCTACAAAATAATCAAATTAATTTATACAAGTTACCCAGGAAAAACGGTTTGCTGACTATGGTTACATCTCACTTGCTTAACTTATTCAATGTTAAGCTTAATTTCCACAAGAGGTTGGAGCTACTAAGAGTTGTTTGTTAAGAAGCTGCGAAAAGAGCATACTTAGGTGTTTCCACACCAAACCAGACTGTGAGCCCCAGAAATGGACATGAGAGGCCTTACAAGACCTTCTTCTCCTTTACAGCCATTTCCTAAAGCAAATATTCAAAGTCTGCATTACCCATGAGTTGAACCATCCTATGCATACAAAATGGCCACTCAGAAGGATTACGTAAAAGCTGCCATTCCTTTCTAATAGAAATGAGTTTGTGCACTGAAAGTCAGCAGTTCATCCACATTATATCCCAGAGGACTAATTTCTGCAGCTAGAGAACTGGAAAACCTCAGCATTTTTCAGGGAGAACAGAAACGTTATCCTATAGCTCTCCCTGCACCATCCTACCCTCCTCCTTGCCCACAGCCACTGACGAGTCAGTGATAAAAGACTCCATCTTCACCTCAACTTGGATTTCATTTTTACTCTCCACTCCCTTAGACTTGAGGTTCTAGAACATTCCTTGCTTTTCAGACTACCTTCAACTTGATCCGAGATTCAAACACCAGTTTCCCTGGTGTTTTTCTTTCTTATTCTCAGAAACATATTCTCTGCTAGACCACATAACCATTAACTCCACACATCCTAAATTCTCTTACAAAAAAGAAAAAAAAGAGAGACAGGGTCTCTGTTGCCCAGGCTGGACTTGAACCCAAGGCCCAAGCGATCATTCCACCTAAGCTTCCCAAGTAGCTGGAACTATAGGTGACTCCACACATTCTGAAGAGGAAGCTAGCATCCTCCCTACACAGCCCATTTTTGGTCCTATTATAGTTCTACCTTTTTTATAAATGATAAACTGATAACGGCTTCAAGAAACAAGTAAACTTTGAAAGATTGCAAAGGAACCCTTCCCTTAACCCTCCTCCATCTCCCCTCCATAATTCACCTTATTTTCCAGAGCCTGCTCTCCTCAACTACCTCATTCCAATTTACTATATGTTGGCTTCTGAAGAAAGCCAACGTTTGGAAGCCAATGTGTGGTAAATTGCTCATTGCTAACTGAGGTGTATTTAAGTTTGCATAGTGACTATTATGAGCAGTATTTCATACATTCTTAGCAGTCAGAGAAGCCTTCCTGCGAACGACCACCACTCTTCTACCTCTTTTTCCCCTCCTCTCCCACCCATGCACACATCCCTTTCTGTTTATGGAATTCATAAAAACATGTAGCAAGCTGAATCTAAAAAGTCCCTGGTCCCTTCTAAAGAAGTCTGTTATAAAGAGTGGAAGAAACAGCCAAAGAAGCTATTGCCAATGAAAAGAGAGACCTCGAACCTTAATATTGTTTCCCATGTCTTTGCTCAACACTTTGGAAGAGATTTTATGGGTTTTGTTTTTCCAGTACAGTTGACTCTTGCACAATATGGGTATGAACTATGCAGGTTCATTTATACAGACTCTTTTTCAGTAAAAGTTACACTGAACATGCCTCCTCTCCTGACCTCCCTTCCACCTCCTCCATCTCTGCTGCCTCTGCCCCTCTTGAGACAGCAAGGCCAACCCCTCCACTTCCTCCTCCTTATCAGCCTACTCGACATGAACATGATGAAGATGAAGACCTTTATGATGATCCACTTCCACTCAATGAATAGTAAATGTATTTCATCCACCTTTTTCTTAATAACATTTTCTCTTCTCTAGCTTACTTTATTGTGAGAATGCAGTACATAATATATATATATAACATACAAAATATGTGCTAATTGACTGTCTGTGTTATCAGCAAGGCTTCCAGCCAACAGTAGGCTATTGGTTAAGTTTTTGAGGAGCAGGCTATTGGTGAAGTTATACATGGATTTTCAACTGCATTGGTGGAGGAGGGGGGTCAGCATCCCTAATCACCACATTGTTCAAGGATCAACTATAATTTCTTTGCTGTGCCCAAAATTTGAGAGGTACTTATAACTGCTGGTAGAATTTTTCCTGTGTAAAAATAGGTGGCATTTGTCTGAGAAAACCAAACCTGGGAAAGCACAGATTCAATCTGAATTCCAAAAGGGTGTGCTTTCCCATCTGTACACTAAAAGATTTCCCTGTAATTCCATTTGCTGGTGACTGCACATTTTTCAAATTAAACTTGAGGAAGGAAGAGAACACTTGTCCTTGAGAAGTTTATAGCAACAGAAGCACCAGAATAGAAACTTTAGATAACTTAGAAAAATTAAACACCTCTAAACAGCACCCCAAAAAAGTTAGCCATTTTTAAGATATGAACATTTTATTTTTTCTTAATTAGAGCATTGAATATCATAAGTAGATCAAGTGTGTTTGCTCCTGTTATTAAGAGCAAGAAAGGAAGATTGGCCAGGCATGGTGGCTCATGCCTGTAATCCCAACACTTTGGGAGGCCGAGACGGGTGGATCACTTGAGGTCAAGAGTTCAAGGCCAGCCTGACCAACATGGTGAAACCCCGTCTCTACTAAAAACACAAAAATTAGCTGGGCGTGGTGGCAGGCACCTGTAATCGCAGCTACTCGGGAGGCTGAGGCAGGAGAATCACTGG
The DNA here is from genome assembly GCF_000001405.40 of Homo sapiens. Taxonomy (NCBI): domain Eukaryota; kingdom Metazoa; phylum Chordata; class Mammalia; order Primates; family Hominidae; genus Homo; species Homo sapiens. Next base: position 35,729,165 of record NC_000021.9, read on the forward strand.
AACCGGGGAGGTGGAAGTTGCAGTGAGCCAAGATCGCGCCATTGCACTCCAACCTGGGCCACAGAGTGAGACTTTGTCTCCAAAAAAAAAAAAAAAACAGATTATCCTTTTAGTGCTTGAAAGTGCTCTGCCCTTTAAAAAATATACCTTACAGAGACTAGAGACATATAACTAAATACAATCTTAGACTGAGTCCTTATTGAAGGAAAAAAAGTGTTATAAGTACATTGTTGGGTCAATTAACAAAACTGGAATATGGACAGTAAATAAGAGTATTATATTGAGGCAAAATTTACCAAAGTTGATAAGCGTACTACAGCTGTGCAAAAGAATAAATATTCCTAGTCTTAGGAAATACACTCTGAGGGATTTAGGGGTAAAGGGCCATGGTGTACGCAACTTGCTTGCAAAGGAGACAAATATATTTTTTCTATGTTATGCATACATGTATATGTGTATGTATGGAAAGAGAGAGCAAATGATAAAGCCAATGGAATAAAATGTCCACAACAGGTGATTCTGGATAAAGGGTATTTGTTGTGCTTCTCAATATTTTTACTATTGCAATTTTTCTGTAATTTGAAATGAGTTCCACACTAGAAGTTTAACAAATATACACCTTACAGTTTGAAATTATGTTTTAAAGAAAAGTTGGAAAGCGGAGAGACAAAAGGGGGAAAAAAACAGGTAAAAAATTAATTTCGGGAAAATAATTATCCACACATCTAGGTGGCTTCTTCCCATCTTCTGAGACAGGTCAGCATCATAGATGCCTACTGTACTCCAGTCCTCAGCCTCATTCTTATCTCTCCAGTCTTCCTGATCAGGAAATAGCTTCAAAGGTCAGCCAGGTTGGCTCAAAAAATCCACAGACAAAATGGGTGAAAATGAGTATCTTGGAAATGGTGTGTTGCATCCTCTTGGTCCTGAGCACTCTGCCTCCTCGTGCTGCTCCTGGAGCCACCACTGAATCAGGCAAACACATTTCTTTTCTTTCATTTTTTTTTGTTTTGGTTTGGTTTGGTTTTTGGTTTTTGATTTTTGTTTTTTTTTTTTGTTTTTTTTTTGAGACAGAGACTTGCTCTGTTGCCCAGGCTGGAGTGCCATGGTGTGATCCTGGCTCACTGCAACCTCTGCCTCCCGAGTTCAAGTGATTCTCCTACCTCAGCCTCCCAAGTCACCGGGCTAAAGGTGCCCACCACCACGCCTGGCTAATTGTTGTGTTTTTAGTAGAAACGAGGTTTACCAAGGCTGGTCTCAAACTCCTGACCTCAGGTGATCCGCCCGCTTCAGACTCCCAAAGTGCTGGAATTACAGGTGAGGCAAACACATTTCTATGCCAGACCTCTAGGGGGAACTCCTTGGGATTGACGCTCAAAGGCATGAAGCTTTGAATTTCTCTCTCAATGTTACAAAACTTAAAACCCCCTTCGAAATAGATGGCTACGCTGCAGACCAAGGTACTAAACAATATTTTATTATAACAATAATCATTAGTGATGTCAATTGAGAAAAATGACAACACAAGTCTCAATCATTTTAGGAAGTTTATTTGCCAAAGGTAAGAATGCGAGCCTGGGAGACAGGTCTATGCCTTTCTCCAAAGATGATTCTGAGGGCTCCAAATTTAAAGGGGAAAGGGCAGGATATTGCAAAGTACACAATTTTCACGTAAGAGGGGGCTAGGAAAAATTAGTCATTCGTGCCTTTGTCTGGCTCAATAAATCTGCATTTTTTTTATGTAAGATGACATAGACAAATAAGGCAGAGGAAAAAGGCAGGCAATCTGCATTTTACATAAGATAACATAGACAAAATGGGGCAGGGAAATAATCAGATAGGCATTTGGGTCAGTTGGGCAGGAGGATGGCTGCACCTGTAAAGATAAGCTATCAATTTGCATTGCCATGGTGAAATTTTAACAGAAACACCTTAGAGTAAAGATCTTGCAGCTCACCAGGAATTTACTTGTAGGCAAAATATGGGGGAGACATGTAGCTTTTCATCTTGTAGCCATCTTATTTAGGAATGAAAAACGGGGAGGCAGGTTTGGGTGACCCCGTCCCTAGCTCCACTTTTCCCTTTGGCTTAATGAGTTTGGGGTCCCAAGATTTAATTTCCTTTCACAATATCATTCTATTCTAAGCCACTGAAATGTGTTAACTCATTTAATCCTCACAACAACCTTGTAAGAGAAGTATATGATTACTTCCAGTTTATAATACAAATGAAGAAATCAAAGCCCAGACAGAATAAGTAACTTGCCCAAGGTCATGCAACTGGTAAGCCACTGAATTTGAACCCAGGAAATTTGACTTCAAAGACCACATTCTTAATTACCACACTCAACTTCTCAACTGCACCATCCTAAGACCCAGACATCAACCTTCATCTGTTAGCCAGTTAGAACAATTCAAATTATCCTGGTTGAGTGGCCTGGATGTCACTACAGATGCGATATTGCCTTTGTTTACAATCCCATTGTCTAAGCTTCATAAGGCAAACCCCTATTGAAAAGTCAAGTTTACTCCATGGTTGCTATTAAATTTCTGGGGCCATGTTCAGCATTTGTTCTTTTCACCCCCGTCAAATGAACTGGATAGACTAAGCAACTAATTGATTTTCTCCATAAAATCTTCAACAATTTTCTCATAACCCAAAATGATCTCTCCCCTCTAAATCCATTATGAATCATCAGGTGGTGTTCGGCTTCCATAACAATAGACAATGTGCCATTTCCTTGCACATAATCCCTGGGTGGCAGGACCTAAGATTTGTTCGGTTGGCTTAGCTCATACTTCACATAGATTCTGATCAAGAAATCTATTTTCCCCTCTCTGGGAAGCAGGAGATCCACGGCTGGCTTTCATGGAAAACAAGCAACCACTTATCTCATGGGCTTTCCAGTCTCAAAAGAAAGCCCCACAGCTATAATAGGGAGGGTGCTGTAGTAGAGGTTATAGAAGTAGTAGTAGTAATAGTCTCATAGCACCAGTAATAGGCGTAGTGGCTAACATTTCACCAAGTATCAGGTCCGACTTTAAATACTTTACCTCATCACATCCCTATGATGTAAGTACTGTCGTATCCCATTTTATAAATGAGAAGGCTGAGGCACAAAATAAGGCAGGTATGTGGGCCCTTGGAAAGTCAGATTTTGCAGCCACCTTGTATTGGTCAGACAGTCTTACCACTGTAGCAAACAACCCCACTTCTCAGTAGTGTCACCTAATGAAGATTCATCCCCCAGTCATAGCACAGTCTGATGAGATACTCAGCAGCATCCTTCCACAAGGTGATTCAGAAGCCCTGGGCCCTCCCTCCTAGAGGCTCCATCATCCTCTGGTCTTTGGAGTTCTCCGTGGACCATGTCCAGTTGACAGAGAATAAGGAGGCCTGAAATATGGTCTCCTGTGTGATCAAGAGAAAAATGAACACATTGATGAACACACGGTATGCTCTCAGAGCAATCTTAGAAGCGTGGGTCACTTAGGGACAGAGGATAGACAGCAAGAGAAGAATGCTGGCCCCGACCACCTCTCCAGTGTGAATGCCACCTTCCCTCCCTCACCGTTCCCCAAGCAGAGAACCAACATTCACACAAATCGGATTATGACTTCTCGTGTTTTCAAGAACGGTCAGTCCTCTGAGTCTTCCAGGCCAGAGTCTCCCTCCACAACTAAACGCAGAAGTGGGGTGGAATAAAGGACAGAGGTACGTGAACTTTCTCTGACTCACCTGGGCTTCGGCCGGAAATAAGCAAAGTGCTGATACCTGACGTAGCCGTGACCTGGGCAAGGTATTGTTTCACATGATCCTGTTCCTGAGTGCTTAGGCAAGGCTCGACCAGCCTGAGTCTCACTCTGGCTCCTACCACACCTTGTTTATTAAGTCATAAAACTTTCATGAAGTTAAGCCAGGCATAGCGGGGCTCATCTGACTACAGCTACAAGCCTCCAGAAGAGTGCTGGCACTAAGACAGACATTTGTCGAAGGGTGACTACCTCTCTGCTTGCCATTCAATTATGTCCTGTTTGTTATGAATTTTATTTGATTCCTCCATCAGAATTTCCTTTCCAATTATGGAAAGTGAAGAGGTATCTTATCAAACATCAGATCCAGGACATTCAGACTTCCATGTGTCCAGAAGACAAACCCTCGTGTTGCCTTTAAAATACCTCTCCGCCAGGCACGGTGGCTCACACCTGTAATCCCAGCACTTTGGGAGGCCGAGGTGGGCGGATCACCTGAGGTCAGGAGTACGAGACCAGCCTGGCCAACTTGGTGAAACCCTGTCTCTACTAAAAATACAAAAATTAGCCAGGCGTGGTGGTGGGTGCCTGTAATCCCAGCTACTCAGGAGGCTGAGGCAGGAGAATCGCTTGAACCCTGGAGGTGGAGGGTGCAGTGAGCCGAGATCGCACCATTGCACTCCAGCCTGGGCAAGAAGAGTGAGACTCCATCTAAAATAAATAAATAAATAAAATACCTCTCAAAGATCTTAACTTTGCCTATTTTTATTGTTTCAGGAGACACGTATATAGTGACGCCACTATCCAAAGACATCTTCAATGATGCAGCATCATTAATTCAATGTTTTCTTTTTTTAAAAAAACTTTTGAGTCAACGTAACTTTTTCCCTGACTGTTTTGTTCCTTGATGTTCTTGCCTTTACCTGGTGTCAAAACCCATCTGTGAGCACAGTTAGATAAGGCTTCTCATTGTTCTCAGGGTGCATAAAATCCCTCTCCCTCCCTTCCTTCTCTCCCTCTCCCTGTGCCTTTCTCTGGCTCTCTCTTTTTCTGCCTACCTCATCTCTACCCTTCCTCCTTCCAGAAGCTTTCAAATACAAATTGAGAAAGAAGAAAACTCCCCAAATAAAACTATACAAGCAAATCCATTCGGCATAATATCTGTGTCATTCTGTATGAAAATCATTAGGTAAGTGTGACCTGAGAGAATTAGAGAAAATAAATAGGAGCAACTAGAAACCAATGCACCTGGTATAACTAATAAAGAAAACATGAGACTTTTAGTGAAAGGAGTTAAATAAGACCACTGAAAGTTGATGTGATAGGAACCACATCAGGACTAAGCACCTTTTAAATAAACTAATCCTGCACTTTAGGAAATCAAAACTACAGCTGGCAGTATCCAGTTCACATCACTGTGCTGACTGCCTACCAAAATGAGGTTTTGTGTTCCCATGTATATCCCACTCACAATAGCAAAGATATGGAACCACCCTAAGTGTCTATCAACAGATGAATGGATAAAGAAATGGTGGTATATGTACAAAGTGGAACACTATTTGGCCACGAAAAAGAATAAAATCCTGTCATTTGCAGTAACATGGATGGAACTGGAAGTCATTATGTTAAGTGAAATAACCCAGGCTCAGAAAGATGAATATTGCATGTTCTCACTCATAGGTGGGAGCTAAGAAAAGGGGAGCACATGGAGGTTGAGAGTGGAATGATAGATACCAGAGACTGGGAAGGGTGTGTGGGTGGGAGGCGGGGGCATGAAGAGGGGTAGGTTAATGGGTACAAACATACAGTTAGATAGAAGGAATAAGTGCTAGTGTTCCATAGCAGAGTAGGGTGGCTACAGTTAACAACAGTGTATTGTATATTTCAAAATAACTAGAAGGGAGAACGAAAATGTTCCCAACACACAGAAATGAGAAATACTTGGGTGATGAATATACAAAAACCCTGACTTGATCATTTCACATTTATGCATGTCATAAAATTTCACATGCACCCCATAAATATGTACAAATATAATATATTGATAAAATAAAGTGAGTGCTATGTTACACACTGGGGTTGGAGGGCTAAATCAGAAGTGATCTCTGCCCTTGAGGAGGGAGTCAGACTAAGGGTTCCCCTACAAGATGGTCAACGTGATGACAGACACGCAGGAAGAACAGAGGACTGTACTTCAATGTCCTGGGGACAGGGATGGGATCTGGCATATGTAAGAGGAAACAGCCAACCTCAGGTGTAAGCAGAGTAGAATACAAGAGAGAAATAATTAGCAGAAGGTTTGCCAAGATGTCACGGGGGAAGTATGTGGATAGAACAAAGGCCGGGGGAACGGGGGAATGTGTGGAAGAAGAGTCTGGCCTGATGTAACTCAGAGGCCACGCAAGAGGCACGGAGCAGGCGAACTTTCACCTGCTGACTGTTCTAGAAAGCAGCACATCTGAGGCGTTCTTCACTCTCTTTGGTGATAACTTCTTCTATCCGAATGTAGAGGAGACCATGAGAAATGCTACCTAGGATGAAGTTCTGATTAACCAAGATAAACCATCTCTGGGAGAGTAGAAGTGGCAGAAATACAGAAGAAAGCTTCTACCATCACCTTGGAGTTTCACAGCCAGGCAGGAGAGTGAATTTGAAAAAGGCTAAAGAAAGCTCAGAAAAAAAATTACGGCCAGGTGTGATGGCTCACGCCTGTAACCCCAGAACTTTAGGAGGCCGACACGGGCAGATCACTTCAGATCAGGAATTGGATACCAGCCTGGCCAACCATGGTGAAACCCCCCCTCTACTAAAAATACAAAAATTAGCTGGGTGTGGTGGCATGCACTTGTAATCCCTAGCTACTCGGGAGGCTAAGGCATGAGAGTTGCTTGAAACTGGGAGGCGGAGGTTGCAGGAAGCTGAGATAACACCACTGCACTCCAGCCCGGGTGACAGAGTGAGACTCCATCTCAAAAATAAATAAATAAATAAAAAATAAAAAATAAGGCCAGGCACGGTGGCTGACACCTGTAATCCCAGCACTTTGGGAGGCCAAGGCAGGTGGATCACAAGGTCAGGAGATCGAGACCATCCTGGCTAACACGGTGAAACCCCGTCTCTACTAAAAATTTTGAAAAATTAGCCAGGCGTGATGGTGGGCGCCTGTAATCCCAGCTACTCGGGCGGCTAACGCAGAAGAATGGCATGAACCCACGGGCGGAGCTTGCAGTGAGCGCAGATCATGCCACTGTACTCCAGCCTGGGTGACAGAGCAAGACTCCGTCTCAAAGAAAAAAAAAATATTACATAGACTTCCATGGACAAAGTCATGAGAAACGAAGACAATTCAAGAGAAATTCAAGGCTCCAGAAAAGTGAAATTGGTTGTAGTGATACAGTCAGAAATAATGCCTATATGACTACTTAAAAACATCTTGCATTAAAAACATTTTAGAAATTATTAATAGAAAGTTATAAAAATGAAATTAAAATCACTCACAATTTCATTAACCGGAAGTTTTTTCTCCAATAAATACACTTAAATTGGAAAATAGTATAAACAGTACATCCTACTTTTCTTTCACTTAGTATAAGAGTATCTGCCATTAATTTAGCTTTCTTTGAAAAATGTGACTTTTCCAAAAAAATAACAGATCTTGGCGAGGTTGTGGAAAAAACGGAACCTTATACACTGCTGTTGGTAATTTAAATTAGTTCAACCATTGTAGAAAGCAGTATGGTGATTCCTCAAAGAGCTAAAAGTGGAACTACCATTCAACCCAGCAATCCCATTACTGGGAATACACCCAGAGGAATATAAAGCATTCTACCATAAAGACACATGCATGCCAATGTTCACTGCAGCACTGTTCACAATAGCAAACATGGAATCAACCTAAATGCCTGTCAATAACAGACTGGATAAAGAAAATGTGGTACATATCCACCATGGAATATTATGCAGACATAAAAAAGAATGAGATCATGTCTTTCGCAGGAACATGGATGGAGCTGGAGGCTATTATCCTTAGCAAACCAACACAGAACAGAAAAGCAAATACTGCATGTTCTCACTTGTAAGTGGGAGCTAAATGACAAGAACTTGTGAATACAGAGAAGGAAATAACAGACACTGGGGTCTACTTGAGGGGGAGGGTGTGATGAGGAACAGGAGCAGAAAAGATAACTATTGGGTACTGGGCTTAATACCTGGGTGACACAATAATAGGTACAACCAACCCCCATGACACGTTTACCTATGTAACAAACCTTCACATGTGCCCCCAAACCTAAAATAAAAATTAAAAAAGGAAATGTGTCTTTTCATAGCTGTGAATGGTGTCCATTATATGGATGTTAGACAATGATTTTAGCACTTCCTTATTGCTGGAAAGAGGTCATTAATAATTTATTGACATGATAAATAACACCATGATGAACATCTTCAAGGCTTTTGCTATTCCTTCACAACAGGGTGGGCTCTTCCTCAGCTCCTATGTGAATATGGATTGCTGATGTTCTTACTTGGACTGCTGTGAAAATATTCCTGGCTAGCTAACGCACTTGTCTAAGGAAAATACTACAGAGCTTACTTTTCAGTTATCCTTGATAATAGAGGGAAAAGGAGATGAAAACAGGCGCTATTTCATCTACTTTCTGCTTGGCCTAAAAATGCATGGGAACAGCTCCAGAGAATTCCCAGACACCGTGGGTGGCTCTGAGGGGCTATTTTTATAATAACTAATTTTGTTCATTTTCTTTTATGCCAATCAGAAGTTTGGCCAGTGAATCTTCCCCCACCCTCCTCATTCTAGTCTCTATAAAACAGATTACTTTTTCTTTATACATACCACACACATAGGAAGGGAGAAATACACAAGAGATGGAAATGCAACTAACTTTGTCCGGGCTCTGCAAGTTGTTCATGAAATTACAAAGCCAAGGGAAAAAATAAAAACACTGTTGGAAGAGAAGCCAGAACTCTGAGCTGAAGCATTGGCTTGTGTGTTACAGCAGAAGCCTGCATGTGGTCGACGGTTAGAGAAGACAGTAGCCATGGGGTCAAGAGGACAGATGGGCATGGGCAATCCAGGAAGCCGAGCCTGTGGTCAGTGGCCTGTGGGGAAGCTGAGACTGTTTTTGTCCACAGTTGAGTAAGTTTGCTGTTAGAAGAAACTCCTTTGAGGCAGCTTGAGGCCTTCATGAAAAATGCAGCCTAACCTCTAAGGAATAATGTCTATGATGGGTCTCACGAAATCTGCAAAGAATTGTTGAGCAACTTTAAAGGCTGGTGTCCTGCACTGCCTGCCAAGGGTAAAGCCGGTGGACCTGTGTATCTCACAAATCTCAGAAACAGCTGATTCTTTAGAGCCCTGTTCAAATGAAAATACTCCCAGAGGTCTTGCGACTAGGCTGCATTGCTCACCACTCAGACGGGAGCCTTCCATGAGCAAAGGAGAGACACAACTTTACAATGGCTCCAGCTGCAAGGAACTGCATTTTTTCAAGAGCCAGATGTGTTTCTCCAGATAACACACTGTCCTCCCTACTGGAAGCTCCAGAGAACTCCAGGAGGAGAAGGAAGAAGAGGCTTTAAAAATGTCTAGCCATGCAGTGAGTCACCAAGCAGCTCTTCGCCTTGTTGTTCTCTCTTTCCTAATGTCACTAAGGTCACCTCTGAACAGAAGAACACCCATTGGGGGCCCATGGAGGAGAGAGCGTCCTGGGGAGCGCAAGTAGGCTCCTGGCTGCAGCCGGGGAAGAGGAAGGCGGTGAAACGAACAGGCTCAAGTAGCAGCCTGCTCTTGGCAGGAGCTACTGCTAATTTTCCTTGGCTGGCTCTGACTACCTGTCTGAAAGCAATGCAATGCAGGAAGGAAATTTTTCAAGAGATTAAACTATTATTGTTTCCTGTGTGGCTGTCTTCACTGGTGTATGAAAAAAAAAAAGGCTTTAAGAGCACTTGAAAAGAGATTTGTCTGAATAGCAGGGTGGTTGTGATTCATCCCCCCCTCCAGTCGGGATTTGGCCAATTTCCTCAGGAAAGTGGTCGATTAGGACCCATGGATTTATCCGTGGCCTAAATATAAGATGTCATAAAGGTGATTAATGGTAAGCTCACCATCAGAGGGAGTTAAGAGTTTATAAAAGCTATTTTTAACAGGTTGGAAGGTGAAAAAAACTCATTTGTCCTGTTGCCAACATGTTTCAATGGTTAAAAACCTCTTTGTAGGCCCTGATAATTCATGCTACCAACTGTTAAAGGTCGTTGTATTTTCTGATTTTACAAGTTTGTTTGAAAAATTGATTCACTGTGTTTGGCTGTTTATATAAAAGCAATGAGGGGGAAGGAAAAGACCACGTTATTTCCACCATGATTAGCGATTGCTGCGCGTGGTGACACTTCAGTACAAGAGCCTTGTTTCTTCTTTCCACCCCGCCTCAGGGGAGAAAAGGGGCCTTTCTGTTTATGCTCCTACCACATAAATAGCAACTGATGGAGGGTGTCCCAAGACAGTTTTCAGAGCCCAAACAAAATTAGCCTGAGGTTCCCAAATCAGGGAAAATTGCAGTAGTTCAGAAAATGGAAGATGGCATTGATGGCTCCTAGCAGTGTCCAGTGTGGTTCCTTTGGGTCACGTCACCCAGAGATGCTCCAAAATGTTACTTCATTCTGACGGTAATTCCATAAACAAAGCATCCCTTTAAAATATGACATCTTCTTCCCAGTCACAAACTAATCACCTTTGTTTAAAGGAACATATCTGACCCACTTCTTCTCAGAAAAGCTGAATTTCCTATAAAGTACCTACCAAATTATCTAAAATGTGCATTTAACATTGGCAGAAGAATATGGTCATACACTAATGAATAGTTGCCGAATACAAAAGGTTGTCACTGATGTCTAGATATTTGGATGTTTCATGGATGGTAGAAACATGAAGTCCATTCTTCAATGCGTATGGCATGGAGTGGGATGTGGGGAAGGGCTAATTATTGAAATATAATCAATTGCTATCAACAATTTTGAGTTACTGGCAAAAATAGATAAAATACTTTTTTTTTTTTTTTTTTTAAAGAAACAGGGTTATGCTCCACCTCCCAGGCTGGAGTGGAGTGGCACAATCATCACACACTGCAGCCTCAAACTCCTGGGCTCAAGTGATCCTTTCACCTTGGCCTCCCAAAGTGCTGAGATTACAGGCATGAGCCACCATGCTAGCGAAGATAAGATACTTTCTTATGATTCTTGCAATATTTTGAAAGATGACACCAATCAACATGATACAGTACAGGGTATTCCTTGATTAATTCATAAACATTATAGGACAGTCTAATGTGCCAAGTATACTCACAACTAGAGAGGCAAATATGAATAAGACTTCAATGAGCTCCACAGGAAGCCTGGTAGATAGAGAAGTCTCTTACAACAGAGGGAGATAAGAGATATGATCATATGTATATATGCACTCCTTCCCTGGGAGTCAGAGAGGGGTAAAATTTTTTCTCCTAGATTGCCAAAAGTAGAGACAATAAGAGCAATAATAGCTAACTAGAAGCTTCTGTTTTAGGGTGCAACATAAAAGCTCCAGGAATGGCTTTTTCTGATATCTCATTGTCCTGAATTTACTCTGACCACCACACCTAGCTGCAAAGGAGGCGGGAAAATGCAGTTTCTCTCTGAGCAGCCATTGCCACCTGAAGGATAGAGTTTCTATTACCAAAAGGAAGAAAGGAAAGACAACTCTGGGGAACAGGTAGCAGGTTGTGCACGTCATTTTAAACTATTGCCATGTAGGAGTCGAAAAGGAACCATAACATCAGAAAATAGCCATCAGCACGACCGTTTCTGTTGAGTGTGCAAGGCATAAGGCCATGTACTCTACAGCCTGCAACAAAAGGTAAGGCATTTTCTCATTTTTTGCATTAAAATTGTTTATAATCATTTACTATTTTATAACAAATATTTATAATAATGTTTCATTTATTTTCTCATCAAAAGAGAGAGCAATACAAGCTGTATGAGTTTTGTTCAAAAAGTAGTAGAGAATTTAAGAGCAAGGAGAAGGAAAGGAGATGAAATAAGCTTTGAGTCAGCAGACTCATGGAAAGATAGCAAAAGCAAGAAAGATCATCCAAATCAGAGTTAGCTGTTGTGATGGGCTGTTTCCTCAGTCATCTGTGAGCCCTGTCAGTGGAGGTTGTGTTTTATTTATCTTTGTGTGCTGAGCGCCCAGTAGGGCTCATTTCCTGGCATTTGATTATGCTAAAGTGAGGGAAAGAACACTTTATTGGCCTTTAAATAATGAATAGAATGCACTAAGGGCTATCACAGAAGAGCCATTTGACCTTGACCTCACAATCACAGGGTCTCAAATTTTAACTTTCAAGACACTTATATGACATATATAGATGACACGCATAGTTGAAAGATGATGATATTCATCATATAACTTTGATTTCCTGTGTTATTACCAGGCCACACCACATGTTATACACAATAAATTGGTTTTTATAAACCCTATAAATATCTTGTGCCCAACACCATTATCCTGAGTTGAACAGTTTGTCTTTAGGTTAAAAAGAATTTGTTTGGGTCAGGTGCAGTGGCTCACACCTGTTATCTCAACACATTGGGTGGATCACTTGAGATCAGGAGTCCAAGACCAGCCTGGCCAACATGGTGAAACCCCATATCTACTAAAACTACCAAAAATTACCCAGGCATGGTGGTGGGCACCTGTAATTCCTGTTACTCAGAAGGCTGAAGCAGGAGAATTGTTTGAACCCAGGAGGCAGAGGTTGCAGTGAGCTGAGATCGTGCCACTGCACTCCAGCCTGGGTGACAGACAGAGACTCCATATCAAAAATAGTAATAATGTGTTTGTTAAAAGTAAACTCAGATAGTCCAGAATGCTTGAAAGGTTATTTTGGCTTTTTTTTTTCTTCATCTTTTTTAAAATTGGGCTTTTGTTTATTTCTTTATACCTAGGATCTCAGAAAAACTTGAAGTATCCCAGGCTTTTCTCAAGCTCTTTAACTATTCTAAGGTCATTCACTTCCTCTATACTCCTTTTTTTTTTTTTTCTTCAGACAGAGTTTCATTCTTGCTGCCCAGGCTGGAGTGCAATGGCGCTATCTCGGCTCACTGCAATCTCCGCCTCCTGGGTTCAAGCGATTCTCCTTCCTCAGCCTCCCGAGTAGCTGGGATTACAGGCATGTGCCATCATGCCCTGCTAATTTTTTTTGTATTTTAGTAGAGATGGGGTTTCACCATGTTGGCCAGGCTGGTCTCAAACTCCTGACCTCAGGTGATCCACCTGCCTCAGCCTCCCAAAGTGCTGGGATTACAGGCGTGAGCCACTGCACCAGGCCACATCATCTATACTCTTAAATGCAAGTGCCCTGAAAGCCCTCTCTTCATTTGTCCCATTTAGATTTGTGAACTGGGCTTCCCTCCCTTTCCCAGGTGAAGTCACTAGGTTCAGGCAATTCCCTGGCCCTTTCCATCCTTCATAATTGCTACTCTTAGGCTCAGTACTCTCACTGGGCCTCAAGATAGTCAGGCTGGGACCCTAGCTTCTGGCTCAAAAGCAGGTAAACCAGGAAATAAAGAAAGTTTAGATGGACACAGTCCCCAGTTTCCTCCCTCCCCCAGGAGTGCCTATGTGGACATTACAGTGTTTGGGAGCACCTACAACACTCCCCATTCAAACTTGATAAATACACACTTAACTAGATCCAAATCCCAAATCTTATACAAAGAACTTAAATGCAAGCAATCTCTAAATGAATTTACTAAAAACATGTGATTTTTTGTTTCATCCTAACCCCCAGGGTTCATTCCTAATTAGAAAGGTCTATAAAAACAATACAATGACAGATGGGCACGGTGGCTCACACTTGTAATCCCAGCACTTTGGGAGGCCGAGGCGGGTGGATCACGAAGTCAAGAGATCGAGACCATCCTGGCCAACATGGTGAAACCCTGTCTCTACTAAAAATAAAAAAATTAGTTGGGCATGGTGGCGTGTGCCTGTAGTCCCAGCTACTCACGAGGCTGAGGCAGGAGAATCACTTGAACCCAGGAGGCGGAGGTTGCAGAGAGCTGAGATCACGCCACTGCACTCCAGCCTGGGCGACAGAGTGAGACTCTGTCTCAAAAAAAGAAAAAAAAAAAGAAAAAACACAATGGCAAAAACAATAATCCTTCTTCAAGCCTAAGTTTCACACATATCAGCAATATTGGCATAAGAAGCAGATTTTGTAAAACTGCAATTCAGTTTTACAAAATCTAGGCTCTCTCACCTTTCCCAACTATGCTTTTCCTCTCCATGACAATGTCTACGTCTGTGACTTCCGTGAACAACTGCTGAGATGCAGGGTTGACTTCCAGATCTTCAATTCCAGCCTCAACCTCTCTCCTGGGCCTGCAAGTCATATGCCACTGCCTGTGAGGAGCTGACACTTGGGTATCTCAAACTTGGGCACTTCAACCTCAGCGCATTCAAACCTATGCTCGTCAACTCACTCCAGACCTGCTCTTCCTTCAAGTTCTCCTGGTCAGTTAGAGACATTACCACCTTTCTTGGTGCTCCAGCTAAACATCAGGGCATCACCAACCCCATATCTGATCCCCCTCCAAATCTCATTGATTCTGTCTCCTGTGTTCTCAAATCCACACACTGATATTACCTCATCCAGCCAACTCTGATTCCTCTTCTGCACAATAACTTTCTAACTGGCCCCTCTGCATCCATTCTTGTCCCTGAATTACCCATTCTTCCCTCTGCAGCCAAAAGTACTTAAATATCCTTTCCCTTATTCATTCGACAAATATTTATGAAGTATCTATCACAAGTTAGGGCACCATGCCAAGTACAGTATATAGTGGTGAGCAAAAGAGCTGTAGCTCCCATCTTCATGGAGTAGACATGAATCTGATTGTCATCTCTGTGCTTAGTATCTGCGGCTTGCAGAAGACAGCCCCCAAAGATGTCCACGTCCTCATGGAACGGGGGCACAAGCTAAAACATGCAAGCAGCCAGCAAAAGCTGGAAAAGACAAGAAAAAGTATCCTCCTGTAGAGCTTCCTGAAAGAACACAGCACTGCCAACACCTTGATCCTAGCCCAGTGAGACCCAGTTTGGACTTAGACTCTCTAGAACTATGCTGTTTTAAGCCACAAAGTATATGATAATTAGGACAACCATAGAAAACTAATATGTTGGTTTACTAATATTCATAGTATCAAAACAGCACAGTATCCTTCAATAGCTTCCCAGTGCCTTTGGGATAAAGCAGAATCCTTAGCAAGGATGGCAAGGCTCTTGTGAACTGCCCTGCCAGCCACAGCCTCACCTGGCCACTCTCATTTCCTCTGTCCACTGCCAGAAAGCTAAACTGCTTCCAGCTCTCAAAGGAGCTCTTCTTTCTGAGCCTGGAACAAACTCTTCCCACTTCCTGGAACACCCCCTCCCTTCCTCCCTGCTTTATCTGCTGCACACCTACTCCCAACTTCAACCTTCAAGTTAAAGACCCTCAGCCTGTTCATGTTAGAGGTGCCCATGCTCCCTTTACTTACCTGTTCACACCTGTCTCTGTATGTTTTAATGTCTCTAATCCCCACTTAATTAAAAACTAGAGGGCAGAGTCTAGGATTCTCTTATTCACCATCGTGAATGCCTACGATGGTGGGCACTCAACACAAATTTTCAAAATGTATGAATGCACCAATAAGGGACAAAAGGTAAGTTTCTCTTTCATCTAAAGCATAGTTCCCATTGTGTACATCTGGCCACTTGTCATACTCAAACAGCTGCTTTATCATCCAAAATCGTTTTGACATCTTAAATTTTGATTGCTTTACCTAAACACACACACACACACACACACACACACACACACACACACACACACACACAAAACCCTCCACTGTTATGCATCTTATTTTTTACACATTGCACTTTTAAGTTTTTATCTGGTGACATTTTCTCACCTTCTAGCATCACCTGCAAGGTGCAGCTACACTTCCTGGGTCCCTGTATTCATTCATTCCAAGCAGATCACCAATCATCAAACACAATATGACCAGTCATGGGCAATATCTAAAATAGCCATTAGCCAGTGGCCCCTCAGAATCACTTTACCCCTCTAGGAAGATGGCGCTTCCAACCTCCCATGGCCAAGCGTTCACATGGAACGTCTGCTGTGGTGGAAAAAAGTGCATACAAGGAAGTGGACTCCTCCCATTGTGTCCACTCAGCACCTCCTCCAGTAGGGACCTCATCTCCTTTCTGAGGACTCTTCTCCCTTCCCCCACTACACCTGTGAATACAAGGTGAGGCACCTTTGTGGCCACATTTCAGGCCAACTACAACAGCTCCCTGGAAAATTTAAAACTGAGAAAGAGATGCTGCTCTCTCCCATTTCCAACAGTTTGCACCAAAGAAGCTAAAAGAAGAAGCTAAAGTCCAGGAGGAAGCGAGAGAGGGAGGAATAAACCAAGGCAGAGAAGGAGAGGATTATTTCTGAGGTTCATTCCTCAGATTGGGAGTGACCCAATCTCACCCTTGGGTTCCATGAGGCAGCCCAACATCCATTTAGCACATTCTCCTTTTTGCCTTAGCTTTTTAAGTTGTGTTTTCATCACTTACAACTAACATGTTGTAAACCTTTGTAAACCCTCATAAACCACAGCAAAAAGTGAGTCCATCTATGGCTGTACAGAAGCTCGCTTCATATGCAAAGTGAACCATGTGCCAGGTAGCAGCATACTCTCTCTCAGAGAATGCAAGATCATCATTCATCCATCTTACTGTAGGAAGTGCAGACCTTACTACAAGAGACTCTGGCCCCACTTGGTGTTCCCAGTTCTTGACACCACAGCGAGAAAGAATCCAGGGATGAGTCAGAATGAATGAAAGGCAAGAAGCTTTTATTGCAAAGCGAAAGTACACACTCAACAGTGGGCGCGCAAGCGTTCTCAGGAGACTGAGTCACGCACAACACAGGTGGGGTTTCACATTTCTAATTTTACGAGCTCTTCTAATTAGAGGTGGAATATTCACGACATTTTCTAGGAAAAGGGTGGGGACTTTTTAGAATTGAGGTCCCACCCTTTTTTTGTTTGTTTGTTTGTTTGGAGTGCAGTGGTGCCATCTCGGCTCACAGCAACCTCTGCCTCCAGGATTCAAGTGATTCTTCTACCTCAGCCTCCGGAGTAGCTGGGATTAGAGGTGCATGCCACCACGCCTGGCTAATTTTTAATTTTTGTATTTTCAGTAGAGACAGGGTTTCATCAGGTTGGCCAGGCTGGTCTCGAACTCCTGACCTCAGGTGATCCGCCCTCCTCAGCCTCCCACAGTGCTGGGATTACAGGAGTGAGCCACCGTGCCCTGTCACCACCCATTTTTATACTAAATATGGGCATGCTCAGCCCTTGGTCATGTTCACTAGTGGGTGTGTGATTTAGTGTGGTAATGAGCATATAATTAGGTATGAGGTAGGGCATACGGGCAAATCCAATGCCATGTTGGATCTAGCCAGGTTCAACCAGCTTAGCCCTCACCCTGCTTGTGAGGGTCTTATCAGCCCAAGCTCATCCTTGTCCTTGTAGCTAATTCTAACAGCTCCTTTCTTGCTGCTGTGTGAAATTGCTGCTTGATATTTTCCCACTTCTCTGGTGACCACCCAGCATTCTTATTTTATGGGTGTTTCTTTAATTAGGAAATGGAATAATCATTAGATATTCTGGAAAAAGAGGGAATTTCAGGGACCCCTGTTTACCAATCCCTTTCTCCCTTATTTGGATTTGCCTGGAAGAGACACGGACCTGTCACCCTGACCAGGGTTTTGGCCATTTTCTCTCCCTTATTTTGGGTTTTCTGTTATCCTGCAGCTTCTTTGGCTATTAGAAATGTGTTTCAACAGTCTAAACTAGAACTAAGTATAACGTGATAATGCCCCAAAAGTAGAGTGTTGGGGACGGAGAAGACCGATGCAAATAATGATGATAACTTTAATGATAAATTAGTGGTGCATATGTGTAACAGACACATCTAAACTGAGTTAATGTGGAGACAAGGTAGAGAGATGTTGCCTCCAGTCTTGAAGCCCATCCAGCCAGTTTCTGTTGCAAAAAAAGTCCTCAGTCAAGTTAAATGAAGGAATGAAAATGAGATGAGAAGAGAGATGGCAGCACCAATTCTCCTCCTTCTTCTCTTCCAGTCTTAACATTCTGCACCCCATTCCTTGTTATTTATTTTCAAGGAAAACTTGAATTTTGAATAGCCAAGTTTTCTTTGCTTACCATGCACATTAAGGTATGACTCTGGGCAGCCCAGGACAATAGCTCCGAATCCTGTGCTTTCCAGTGCCTTAGAGAAACACACACTGGACCTCCATGGATACAATGGGAAAACAGCAGGATTGAGAGCAGGTCCAGACTGCCATAGTCTCAAGGCTCTGCTTCTAAGATCTGCAGAATCACACAGGGAAACGCTATGGGACTCTAAGGCTTCATGATACTCCTGACTGGGAAGCCAAACTCTCCTCCTGATCAGACTCAGGTCACCTCCTGTAGCCACTCTCAGCATTCCAGTACAATTCCCACTACAGAAGCACACCTCACTAGAGCAACAGAGAACTTAGCCCTTCCCAGAACACAAGAATCTGAGGACAAGTTCACTCCTCAGATGTGTTGATCTAAGGCAAAACATTGTCTGTGCGCCCCCCAATGCACACTCCTCACCACCATCTCATTTTTTATTTTGGTGTGTCTCAAAGAAAAATTTAACCTCAATGGCACCTGTGAAGAAGAAGAAAAGTCACAAGTGGAAGGAGTGGAAGTAGGAAAAAAATGGAATAGAAATGGTAGCTCAAAGACGCATGAATGAGCCCTAAATTAATTTTCACATTAGCTGGAGCACCACGCATTTATAGAGTTACAACCCATCCACCAGCAGCAACACGGGGCTCCACTGCCTCCCCAGGGTAATATCATCTATTTACCATGACAAAAAGATCTGTCTCAAACAAGGAGCTAGTTTGGATGTTAGTCACTTCCAAATATCAGTTTGATAGCATTATAATGGACTAAGTGTTGATTTCAGCTCATTGGTAAACCGAACACTTCATAGAGTCATTTGAAACAGAAAAATTAAGCAGGTAAATGTTGGGATAAAAAAAAAATTAACAAATCTTCAAATAGGAAATGCATTTATTAAATTAATTGCGTAGGAAAATGACAGAAAAGGTAGGAAGAGAGAAAGGACATTTCCCTAGACACAAAATGTCTTAGAGGCCTGGAGCAGGACACTCGAGCCTAAAATAACTCTCGATTCCTTAGGTTCCATGTCTTTTAGCAGAAGCTAACTTTTCTGGCTCAGAGTGTATAACTGAACTCCAGTGTGAAATATTGAAAGAAAATGACTACAGAGGACCTATTTAGACATTCCTGGCAAGAGCCAGGTTAGAGGAGAGGAGGGAAAGGGCTGTTTATCTTGACAGAGGATTTCCTTACCAGAACATGGAAAACATTCTTTTTGTCAAATATGGTTAATAGTCACCCAGTAACACAAAGAGCAGTTTCAGTAGCTTAACATCAACATGGGGTGACTGGGAAAGCTGACCGTGCCCCAGCAGATGGAACATGTGCTAACTCACAGCCATGTCTTGGATGGGGACAGTGTTGTTGATGAGTGCATAGGAAAAATATCATTAGCTAGTACACTTTCCACCAAGGAAAATGTTGTCACCTACTTACTAGGTAATGTAGACATGCCCAACCAAAAATGAGGCAAGCAGCAATATTAACACATCCTCAAAATGCCTTGAAAGACCCGGCTGCCTTTTCAAATAGGAAGAACAGAGGATGCCCTCACACATACAACTTCCCCATTCTGATGGGAATGACTGACTTTTTGTAGCATTGCAACCAACTCCCTCGCTAAGCTCTGTGGGTATTTCCCCTGGAGGTTGAGGCCTCTGAACAGAACATCTGTGATGAGAACAGTATGGAGTAATGGAAACATCTTGGATTTTAGACTTGGTTATGTAGCTTCTAGCCCTGAGTCTGCCACTGACTGGGTTTTCTGAAACAATTCAGAGTCTCTCTGGGCCACAGTTTCCTGAAAACCTTCTCAATTCCAATATGTAAAAAGACAGTCACAGAGATAGAAACCCTCTTAAAGGTTATGTATATTAGAGATAAAGCCCTGAGCTAACCTTCTAGTTTCAAGTCAAATATCAATATTAAGGTTTGGTTTTGTTTTCAAAGACATCCAACATTTTTGTTTCATTCTTCAGGTTTCAGAATTAGCTCAAGGAACTTTTATATGTGGTTCATCGTATTTGCTCTTTCCTCCATCCACACCTCTTAAGGCACAGTTTTCTGTATCTTCTCTCTACATGACCCCAAATTAAATAAATAAATAAATATGAATTTTGTTCTCAAATTCTTTGACATTCTAATTATCTAAAATGCTCTTCTTTTATACCTGAGGTTTTTTTTAAAAAAAAGGGTCATTACTACTTCTTACTTGAGAATTATGCAAATTTGGGGAGAGATTTTATATTTTTTTCTGCAAATAAGAATAAGAATATTGTGATGTGTGTGGTGTGCTTATTTCCCTGAGAATCTGAGCAATTATGAGTTCATTTTGAGTTTTTTCATTCAAATAACAAAAGCTGGAAGCAGTAAACTCTAAAACCAGAAAAGTACTTGGGAATATCATGAGCTTGTGTTTGGTTTAGTAGACTGCAATATGGTCAATATACTTTGTATCTGTTCCCATCAAGAGACTGAGTCTATTTCCCTGTCTCTTTAATCTAGCCGTGTGTCTTGCTCTCGCAAATAAAAGGCAGCAGAAGTGCTATTTGGCCACTTCTCATGGGAACTTCTCAGCTTTGTCCTCTAGAGGTCTTGTAGATACTGTCTGATGCTTTAACAATCCTGCCACCACCTGAACAAGCCCCTAATAGCTTACTGAAAGATGAGAGACCTTTGGCAGTCACTCCCTCACCTCAGCCTCTAACCAACCAACTACCAATCGAGTGAATGAAGCTACTGGGACTGGCCAGCACAAGCTGACCCACAAAATGACCACACACTCACAAGCAAGCCCAGCCAACATCAGCTGAGCTCAAATCAGACCAAAAGAACCACCTAGCAGAATCATAAGCTAACCAAATGGTTGTTGTTTGAAGCCATTTGATTTTGGGATTGTTTCTTATGCAGCAAATACTAACTGATACACCCAGTTTGTTTTTAACAAAGGCTAATCTAAGCATCATTCTGCATTATGTTTTATTTATTTATTTATTTAGAGATAGGGTCTCGCTATCTGGGCAATAGCCCAGCGTGGTCTTGAAATGCTGATCTCAAGCCAGCCTCCTACCTCAACCTCCTGAAGTATAAGATTACAGACAAGTCACCACGCCCAGCCTGCATTATGTTTTAGATAATATAAAGTAAGTAGTATGTTCTCAGTAACCCCCTTTTATCTTGCCTTTTCTTTGCCCTCAGCACACAGCACTCTCTCCAGATACTGCCATATTCTGCCATCCTCAGTATTCCTGTCCCAAGAGAAACTATTTAATAAAATCGATTTGAGCAAATACATGAACAGATAGAGTATTTTCAGATGCATTATCTCATTATATTTCATTTTATTTTCACAACAACCCATGAAGTGATAAACATCATTCCCATTTTACAGATAAGGAAACCGCAGCTCAGAAAGGAAAAAGCTTGTCCATGGCCACTAAACTAGTAAGCAGTCTCTCACCTCCAAACCTTATAGTTCCCTACCCATCACACTTCCACCTCAAGTTTCTCTCCATCTAAGATACTGGCATTTCAAAAGAAAAGAATTTGCATTCCTGGAGGAGAGGCTCCTTGCCACCAACCCTATTGAAAATTCATACATTAATAGTAGATTACAGAAAACATTTTGGAGAGGTCATTCCTGATGTTCCTCAAATTACAATTTATATTCCTCAAATGTAAAAGAGTGCAAGCTCCTCCTCTGTCAGAGACCCAAAGAAAGGAATCCATTTAAGCAGTATGTCCTTTAGTTACACACTCAGAATATGACTGTGCACCACTGTTTGACTGAAGGATAATTTAAGGACATTTCTTTAAGGATGTCATTATTGCCTCCATTTAATGACTGTTAGCCTAAGCCTGTGGTTCTCAAAGTGTGGATCTAGGACCAACAGCATCAGCTCCACCTGGAAACTTTTGAAACTACAAGTTCTAAGGCCCCACCCCAGGCCCACTGAATCAAACCTCTGGAGATGGGGTTGAGCTGTGTGTTTTTTAACAAGCCCTCCACATTACTAGGAAGCATGCTTAGAAGTGAGGAGTGAGAACTCCATGACAATTGCTCAATCCACTGACTTCATAGAGTAGGGGCTGGTAAACTGCAGCCCATGGGCCAAGTCCAGCCAGCCACCTGCTTTTTGTAAATAAAGTTTTATTGGCACACAGAAGTCAGTTTGCTTCCATACCACACCACAAGAGCAAAGTTAAGAAGTTGAGACTGAGACCATATGGTCCACAAAAGCAAAAATAGTTACAATCTGGCCCTTTACAGAAAGAGTTTATCAACTGCTGTCCTGGGGGTTGACTACATTCAGGTGCAATGGATAAGAACATAGGTTTTATATTCAGACAATATAAGGTTTAATACCAATCTTCACAATTTACTAAGTGGCCTACCATGAGAAGTTTCTTAATTGCTCTAAGTAGGACTGCATTTCTTCCTCCTCTATACACTGGAGACAGTCAACTTGTAAGGTTGTTGAAAAGATGAGATGAGATTGTGTGTATGAAGTGCTGAACAAAGAACATACTGCAGATTCAATGAGTGGCTTTGCACTCATCTCTGTAAATAAACACAGTATCTATCTCCTTAAGGCATCATGTGAACAACCGGAAAGCTGTGCATTTGGAGTGGATGCTGGGATGCACCCACCTCAGATCCCCTTCAATAAAGGACTAGTAGCCCCAGCTGCAGTCAGTGTCCACAGAAGCCTTCAGTTCCCAGGGCCTGCAGGAGTGGCCTCAGAGGCCTCAGTCATGCCCTTCCTGATTGATTGGGAAGGAGTATAAAAGCCTGGCCATCTTAGCTCCAGTCAGAACTCTGAGGTTCATTTGAGCTCCAGAGTCCCCTGTGGGGCTGACTGAGGCTGCAACTCAACTTCTTTCCTGCCCACTCCTGCCCCCATCCAACAGGTGTTGCTTCCAGCCCGAGGACTCTCCCCAGTGAACGTGCTGCATGCCAAGGTCTGCCCTCTTAGTGAGCCCAACCATGACATCTCAAGACTTGGAGAAAATGTCTAGAACTGTCTGACATAAAATGCCATGATATTCCCATGGCAATAAGCCTCGAAGATAAAGGTCTAGGAAAGTGGGGAGAGGTTTTTGAGAATTTCCACTGGAGGGTGCTGTCTTTGGTGGACAAAGTTATATTTCCATGGTGGTAGTAGTTGCAATAAGAAAAACCTGAGTTCTCTGGTGCACCGATTACGGAGATGTTTAAACTCATCTTTATAGCTCAGTGCCCTGGGCAGCTACCCAGCTGGCCCATCCCATAACCCATCTCTGATTCCAAAAGCTCCTTCAAGTCTTGGTAGATAGGAAACAGGGCATCAAAATGACACCTAAGTCCAGCCCAAGGAAAACACTAGGTTGTTGCAGAGGAGAAGCAGCAACCAGGGTAGATGCTGAGTAAAGACCTTCTGATGTGTAACCAGGCTTATCCCCAGAAAGGGGGTTAAGTGTGATGGTGATAACCCCACTAGTGTGGGGTTATCAGCATCACACTAGTGCCCACCTGGGTGGACTTTCGGTAGACAATCTCCATTTTAAAAAAGAAGAAAAAGAAGGAGAAGAAGAGGAAAAAGGAAGAGGAGTACCAGAAGGAGAAGGAAAAGAAGAAGAAATGGAGATAAGGAAGAAAAAAAGAAGGAAAAGAGGAAGGAACTAGGAAGGGAAGGTGGGGAAAAGGAAGAAAGGGGAAAGATAGGGAAGGAGGGAGAGAAGACGTGAGGGAATGGGGAGAGAGGAAAAAAAGTAGAGCTTCTATTCATAATGGTCAAACTATCAAAATGCCCATCAACAACAGAATGTAAACTTCATCAAGCTGTACACTTAGGATATATCCATGGCCACTTTTCTGTATTGTGTTATATATCAACTGAAACTGCTAAAAGGAAGAGTTCTCACTGGCTCCGTATGCCCCAAAAACAGCAAGTAAAAGCTGAGGCTTATGGAAATTAATCCTGAAATTAGACCTCCAGGATAATTCATGGGGTAAAAAAAACAGAAAAATGCTTCAAAAACACCTAATTGAAGCCTGGTGACTTTGTCTACAAAGAAACACACTATTTTCATCACTAGAAGTAAGCTTTTATTCCAGATTCTTTCAATATGCACATTTGCAAAACTGTGGCTTATTTCTCCAAAGGCCTTACTAAATGCCCCACTGTTTACTAAAGAGCCAGTCTTGAAGAGCAAGGGAAAGTTTACAAGCTGCTAATGAGGGCTTAGCACCCTGGGAAGGACAAATAGCTCTACTCAGCAGCTCCACAGAGGGAAATGAGCCCCTGTGCCTGACAGGTGCCAGCCAGGAAGCGCAGTCCTGCATTGATTGCTAGGTAGCTAGAGCAGAAGGAGGTCTGGGTGAATTATCATTTCATTGACTCGGTGCAAAAGGTATACTGAGCTTAGGTCACTGGGTTCTCCACAAGCCAAGGCAGATAACAAGAAAACAACACACCATAGTAATAGCTTGATTATAACTGCTCTATGCCACTTTTCCTTTTGACTTAAGGGAAATTGTCTTTGCAGGGAAATTAAGGGGAAGGGACACAAGGAAGACTGAGTCCCATTTATTTGCTTGTTTCACACATTCAGCCAACAAAATTTTTATCAAGTACCAACTTTGCACCAGACACTCCTATAAATGCTGCATTTGCAACATTGAACAAGATCTTCAAAGTCCTTTCCCACGTGGAGTTGATATTCTGGTGGGTGAAACCAAAACACAAATAATCAAATAAATACCTAGTATAACATCAGGTGGGAATAAGAGATAGATCTGGTTGGGAGCTGTTGCTTTACAAAAGGGCATCTCATAAATCTCTCTCGAAGGAGGGGGCATTTGCTATATAGGCCAGAGTAATACATCCCTATT
Source organism: Homo sapiens (assembly GCF_000001405.40). Lineage (NCBI taxonomy): Eukaryota > Metazoa > Chordata > Mammalia > Primates > Hominidae > Homo > Homo sapiens. Next base: position 35,754,119 of record NC_000021.9, read on the forward strand.
TTTTCTTACATTATTGAAAATTATTGGAAGGCTATAAGCAATGGAATGATATCATCTGATTATGCTTGTTAAGACTCACTCTGGCTGCCTGTAGATGCATTTTAGGACAAGAGTAGAAGCCTAGAGCTATGGGAAAAAGAGATGGTAGAGATCAGAGAAGTATATACAGATTTGCAATGTTTTGGAGGCTGAAGCAAAAGGATCACTAACAGCTTGAGTAGAGGTTTTGAGGGAGAGAAGGAAATCAAGGAGAACAGCCACTTTTTGGCTTGAGCTGAAGTGGTTAGCGGTACCATTTACTAGAACATTCCTGCCTCTTGATCCCCATGATAAAAAGAACTTTTCATCTATGGAATGTCTCTGTCACTATTGTCTAGAGAAGATAGAACTGGCTTGGACATATTCCTAAGAAGCAAGAAATGGCAGCCTCGTTATTTTTCAGCCCTTGTAGGCTGTAACTTTGGGAGCACACAATTCATAAATAAATTCCAAGTACCTTATTTATCTCTTTTTTTCCACTTGATTGAAATCCTGGGCATTGACTTCTACTAGGATGATGAATTTGGCTAGAACTTTGTCACATTCATTCAAGACTAATATGGTGTTATCTAGTACAAGAAACAGATGAGAAATCATTCCTGTAGGACTGAAGCTCAGACACGGCGCAAAGGAAACACATGAGACATAAGGAAATCATTGGAACACAGACATTAGACAGTCTTGTGCTGAATTAGACAATGTCTTAGTTCACCCAAAATGTAGTATTTATAGGCATGGCAAGGAATTGGGAATTAACTTGGGCCCACAGTGGTTGTGTTTCAAAGGTGAATTTTCTTAGCACTATTCAAGAGCATTGAACTTTGCATAAGCAACTAATCAACCTAGGAAAAGCATCCAGCCAACAAGTATTTTTTGAGACATTTTTGTCTTCCAAGTACCAAGAAGAGTACAGTAGGGATCCAAATAAACCAGCTCAGCTCCTTGATGAACCAGGGGTCTAAAGGGAAAGTTAGCACTGGCAAGGTGATTCTAAATCATGAAATACTTGCAAGGAGAAGTACAGAATGCTATGGGAGCACATACCGGGAGACCAACCCGGTGCAGGGAGTCGTGCTGAGATAGGACAGGTGTCAACAAGGCAAAGAGAAAGCAGACACCTCAAACAGAGCCAACAGTCAGGAAGCGGAAAAGAGTGTGGCGAGGAACTCTGAGGAGTGGGGCATAGTTATCTAGAGGAGAGGGCTTAGAAGAGAAGGGTGGACAAAGAGGCAGGAGAGGCCGGCAAGGGCCGGATCAGGCGACTAAGGCCTGATAAACCACACCTGTTGTTTATTCTAAAGGCAGTGAGAAGCCACTAAGTGGCCATAAGTAGAGGAATCAAGGGCTGGGTTTTTAAAGATCACTCTGGCAGCAGGATAGGAAGGGATGGCCTAGGACAAGTGTGTTCATGGCAAGAGAGGGAGGAGGCTTGATGAGGCAGGGGCAGGGGTGGGGAACTGCAAGAGTTGCTTAGGCAGTAGCATGATGGATAGGCGTGTGCCATGCACAGAGTGGGGCAGAGGTGGGAGCTGCGGCAGGCAAGGAGGCAGCAGGGTCACCAGGATTCCCGGGTTTCAAGCCAGAGCATTTTACTAACATGGAAAACTCCAGAAGTTTGCATGAGTCTGTCCATTCAGTTCCAGTTTCCACCCTAGGTAATAAGAATGCAGTCTAGAAGAAAATGTAGAATGAAAGTCAAAGGAACCAAAGGAACAGAGAGAGGATCCAAGAGCCTAACAGAAACAGAAAGTAAGAGAGAAGGGAAAACACGTAACCAAAAACATATATAATGAAGCCCCCGCCGCCAACACCCCCGCCACCTGACAAAAGGAGAGGAATTAACAGCATATAGGACTCAGCAGGGTTGAGAGAAGCAAGTGTAGCAACTGCCTGGCCTGTGATTTCTGGATGGCTAGAAGGTACACAGTTATTCTAGCTTGGGGCCCACAGAGATAAGGCAAAGGCCAGTAGAGAAAAAAAGATACCAGCTGTGTGGAGATGGAAAGGAATCTTCCACCCCACGGAGTGAAGTCTTAAACCATGCATGAGAAGGCTGGATATAGAAGCTGGAACACCACATTTGTACCCTCTTTTGCCCATTCTTGGATAGAAATGAAAATATCAGTGATTGGCCCTGAAATGCAAAGGTTTTGTAAAAAGGATGGTGTCCAGGGACTCTCAGTGCACAGTTAAAGGCTTCTTGTTTAATGGCTGACATGTAAGATGTCTAATATTTTCCGCTCACTTAACCTCTTATTCTGAGAATGGACCGATTGTCCAAGATTGCAGACATGCTCAGGAGTGCTGGCAAAGGGCTAAAATGTCTTCTGTAAGACTCCATGGAACTATTTCCCAGGAGAATTCATGAAAAATGTTACAGATGATGTGTTACACCTCGAATGAATCTCTTTGTCCCACAAGTGTGTTTCTCCACTGCTTTGGAGAATCTCCCAGATAGAGAGAAAATGGGAATTAATTTATTCCAAGAGACCCTATTGTTTAATGACACATACAGTAAGAGATCCAGAATCACAATCACCCAAACCACGCAAGCAATGGCAAGTGCTCTAAAGAAAGATGGGGACATCCAAATGGTAGGTAAAGCTTTTCAGCAAAGACACTGGAGAAGGGAATCCAATGAACTAAAACTCTGCAATGTTAACTGAGGGTTTCCCCTTGCATTTCCGAGAACGATGGAAATTCTCCCTGCCTTCCCCAACTCAGAGTCAGTAATATGCAGTCATTGAGTCAGGGAAGGTACATTACAGTAGGAAAATGAGAAAAAAAAAGACTTGAATGAAACTTTGAATATGGCTTTCCTTGTTCAGAATCACAGTCTTCATCTTTCCAGAGACTAAGATTTTAAGCTTGAATCGCCCACGTTCTAAATCCTTCAGGAAATAAAGCCCAGTTTGTTTATTTCTCAGGGTCCCAGGCAGAGAAATCAAGTGAATCCTGCTTCTCAGTTCTTAGCTGTTTATTGCTAGCATCAGCCTGTGCAAAACTCCTCTCTGGTTTTATTTTTTCCCCTTTGATCTGTAATCCCCACTCCATTCCCTAGAGCCCTGCAGGTAACCCACTCTGGAGGGTCTGTTTATCCCTAAATATGCATATGTCCTTGTAAAATATCCAGAGCCATTATGTGTATGTTTAACTAATTAATCATAAATTATTAATAATAATCTATCCACATTGCCATGTTTACATCTATATTGTGGCTGCTCTCTGCAACCATACACACACAAAAATAAACCCTCAGGGCATCAGATTTATACAACAAACAAGATTGGGGATAAAAATGAATTATGAGCTATGAGCCAGATTGTCTTGTCCCAGATAGGACATCCCTTCTGTGTGCTGCCAGTGCCGTTCTCTGTTCTGGGAGAAGGGAACACAAGAATCCAAGGGGAAGAAAACAGTTAAGACATCAATGAGAGTCCTGAGAGAGAAGATCCTTGCCCTGTCTCCAAGACCAAGACCGGGGGTTCACAAGAGAATTCCAGGTAGGTCCAGAGAATGAGAGGTCCTTTTCCATGTATGAAGTTTGTGAACAAGGAGCAAGACCTCAAAGTTTTCTCATGCCTCACTCAGTATAGCAATGGGAGGAATGTCTGCATGTGATGCCTTGGGCCCCCTGAGCCCCAATGTCCATGCAGGATGCAGCCTGCTGCGACTTTGCCTTCACTGGGTCAGCCTTGCAGGTTGGGTGGGGCAGGCAGATGTAGCATCAAACACCTGACAATGACCCTGGCCCAGCAGCTTCGTGCCTATGGTGTCTTGGCTCTCTGTAGCCCCCAGGATGAGGATGAAGCCACAGGGAAAAAGGGAAAGACCATGAATTCACAGAAATTTAGTTTCTAACATCCACCAGAATGGAGAGTCAGTAAAAATTAGGTCATAATAGAAATATGAAAAGATTACATTTTGTGCACAACTGATTTGTTTTGTACCTACTACACACCTCCCTCCTTCCCCAGGGTCATGGGGCTTTTTGTTTTAATTAGAAAATTAAAAAATATTCTAAATCTGGAATAGTGCAGGTCCTAGAAATTCTGGATACGTGATCTTCTGTATACAATAAAATGTAAGTTTAAAGGAAGTAATTCTCTTCCTCAAAAAACTAAAGACAGAACTACCATTTCATCCAGCAACCGCACCACTGGGTGTTTATCCAAAAGACAGGAGATCAGTATATCAGAGATACTTGCACCCCCATGTTTATTGTAGTACTATTTACAATAACCAAAATATGGAATAAACTTAAATGTTCGTCGACAGATTAATGGATAAGTGTGGTATACACACAATGGAATATTATTCCCCCATAAAAAAGAATGAAATTCTGTCATTTGCAGCAACATAGATGGAACTGGAGGTCATTATATTAAGTGAAGCAAGCCAGGCACAAAAGACAAATGTCACATGTTCTCACTCACGGAATTCACAAAGGTAGAGAGTACAATGGTGGTAACCAGAGGCTGGGAAGGGAAGAGGGGAAAGGGAGATGAAGAGAAGGTGGTTAAAGGGCACAAAAACTCAGAAGAAATAACTTCTAGTATTTGGAAGTACCGTAGGAAAATTATAGTTAATAATTTATTGAATGTTTCAAAATAGAAGAGAAGAATTATAATGTTCCCAAAACAAAGAAAAGATAAATGTTTGAGGCGATGGATGTCCCAGTTACCCTGATTTGGTCATTACACGTTGTATACAGGTATCAAAATATTACATGTACCCCAAAATTTATACAACGCTTATATATCAATAAATTAAATTAAGTTAAATAAACAGGAAGCACCAGGAGGAACTCCTGATGCATTTTATGCTTAAAACAAAAAATCCTAGGTCTTTCCATAGATAAATCTAAGAATGATGATAAATATGGTGGAAACAGGGTCTCTTGGTGCTCCAAATATCGTTTCCCAAAACAAAGGAACAGGACATCCCAGAGTAATGGCTGACTCCGGGCCTGAAACAGGGTATGTAGAAGAGGGCCCTTCAATGCACCGTCACACTGGAAAGCAAGGAAGCCATCAAAGACAGCCAGAGTGCTTCAAAGGACTCAGAAATCAACTTATGAGGCCCCACTGGTCAAGGATGGCACAAGGTGAGCATGAGTAAGGACACTAACTGTAACAGATGGAAACATACCAAATAGATTTCATCCAAAATTTCATAAGAACACTGTAAAATCACTGACTGCCTTTGGAGAAGACTAGTAAACCAATTTGTTATTTTGAGAACTGATGAGTAAAGAGAGTGTCAAGCACATACCCTGCCTTTCCTACACAAAGAGAAAAACCAGACATTACGTCCCCCACAGAAGAACCAACCCCACCTGTAAAATAACCTTGCTGAAAAGTGTGAACCTTAGTCCATTTAAGCATTTGGATCTAATACCAGCTCATAGGAAATCCAGGTAACAGAAGAACATGTTAAATGACACCACAGGTGTCTACATCTGGGGAAGCATCAGCAAAATACAAACTAGGGGGAGGCCTGAAGGTTAAAAGGTAAAGAGCAAGGGAAAATATAGATTAAAAAAGACATAAGAGGCATGTTAGCAAATCACACTATATGGGTCTTAGTTGATACTTTTTCAAATAAATAAAAGGTTAAAAATTACAGTACAATCAAGGAAATGTAAACACTCGCTGGATACTTAGTGATGTTGAGGGAATATTAAAGTGAGATAATATTGTGTTTTTATTTAAAATGGGGAGCCTATGTCTTTAGAAATATGTTTAGATAAAATAATATGATGCTTGGGATTTGCCTCAAAATAACCTGGAGGGGAGGTGCTATGTGTTGCTTCTGTGTTGCTGCTCAAATCTCATGTCAAATTGTAACCCCCAGTGTTGGAAATGGGGCCCGGTGGGAGGAGATTGGATCATGGGGACAGATTTTCCCCTTGGTACTGTCCTTGAGATAGTGAGTTCTCATGAGATCTGGTTATTTAAAAGTGTGTGGTACCTGCCCCACTTCCCTTCTTCCTTCTGCTCTGGCCATGTGAGATATCTCACTCCCCCTTTGCCTTCTGCCACGATTGGAAGCTTCCAGAGGCCCCTCCAGAAGCAGAAGTTGCTATGCTTCCTGTACAACCTGCAGAACCGTGAGTCAATTAAACTTCTTGTGTTTATAAATTACCCAGTCTCAGGAGTACTACCTGAGACCTGTATAAATTACCTAATACAGGAGGTACTGGAGGTACAGAGAATATGAGATTGTCCACAAGTTGATTGTTGTTAAAGCAAATTGTTGGAAACATGGGAGTTCATTATACTCTACTGTTGCACATAAGTATTTGAATTTTCCCATAATAAAAAGTTTGTGCAAAAAAAGATTTTTTAGTATGGGAAGTCGTTTTTCAAGTTACAAGATAATCACTCTCGATAATCACTCTTAATCTCCTGAGTGAAGAAGCTATATTAGTTAGGGTTCTCCAAAGAAAGAGAAGCAGTAGAAATATGAGTTATACAAGAGGGATTTATTATAGGAATCAGCTCATGTGATTATGGAGACCAAGAAGTCCACCACCTGCTGTCTGCAAGCTGGCCACTCAGGAAATCCAGTGGTACAAATCAATCTGAATCCAAAGCCTGAGAATCAGGAGTCCTGATGTCCAAAGGCAGGAGAAGATTGGATGTTCCAGCTCAAAAAGAAAGAGTGAATTCACCCTTCCTCTACCTTTTCATAATATTTGAGCCCTCAACAGGTTGATAATCCCCACCTGTATCAATGACAACAATCTTCTTTACCCTGTCTACTAATTCAAATACTGATCTCTTCCAGAACACCCTCATAGATACACTCGGAAATAATTTTTTATCAGCTATCTGGGTATCCCTTAACCCAGTCAAGTTGACATATAAAATTAACCATCACAGAAGCCTAATGAAAACACGACGGAGACACATCCTTGGTTGTTCTGTGTGTTCTATAACCAAGGCTGTTTGGGGGGTCTGAGGCAGGAACCCCACTTCAAAGCTTTGCTGTCAGAACTTCAAGAGCCAGACACATCCAAAAGTCAGCTCTGACTACCAACCATCTTCCATGACAGCCAGGGTCAGATTCAGCAAGGATGACAGTCCAGGGAGGTTGTTCCTTATAGTAACAATTTTTTTTTGTTAAGAAACTACAATATATATAGTCTGCTCATTCATATATATAAATATTATTTATCAAAATAGTAATATTTTATTAAGTTTTAAAAATTAAAACTCTGATCTCTGAATGAAATGTAAATTCCTAGGTCTAATACATAAGGACTGCAGAATAAAGTATAGTGGAACTTCTTTTTTAATCCAAAAGAAAACTATTAAGAAGTAAATATCAACTAAAAGGAGAAAAGAATAAGTCCTAAGTTAATGGATAGAATTTATATTTTCTTCAACCATATAATCAGGGTATAAAAAGATTGATGAGCAGCTTAACGTCTATTGAGAAGAAAAATAATTGGAAAGTTCTTGAGTTATACATATGTTTGCTCTTCCATTCTCAACTTTCACTGGCTTTTTACCAAATTCCAGTGAACCATACCTTGGTAGCATCTCCTTAAATTAGTGAAAAGAAATATAAGACAGACTATTTGAAAATTAAAATAAATAAGAGCAAAGTCTCTCCTATGCATTTGGTGAGTAGGTTTACGGAATTCAGTATTCCCAGGAGGAAGGAGAGCTGTGAGGCCATTAGCAGATGACAGAATCATAAAGAATTATTGAGAAAGATTTTGGCTGGGCCAGTCTTTGTCCTGAGTTTGATATCATAGCCTCCAAGAAAAATGACCTTAGACTTCACCCACAGTAACAACCTGACTATGACTTCTTCTGAGAGAGTTGGTTCTAAAGAAAGATCAAGTGCTAAATAAAGATCTCATTATAGATCGTTATAGATCATTCCATCACAGTTAGAGTCACCTTCCATCCATCCTGTCAGAAAAGATATTTCTGGAGCATCACAGATCACATTAACATGGCCAGATAAGAATACGATCCCAAGAGATTCCTCCTAACCACTCCCACCAATAACCAGTCTAATATGCTTTCCCTAAAGGGTCTTCCAACCAGGAGGTCACATGCTCCAGAAGCAGCCCATCCTGCCCATTGCAGCTTCTGCAGCTCCCTGTTTCTGTTCTATTTCCAATCATTGCACTGGACACATGAGCCCTTCTGTAGACCATCAGAGAGAGCTCCTCAACCCCTTCTCCCAGGTGTCATTTACATCAGGCAAGAAGGCATGGCAAATGGGTCATTCACATCTAAGTCCGCAACAAAAAGCAGGGGTTGTCAATGGCATTTGTACATAGAAAGTCCCCAGTATTCGACTTGCTTTTTCAATAACTATTACCCAAATATGTACTCAAACCGTGGGACACTGGCTGATGTCAAAATTCTTTCTGAATGACTATGAAGTCTGCCCATATAGTTTATACCCATATAATAGTGAAGGCTGACTCTCCACATTTTCTGTGAAATTAACAACTTTGAGAACTTGCAATCTACCAGCATTCCCAGCAGCTAACTGTAGGTAATAGATAGGATGTCTTACTTATTTAGTAGTCTTTATTCTAGCCACCAAACCTCTTTTAAAAAAAGAAATGCTTCTAAAACTAATATTTACTTGTTCCTCCAGAAATACTTTAATTGGCTTTGTGAAATCAATGGTTCCCTTGATAATTGATAAAAGAGTGTCTCTTTTCCCTGTCCTGGCAATATCTTGCTTTAAATAACAGGACAGATCATTCTTTCACAAATATGAAAAACAGATTTTCGGAAACAAGCTTATTTTATTAAGCCATGTTATTTAATTTTACCTGACATTTGCAAGTCATTTTTGCTAGTAAGCACTCTACATTAATACCTTGAGTTCACATAGAGTTTAACAATATGAATTTCCTATCAGAGAAAAGTACAATATATGTTTGGCAGAAGCCAAAGTCATGAAGAATTAACAGTTATCAAATCCCAAAGGGGAAACAAATTCTCTTTGCTCCTCTCTTGCCAGCTGTCATGAATCCAATTTGCACTTTCAAAATTCTGCCTGTTACCCAGATTCGGGAATGAGAGGACTAGTAACTTAGCATACTCGTGCCCAACCATACCAAATCCAAACATTTACACACAACCCAATTGTCAACAAGGTAGAAAAAGGGTATCAGCTTAAATGATTGTTATATCAAACATACCTAGAATGTACCACAGAGTAAGTTATTTTCATATGCTTAAGTAGATGTGACAAATACCAATCTCAAATTATAAATTAAATGGATTCCTGAAAAATTGTACTACATGAAAATCTACTTTCCCATTGACATTATTTTATTTTATTTTATTTTGAGATGAGGTCTCATTCTGTCACCCAAGCTGGAGTGCAGTGGCATGATCTCGGCTCACTGCAACCTCCAACTCTCAGGCTCAAGCAATCCTCCCATCTCAGCCTCCCGAGTAGCTGGGAACATAGGCATGTGCCACCACACACAGCTAATTTTTGTTTTTTGTTTTGTCGTGGTGGTGGTTGTGGTGGTGGTGGTGGTCGTTGTTGTTGTTGTTGTGATTAGAGTCAGGGTTTCGCCATGTTACCGAGGCTGGTCTGGAACTCCGGAGCTCAAGCGATCCACCCGCCTCGGCCTCCCAAAGTGCTAGGATTACAGGCATGAGGCACCCCACCTGGCCCGTTGACATATATTTTTAAATACATAAAACAAGATTCAAAGTTTTAAAATGCAGGAATCGAGCAGTAATACAAACAGCAAATATCAAACAATCATAGAGTTTAAGGAAGAGTGTTCTTTCTTATAAGCATAACTCATGTGAAAATACACTTTGTGTGGGCCTTCAAATCTCCACAACTTTTCTGGGCCTTCAGAAACACTGTTTCATCTGCATAGAGCCATGTCCACCTGGGAAATTCCTACTCAACCATAAAGGCACAATCCAAATATCACTGCCTCTACAGATCCAGGTTTTCCTGCCCTGTGATCCCTTAAGAAAAAAATGTCAACACCTTTCCATGAACCCCAAGGCAGAATGAGGGCTTTCCTTTCTCTCCTGGCCCCTGAGAATTCCTCCTTGGTAGCCCTGAGCACAAGCACAGGTTGTTGTCATCATTGTTGAACGCTGTTATCTTTCAGGACCATGGACCATGTATACCCTTCGGGAGGAGATATATAATGCACTTTGGGGCTCAGTGCCTACATCCGTGCCTGGCATCTCACTGGTGCTAAGAAAACACTTATAAAATGAGTGACCAAAGAAAATGAAGAAATTAAATGTTAAATGGTATCTTGAATTCTTAAAAGCTTATCATAGATACCCCATAAATTGGCCTCAATGGCCAATTCAGAAACATTTCCAGTTAGCAGGTTCCTTAGATCTCCTAGCATCAATACAGGGGTGTATTTTTAGTTTGGTTGCTCTTAGTAAACCCTGAGCTCTCTGATTTCAGAAAGGATCCACAGACCTTCAAGACCCTGAGGTGCTCATCAGTTTACATCAGGGTGACTCAACAAGAAGCTAGAGCCCAGGGACACCCCACTTAAGAATATCTTAATTGGCAGGCTTTTTAAACTGCTCTCAGCTGATTAATGAGTACTACCAGAGGGATTATGTAATTTACAGAGCAGGAACAGCTCTGGAACTGAAGGTTGCCAATTAAAGGTATGTGCAACATCCCAACAGCAAATTCAGCCAGGCATGTTGGCTCATGCCTGTAATCCCAGCACTTTGGGAAGCCCAGGCTGAAGGATTGCTTCAGCCCAGGAGTTCAAGACCAGCCTGTATAACACAGGCAAACCCCCCATCTCTACAAAAAATATTTAAAAAACACAAGCCAGGCACGGTGGCACGTGCCTGTAGTGCCAGCTACTTGGGAGAATCTCTTGAGCCAAAGAGGTCAAGGCTGCAGTGAGCTGTGATTGTGCCAATGCACTCCAACAGCAAATTCTAAAGAAATGCAAAGAAGACTGCATATCAAGGGCCAACACATCCTCCCAAGCAGGCCATGTGGTGCCCATGTCACATGCTCATGCTGGTAGGAGCTCTCCCGTGCAGTCTTTAGAGAGCTGTTTAGACAGACGGCAGAGCATGCACCAGCTTTAGAGTCTCCCTGATAAAGAGCTTAGGGCTAATGTCTACAGGACTGACATAGTTCTTAAGCTCCACAACTCTCAAGAAACACAAGAAACCTAAGGATATCAAAGGGCTGATGGGTGTTGCAAGGCAAAGCAGTGAGTCAGAGGTGGTGGGCAAAACCAGCCAAAGGAAAATGACCCACAATGCTTTTCTGTAGGCTTATTTAATGAAAAATTAAAATCCACTTTAAGCTACACTGAGTATTGATGGAATTGCAACCAACATGACAGTAGAGGTTCAATGTTTTCAATAGGTGAAGACAAGATAAGGCCATACTGGAAATAAATTACCAGTAGGCCTCACAAGGGGGTGGGAAATTGGAAAATTCTCTAATGAATATTAGATGGCAGACAGAGAAGGTATTTTTCCTTTTGCATATTTTAGTTTGCAAATTATGAACCTAAACGCTTGATAACCTAGAGTCCATATTCTGCCTGTCAACCTTCAGCCTACAAAAGGGCTTTTATATTATCCAACATTCTGGAATCTGCTTAATGCAACCACCATAGCTTGTAGCGGATGAAGTAACAGATTGGCTTGAACTGAAGCAACCTCAGGAAGGTATAATGTAAGACAGGCACATGGGGTAGTCAGCTGCTAAAAGCTCTTGATGTCAGTGGGTGCCCTTGTATATGAAGGTTTTTAAGCCCTTCCTGGACAGTCAAGTATGCAACTAAAGCACAACATTTTTCTTGTACCCTTTGAATAACTATGTGGCAAAACTTGTTTACAGAATTTATTCCAATATATCTTAAGAATTCCTAATTCAGCTGAATTAACAATTTAACTGCTCTTTCTTCTTTCTGCTTCTATAGTCATATTTTGCTACCAATCTGTTTTCATTTATTCAAATTGCTATACAGCTCTGCAGTGTTCACCATTACCAAGAATTATTGCCACTTTATTTATTTATTTATTGAGATGAAGTCCTGCTCTGTCACCCAGGCTGGAGTGCAGTGGCATGATCTCGACTCACTGCAATCTCCGCCCACCGGGTTCAAGCGATTTTCTCTTGCCTCAGCCTCCCCAGTAGCTGGGATTACAGACACACACTACCATGCCCAGCTAATTCTTTTGTATTTTAGTAGAGACGGGGTTTTACCATGTTGGCCAGGCTGATCTTCAACTCCCAACCTCAGGTGATCCACCCGCCTCAGCCTCCCAAAGTGCTGGGACTACAGGCATGACCCACTGCACCTAGCCTATTGCCACTTTCTAATAGCAAGGTCCAGATTTTGAAAATCTGAAGTTTATGGTACCTGTGGAAACACTCAGCAAAGTAGGTACCAAAGAGATGTTTACAGCTGCTTTTATTAATTTTCTTTATTCTATGGTTTCAGCCAATGCACAGAACTAAAAGCTGATATATAAGCTACTAGGTTTTGAATCTGTAATTTCCAATTATTGTTAACAAACTGTCCCAGAGAAAATTATGAAGACAGAGGTATTAGTCCGTTTTCATGTTGCTAGAAAGAACTGCCCAAGGCTGGGTAATTTATAAAGGAAGGAGGTTTAATCAACTCACAGTTCAGCATGGCTAGGGAGGCCTCAGGAAACTTACAATCATGGTGGAAGGGAAGGGGAAGCAAGGCATCTTCTTCATAATGCAGCAGGAAGGAGAAGTGCCGAGCGAAGGACGGGTGGGGGGTGGGGGGGAAGAGTCCTTATAAAACCATTAGATCTCGTGAGAACTCACTCATTATCCTGAGAATAGCAGAGGGGAAACCTCCCTCATGATTCAATTACCTCCACCTGGGCCCCCCCCTTGACACGTGGGGATTATGGGGATTAAAAAATGAGATTTTGGTGGGGACAAAAAGCCTAACCATATCAACAGTCTTCTACTTTCATACAAAATAAACATCCATCCCTGTGTACATATGTTTGGGATTGCAGAAAGCAAATAAATTTGAGTACAACTTAAATAACATATTTCTCATGACAGGATTCCCAAATGTATGTAAAATGTCCTTAAATTGACTTCACCTTTACATATATCCTTCAAAAACTTATTTCTAATATTTCAATCATTCCTCTTAATATTTTGTTTGCTTTTCACACATGAACACACAATTGACAAGATTTAAAGTCATGCATGCCTAAGGGTAACTCACCAAGAAATTTTCCATTTTTCCTCCAATTGTATGAATTTTTTAACCTACACTTCTTATCACAGTTATTAGCATTTGAATATTAGCATTTTTCACTTATTTCTATAAATTAAAGCCAAAATTCTAGAAATAAACAATTATTCAAACACTGCCTTTCAGTGAAAGGTAGCAAAGTGGCTACAGTTGAAAGTTCTTGTCAAAGGCAACACCGCACACATGGCTCATTCAGCAGCTGACATCTGAAGTCTGCCTTGAAATCATCAATATCTCCAAGTGTGAGTAAATTTAAATCCAGAGACCCTCTGTACTTCCAGGTGATAGCAGGACAGAGTGACCCAAATCACTGGGCCCCTTCTCTCCTGTAGCCACACTGGGACATTCTCAGTTACTCACAAAGACCATGCTGTCTCAAATTCCAGCTTTCACACAAGCAGCTTCCTCAGCCTAGAACAACCTTTTCCCACCCATCTTCTCCAATTTTCTTCTGGGACATTCCTGCTTGTCAGTTCTCAGCTTAAATGTAGCCTTCCATGAACCTCTACATCAGACTCTGCATCCTCCAACATTACTCTGCACCTGAGGCTCAGCAACACTCCCAGGCTTGTAATGATGCTTGGCGGCTACCTTCCTGAAATGACCAACAGCTCTACATGCACAATCTGGAAACCCCTGTCCTCTGTCCAGCCCATTCCCATTGCCAGGCACATAACACACACCCATCTTTGAAGAAACAGATTAAATCAAGTTTAATGAAAAGCTCAGTGAACAGAATTTTTTTCTGAATTATTAACTTTCCTTTTGTCATGCTTAAGGAGAAGAGAGAGAGAGAAAGAAAGAAAGAAAGAGAGAGAGAGAGAGAGAGAGACATTTGTGTCTGCATCAGGGTGAAGCAATACAACTGGGCCATGGAGGTTATTTACATGGCATTCCAGTGGGACAAGTCTTCTTTCTTACAGACAGGTTTCCAAGGCCAAGGAAAGCAAACCAAGGCATGCTTTGGCCAAACATCTGCGATATTTTGATCCTCATCCATTTCTTCATACCAACAGAGATCTGGCCTCTCTGTGTAGTAGCATCAATGTTCTCTAATATTCTGTGTTGGCCACATGCTCCCCCAAAGCCAAGGAAACAATCCTGTCTTCAGCGGGGAGCTGGAGAGTTGATTCAAATGTAAAGCAGAAAGCCCAGGTTCCAAAATGAGAGCCACAGTGAGTCCTGTGATTTTCAGTTTTGAAGAAAGGGCAGTATAACAAGGATTGATTCTCTGCGATCACCAATGGCCCCTGTGTTAGTCTGTTATGCTGCTACAAAGAACTGCCTGAGACTAGGTAAATTATAAAGGAAAGAGGTTTAATTGACTCACAGTTCAGGGAGGGGGCTGGGGAGACCGACCGCAGGAAACCTACAATCATGGTGGAAGGGGAAGCAAACACATCCCTCTTCATATGGCAGCAGGAAGGAGACAAATGAGAGCGAAAGAGGGAAAAGCCCCTTATAAAACCATCAGATCTCATGAGAACTCACTATCACAAGAACAGCATGAGGGTAACTGCCCCCTTGATCCCATTACCTCCCACCAGGGCCCTCCCACAACACATGGGGATTATGGAAACTACAATTCAAGATGAGACTTGGGTGGAGACACCTCCCAACAATATCAGCCCCCTTCTCAGCTCCCAGATACACAAAGCAAACAACCAAAACCACAGGTAAGGAATTCCATATGCTTTATCTTAAACAATAAAGAAAAATTTTTTAATTTTTATTTAAATAAATATTATATTTAATTAATTATACATATAATTATTTATATAATTATATTTATATTTACATATTTATATATTATATATTTATTTATATTTATATATTTATAATATATATTTATATTTATATATTTATATATAATATATATTTATATATAATATATATTTATATATCGTATATACTTATATATAATATATATTTATATATGTATATATTTATATATAATATATATTTATATATGTATATATTTATATATAATATATATTTATATATGTATATATTTATATATAATATATATTTATATATAATATATATTTATATTTATATATATGTTATATATTTATAATATATATATTTATGTTATATATTTATATATATATTTATGTTATATATATTATATGTATACATTATAATATATTATATGTATACATTATAATATATGTAAATATTATATATATTACATGTATATATTATATATAATATATTACATGTAGATATTATATATATTACATGTAGATATTATAATATATTACATGTAGATATTATATATTATATATTACATGTAGATATTATATATTATATATTACATGTAGATATTATATATTATATATTACATGTAGATATTATATATTATATATGTAGATATTATATATTATATATTTATATGTAGATATTTATATATTATATATATTTATATGTAGATATTTATATATTATATATTTATATGTAGATATTTATATATTATATATTTATATGTATATATTTATATGTATATATTTATATATTATATATATTTATATGTATATATTTATATATTATATACATTTATATGTATATATTTATATATTATATATATTTATATGTATATATTTATATATTATATATATTTATATGTATATACTTATATATTATATATATTTATATATTATATATTTATATATAACATATTTATATAATTATATATAATACACATTTATTTATATTATATATTTATATAATATATAAATTATATTTATATATCATGTTATATTTATCATAAATAATATTTATTATTTCCCAAGTTAGAAATAAAAAAGAGAGGAGTAATAAAAGAAATATGAGGTCCAGGCAAGGTGGCTCACTCCTGTAATCCTAGCACTTTGGAGGGTGGAGTTGGGAGGATTGCTTGAGGCCAGGAGTTCAAGACCAGCCTGGGAAACAAGGCAGGACCCTGTCTCTACAGAAAACTTTAAAAATTAGCCTGCATGGTACCATGCAACTGAAGTCTCAGCTACTTGAGAGGCTGAGGCGGGGGGATCACTTGAGCCCAGGGGTTTGAGGCTGCAGTGAGCAATGACCATACCACTATACTCCAGCCCAGGAGACAGAGCAAGACCCTCTCTAAAAAGAAAAAATAAAGAAAGAAATATAAACTTGCTTCTAAGACAATAATATTAACAATGAGCTTTTTAAACAAATATTTTTTAAAATACATCGTTCAGCAAATTCTTTTTTATCAAAATTTTTCTACTGAAAGCTAACCTGATATTGTTGCAGAGGTTCTGGAGCTTGGCTCTTTGCCTCCAATTAGGGGTCATTGTACCTTAGTCACCAGTAGGTACGGGAATACCAACAGGCCTCTGCCTCAATGCGGTAACATAAAGCAATACAGAAACAATTTTTGGCTTTGCTGCAAATGTGCATAATGGAAAGCAAATATTATTAAAAAGAGAATCATTTTTAGTGATTAAAACAATCCAAGGCAGAAAAAATTTCTCCCATAAGTTTCTAAGTTCTCATTTATCATCGTTTTGCCGCAAGAAGCCAGAGTAATTTTATTTTTCCTGACTTCTATTAAAAAGATCAATACATATGATTCCAAAGAGTCTCGGCTCATGAAAAGATGGAGCAGGCCTGTAATCACATATGAAAGTATTGGTTGTCATTAGCAGAAAGATTGATCTGAAAAGACAGCCGGCCCAGAGTGAAAGGACTTAAAAATTTCCATCGGACTGCCCAGCAACTTTCACCTTCCAGATGATTAAATACAGATAACAGATTACCATATTAGAGGAAAGAATTGGATTGGGGATATTCAGTGGATACCCACTTTAGCAAAGCAATACCAAATTTTTCAATAATAATTTTGTCTGATGCAAAAAAAAATTAATGCTGCCTGACAGTACAAAGTTATTGTTCAAGGTACATTTAAGTCAAAGTTGTTGGATGAAATTCTTATAGTTACCTGTGGCTTCAGAGGCTCTAATGAATGCACATGTTCAGTTGACTTTTTAAAACGGAGTTAAGGAACATATTCAGACAAATTCCGTGGGCTTATTCCATGAACAGAGCTTCTTTCCACTGTCTTCAGTGAGTTATTGACATGACCCTTGATGATGATTGTACAAAACTCACAAGAACTGAACTCACAGCCATGTAAAAGGCTTTCTTCACTCCATAGCTCTTCTTTCCAGAAATCTACTTATGGTTTAGTAAAAATGCTAGCTATAAAACAAGATGGAATTTTTATGGAACCTTGAAAGGGCGTGGTAAACGTGGAAATTCAGAGTTGTGGTCCAAGGACATTGTAAACTAGAGGTCAGCGTTTTTAATATCTTCATCCTTGTCCCACATATGTGCAATATTGACAAACCTCAGGATGATGTTCTCATGCTCCAGAGTTGAGAGAAAAGATGCAGGAGAGGCTGAGACCAGGAGCAAGAGGGATGCTCTTAACAAAATGTTGGCCTGTACATTTTCAAGACATCTGAATATTTCATCACTCTTCAATCCCTTTACTTACTTAGCTGCCAGCAAATAAATACCTGGGATTCTCACAGTATTCAGAACTGTTCATAATTATCAACCAGTGATCATTTGTAATGAACTAAAAGTTGGTATTGGAAAAAGATGCCAACATCCACTCCCTAGAACAATATTAAGAGTAAGTGTGCATTGCATTTATATTAAGTACCATTGTTTGTAATGGACTTCAAAAGTATTTGAGATATTTTATATAAGTACAATACTCTATCACGCTTCTACAAATTCCTAAATGCCTTCATTATCTAAGTTTTACACAAAATCCCATTGTCATGGTATCTACCAGACACTTCACTGCATAGAAAGCAAAACTGTTTTCCTCCATGTCTAAATGAAACAAAACATAAACACTTGTTTTTATGAAAATACCAGAAAATGTTCATGCTTTTGGAATTTCCTGTAATAATAGTATCAGGAGTAAATTCCTCTAAATACAGAGGACAGGAATAAGACTAGCCAGAAATTATTTTTAGTTTCCCAAACTTAGTAAATTCTTGCCCATTTTAAGCTGAAAGGATTATTTTCTTTTCTTGCAACTAAGAAAACTTCTCCATTTTACTAATTCAGTCAATATTTTTAAGATAGCGAGAAATGTAATTTTTTCCATGCTTTGTGTAAGATTCTGTGTAAGTATAAATGTGCATGGTCATATTCCAGGCTGGTAATGAAGACACATCTTTTTAAAGCCAATTATCTTTTTAGGACTATCAAGATAATAATCACTGAAGGGGATTACTGCCTTAAAAGTGGAGCATGATGGCTCTCCAAGACTAGAGAGGGCTATAGTAACTGCCCATCCTGGACCTAATGAAGGGTTCTCAGAAGGTGACTCTTCAGTCATCAGACACCACAATGGACAGACAGTCTGTGATGTAGCTGTAAGTGCTCAGTGACAAGAGCATCTGTTGCCAGCTCCCTGTCCCTCCTCTGCCCTGCTCTGTCTTGTGTATGTCTTGAGGGAAGGTCTACGATATGACATCCTGGGTTGACAATGCATCCCAAGGAAGATGGCATAGCTTGTACAATGTTCCAAGACACGGGGCTCTGATTTGCACTGGGCTGGGTTGATGGCAAGGTGTATAAGTTATATCACATTCCTGTCCTCTGTGCAGAGTCTGACAAATAAAAAGTGGCTGAGGCACAAACCATGAGCTAAATAGGGCCTCAAGCATTCTACTTTTCCAAACACCATGGAAATTATAGTGTTAAAAAAACCAAGAGAGAGGAAAAGCTATAGTGTAGCTGTATTACTCATGGATCTCCAGAGAAACAGAACCAATAGAGGTATAGAGAGAAAGAGATTTAGTATAAGGACTTGGCTCACATAATTATACAGACTGACAAGTCCCAGGAACTGTAGGGTGAGTTGGGAAGCTGGAGACCCAAGAGACCCAATGGTGCAGTTCCATTCTGGGTCCAAAGGCATGAGAACCAGGTGGGCAGGTGGTGTAAATTCCAGTCCAAAGGTTGGTAGGCTGAAGACCCAGGAAGAACCAACATTTCACTTCAAGTCTGAAGGCAGGAAAAAGCCCATGTTCCAGCTTGAAGGACAGTAGGCAAAAGAAATTCTTTCTTACTTGGGGGAGGTTCAGCCTTTTCTTCTACTCAGGCTTTTGACTAATTGGATGTGTCCCACTCACATTAGAGAGAGCCATTTGCTTTACTCAGTATACCAATTTAAGTGTTACTCTCATCCAAAAACACCCTCACAGAAACACTCAGAATAATGTTAACTGAATATCTAGGCATCCCATGGCCCATCACAGTAACCACGTCAAATGCTAAGCAAATAGTTTTCCTTTTGTTTGTCTTAATACAAGTGAAACTTTTGTTTTTTTCCTTTTTTTATTATTCCTTTTGTCCATCTGGTTTAGTATAAACAAATATTTCTTTTGAACTTCAACAAATAAGCAATAGATGGCCAGTAAAATTGCACAGAAAACTCTTTTCCCTCCAGCTAAAGCAACTTCAAAATACATTTATTTAATAAAATAAAGAATCAATAAAATTTTAATTTTAAGCAGTCAGATTCAATGCCAAGTTGTCCTGGAAAGAAATTTGATAGGAATGCATGCTCCTTCTTTTCTTTGTAGCACATGTCAGGTTACAATCTGGTGCAAAGAAAGATGTGCAGCTGCAAAACTAGTGTCCCAGATCTAGCCATAATGATGTAACCTTGGGAAAGATTTTGCTCTCAAATAACTGATAATTTGATAAGGTGGGTAAGACAAACAAAAAAGACAGTAGACTGGTAACTACCTAAGGAAGGTGCAAAGTACTGGGGGAATCAAGAACAGAAGAGCCCCCATCCAGGTGGACATGAGCTTCACGAACAGTCTTTCAGAGGAAACCACCCTGATTTACAGTAAACTCACCCCTTTCTGGGGTCACACTTGAAACAGAATAGCTATACCCACAACCACTCCATCCAGGGACAAGAACTGCGTTCATTCAAACTCATGCCACGTTGTTTTTTCTCTCGGCTCTGCTCAGAGTGAAGTTCATCGTGCAGCAATGAGAAAAGCCCCCATAAAGTCATTCTGACATAAATATCTATAGACAAGAACTGTCACCATTGTCCTTGCGAACTCGTCTTGAAGAAGCATTCCAAGATGTGTGCAAGGGGTGTATGCCTGTGTGTGAATGAGGACAAGGAGGTGTGCAGCTCTTCTATGATTCTTGCCTCAGACTAACTAGATAGCTTTCCTATCAGTAAATAAGGGCACACTGAGTATTTGCTGTGAACCAGGCTCTATCATGAGGCTGTAAACAAAGAACTCAGATCCTGTCCTCCAGGAGCTTGGAGTCTAGATGGTCATAGAGCATTAAACAAATAATGACAAGTGCAGACATAAAGTATAGTTACAAGTTTAAAACTAAAGCCTACACAGCTGCCATACAGTGATTCTACCTCTGTTCTATGGTTCTAGGATCCACTGCTGCAAAGAAAAGGATTATTACTCTTGTCCTTGTACTGGGTTGTGTTGCAAACGTCTGCCTCAGCTCCCTGAAGACAGTCCTGTGGCCTCAGCATGGAGTCCTCACTCAGTCCCTGGGACCACTGTACTAAGCAGTGGTTCATAGCCTGTGTGAGCAAAAGGATCACCTGGGGTACTAGAGGGTAGATACCTGGCCTCACTCTCCCAGAAATTCTGATTCTGTGGATCTATGCTGTATTTGAAAAAGCCACCTGAGTATTTGAAAACCCACTTCACATAATAGCAGACAGTATATGAACCACCCCAAGAAACCATGTGAGACCAATGAACTAAAGACCAATGAACTAAAGCCTCCAATTTTCCTTATCCAGACAAATTAAAAATGTAATTTAATTGATATGCTACATTAGTTTCAGAATATCTCAAAAAACATATATTCACAAAATAGAATACCTTTTCCTGCCTTCAAAAGACAGTAAGTTGCAAATGATTACATTCTGAAAATAGAGGAATGTTCACAATCCTGATATTTAAACTCTTTGTAATGAGGTTTTTTTTAGTATATAACTTTAATATGTGCTCCAAATGAATAAAAAGATTATTCATTTATCATTCAGTTTTTTTAAATATTAACTGGTAAATCCCTCTTTTAGGAAGCATAAATAAATACCTAAGTGTAAAAAATATGCTAAACCAAATACTAAATACTGCCAACAATTCATAATGGAAATAAAATCAGCTTCAAAATCCAAGCTAAACCACAGATTAAACAGAGGGTTTTCATGTGACCTCGAAATCAATTCTTTTGTTTTCTTTTGCCATTTTTAATAACAAACAACTGAATTTTTTTAAAAAACATATTTTCATAAAATTGAATGTTGTTCTTTCACATAACATTGATTCTAAGGCAATGTCATCAATAGTCACAAGTAAAAGAAAAGGAACCTCCAAAGCCATAAATTCGATTGGAACTGAGATACCAAGTTTGTGAGTAAAGATCAGCAAATAATTTTTTACAAGATATTAAGACTTGTAAGGCTTAAGATATAAGCCCAGAATGATACAAACTTAGACGGACAGGCAGGAAGAGTAGGAACAGGAAAAACGTGTTTCCCAACATGTCATTGAGGGTTATTATTAATTCAGAAAAAGGAAATTTTGTGTTAAAAATTTCAAAACAATGAACATTAAAACTGCTCAGTTGCAAGGTCAGCACTGAAAATAAATAGAAATGGAATCATTATTTCAATTAGTGAACAGTTATCATGTAGATGCCCCAGTTCTGATACAGAGATCTATGTTAGAGACACAGGGTAAGTAATACACGCACTCACCACCTAGCCTGCAAAGTGACAGACAGATGTGCAGTTCATGTTGGGGCAAGATGTCTATTGCACTGGTCCTATGAAGCAGTGATTCAGAAACAGTAAAGAGGGCGTGGTGACTTCTTCCTGGGGAGTATGATTAGGATGGCCTCACAGAGGTGAGTATGTTGCAGATTTTGGGTTGGGCAAGTCTCTGGGTCAAAGCTTCATTAGCTTGGGGCAGTTGCTTGTTTAATTTGCTTGGAGTTCCTTCTTTGGACTTCGTCTTGATTTTCATTACAAATTCTTCCTGGGGAGTCCTTCACGTCCATGTGTTCAGCTATCATCCACATGTTTATGACTCCCAAAACTATGTCCTGAAACAAAAACCTCCTTCCTGTGATTCAAAATCACAGCCAAATTGCCTTCTGGATAAACTACAGGCCTCTCAAATTTGACACTTGTAAATCAAAATTCATTGACTTTTCCCCTATCCCTGCCCTCAACCCAAACCTCTACATCCTCTGTTACTTGCCTTTTCAATGACTCGCACAGCCCCTCAACTAGTGCCTAAGACAGAAATCATACGTAATCTCAGACTCCTTCCTCTTCTCTCCATATCCCAGCCACCAAGCCTGGCCTCTCCCACTTAAATCCCACATTCCTCTTATTCTTCCACAGTTGCAATCATAATTGATGCTCTCAGCCTGGTTTACCTGGTATCTCTGTCTCCAGTCTCATTCCCTTGCAATCCACCCTTGGCACTTCTGCCATGATGGACTGTAATTGACAGCTGATGATTTTGTTTCTCTTATTAAAATCCCCCAGTGCTGTCTCAGGATAAATTCTGTACTCCTCATGAATAAATTCTGCACCTTTCATGAACTGAGGCCTCTCATCCACCATCCTTTTTTCGCACTGCCCCAGGTAGGCACTCAGAGCTCTTCCCATACAACACTACTTCCCATGCCTTGGCATACACCGTCTTCTCTCCCTTTCTATCAACAGACCACCTTCTTGGCCAGCCCAACCTCTGCCCAGCTCAGTGACTTCCTCCTTTGGGGAGCCACCTCTGACATCCCCAGGCTGAGTCAGGTCACCCTCTTTTCCCCCTGCTTCCTGTGGCTGTCACTATTGAACACACCTTCCAGGGTTGGTAGTACTAGGACTCTTTGTCTGCCTCCTGCAAGCTGACATGTGAAGCTCAAGGGCAGAACTGTGTTCTGTTCATTTTTTTTTTTTTTCTTTTCACTTTAAGTTCTGGGATACATGTGCAGAACGTGCAGGTTTGTTACGTAGGTATACATGTGCCATGGTGGTTTGCTGCACTCATCAACCCATCGTCTAGGTTTTAAAGCCTGCAGGCATTAGGTATTCGTCCTAATGCTCTCCCTCCCCTTGCCCCCTACTCCCAACAGGCCCGGTATGTGATGTTCCCCTCCCTGTGAACATGTGTTCTCATTGTTCAACTCCCACTTATAAGTGAGAACATGCAGTGTTTGGTTTTCTGTTACCATGTTAGTTTGCTGAGAATAATGGCTTCCAACTTCATCCATGTCCCTGAAAGGACATGAACTAATTCTTTTTTTATGGCTGCATAGTACTCCATGGTGTATATGTGCCACATTTTCTTTATCCAGCCTGTTCATCTTTATAGTCCTTGTGCCTACCACAAAGCTTAACACATAAGAATACTTCAACTGTTTGTGGATTATCTTAATTAAGCAATGCCATTCACTGAATTTCATGATTATTCCCATTCAAAAGGAATAGTTTTAAAACCTCAGGAAGCATGTGACTATCCAACAAATTATACCCCTCGAAAACAAACTACCAACAGCGAAACTCCACACTTTCAAGTTATATAACTATCATACAAAAGCAACCGATTAGTATGGAACATTTGGGTCAACCAGTTGTTTTTTTCTACATTGTACCAAACACTTGATTTGGTGGTGGTGGTGGTTGTTTAAGTGTTGCTTAAACCATTATATTATCTCAGGCTTGCAAGGCAGCTGAGTCAATGGAGCAGTTGTTTAAGTATCATGTGGACTCAGTGTGCAGCTTTGGCAGATATTACTGAGTTACTGCAACCAATTCTCACCAGTGCTTTTTTGAGCATCTACTTCATAGCAGATGAATCCACAGACCCTACCTCCATGTTTCTCAGAATCTTAGCCCCTGGACCACCTTTATCCAACTCACCTGAGAGTCTTGCCAGAAATGCAGATTCTGGCACCCTACCCACAATATCCTAAACCAGAACCTCCAGAGGCAGGGCCTGGCCATGTGCATTTTAAGAAGGTCCATCCTACTGATATAATCCAAACTCAAGTGTGAGTGGCACTGGTCTACTCTTCAGTCAGTCCTACAGAAAGTGTAAAGAAAGGATAAAGAAGTAGGGTGATGAGGGAGTGAGGGGAGCCAAGCAGGAGAGTGACGTGGTAGAACACTGGAACAGCTACTCACAAAGAGATCCAATACAGTAATGGTATACACAAAAAGAGTTTATTTCTGTTTCACATAAAAGTCTGGTTGTATTTGGTCCTGGGCTTATACAGAGGTATCATGGTGTCAAGGACTCAGGATTCTTCTATTTCTTCTATTAGCGCTTTTCTTCTATTAGATCTTCTAATACTTTGTGGTTCTGCCATCCTTAGGGTCTTTCTCTTAATCTATAAAGTCTAAGAGTTGTTCATTATCACCTCCTCATTTCAACCAGACAGAAGGAAAGGAAGAGGGTCCCTTCCCCTTAAAAGCACTAGCCAGAAGGTACCCTCGCCATGGCTGTTCATATTCCACAGTTTACCCACCTATCTCCGTCCAACTACAAAGGAGAGGGAGAAATGTACTGGGGAAAGGAGAAACCCGTGTGCCCAGCTAAAATGTGAGTTCTGTAACAATGGAGGGGAAAGAAAAATAGATAATGGAGTCAACTTGCTGCCTCTGTCACCTGAGAGGAGAAGGGGAAGCGGGAGGGGAAGAGTAGGAAGGGGAGGTAAAAGGGAATGAAAAAGAATATAAAATTTACTATTGTCCATTTTTCAAAAGCCCCTACCCCTGCCCACCCACCGCCACACATCTATTCTAGTCTGCTGTTCCTGATTTTCTAAGCTTCTTTAATCAAGCCTGTTGCATTCACTTTCACTCACACCCCTCTAGCCTTGGCCTTGGACATTGACTTTGATTGGAAAACAATCTGCTGCCAATTCTTCCAATATTATCAGCATAATGGGCTGCAGGCACAATCTGTTTCTCAAAGTTCTCTGCTTTATGTTAAAAGTCAGGGGCCCAAGGATGAATTTCAAACAATAGAGTTGCCTTATTTGCGGTTCGAGATGGTTGGTCAGTCAGCCCTATCCCAGCACTCTTTGTAGGTGAATGATGTGGGCAGTGTTGCAGACCTGTGCTTGATGAACTGAATCTCCACGTGCATAATCACCCTGACTTTCAGGTGAAAACTGCCCTGGTTTATAGTCTGGTTGCTGGAGAAAGTCTAAAGTGTGAAGGAACAGGTAGCCTCAGTGTTATCCGGACACTCTAGCTACCTTCCTGTGGAGTAAGGATTCCCATGGCCTCATGCCCAAAGTGCTGACGTCTCAAGAACAACCCCCTCCAGCCTTTCACTGACCTAAGATGAACCATGTGACATTCATTCCATGGATCAGACATCAGGTCAGACCTTATTGCTTTTGGACAGCAGCCATTACATGATTTACGGAGCAAAGGATAGGTACAATACAAACCTCAGAGTACGTGACAAAGTTAGAGGGTATTTCTAAGCATGAAAATATGCAACATTTCAGGAGTAATGTCATAAAAAGAGGGATCAGACCAACAGATCACTGTCTCCATTTAACTGTAATCTCTAAAAATAACTTTAGCTCTCATTTCTGAGTCAGAGAGAAACTTTAGAAGTTACATTCATGCTTTTAGGAGGCAATATGTAACCCAACTTCTCCAAAACTAAACTTAAATATAATCTAAGTCAGAATTCAATCCCCCAAGGAGATTTCAGTATAGACTCAGATTCACAAAGCAGAGGAAGAGATAATGTGGTTTTATTCCAAAGCGCAGACTTAAACACATGGCAACCCTCATCATTCTCAAAGTTCCCAATTGCTTCATTTGCTCCCAAGAGTCAAGTGGCTTCTATAAGAAAATTACATGCGGTCAGAAAATTACAGGAGGCCTGGTTCTTTGGGAGTAATGATCCATTCATTTGATAATTTGCTAAATGCTTACTCTTTCTGCTCGTCATTTTTTCCTCCTGGTTAGTACATCATGCATATGGTGACAAGAGATAAAGAAATGGACAAGCTCCCAGAAAAAACAGACAAGAAATGGGACCAAAAAAAGACATAAAATGTCTTTTAAAATAAGCTTAATATTTTGAAAAATGCCTTTTATGAAAAATACCAGTGGAATAATTTAGATGTACCCTTGTAGCCTCACAGATGCTGATTTTTCAGATGGTGGTGCCACATACCCCCACCACTGGCATGGATCCCACTGCAAAGGGCCTCTGGGGACATCCAAGCACAACCCTGAATAGACATCTGGCCATAGACAAATCCTCCTTGTCTCCAGAGACTTCTACAGGATTCCAACTCTAGTTTTTAAAATGTGAGTATATGAGACACATGGGTCTGTAGGCTCTGGTTTTAGAGGTGAATCCTTCACATTAATGATTCTGAGATTGATTTTCTCCTTTGTTGGCCCTTCTTGACCATTTTTACCTTCTCAGTGACCACGTTTCAGTGCTCACTAGGACCTGGACCGGGGGCAGGGTAAACCGAGGTAAGTAGCTCTGTGTTACTGCCTGCTACTATGCCCACGGATGTGTGGTGATGAGAAGGGTAAAACAAAAAGCCAGAATTCCTTTCCAGGATGAAATAAATGCAAGATAAGCACAGGGAGCTGCTCAGGTGCCTGAGGAAGGTGGCCAACTCCAAATGTCCACAAAGTGTCCATGTCAGGTGACCCAAAGGTGCAAAAAACAGGCAGACTGCTTCTGTGCCCAGTAGCAAGAATATCAAGTACGTCAGGTCTTTTTGGTGTGGCTTAATACAGCCTACTTAAAAGGAAAAATAGAAAATCTATGTGAACAGTTTCCAGCTGCCAGCTCTAATTTCCCATGATGGCCCATGACAAGGAGTGCACAGTGTTATTGATCAGTTATGACATTATCAGAAAAGGGCTGAATGGAGTTTGCTCTCACTCTTTTCTTTCTCTTTGCTCTTTGTCAGTGTCCTTAGGAAATGTATCTAATTCTTAGGCTTCTCCAGCCAAGCAGGATGGGCAAGAAGACATTTATACTGGATGGCTTCTAAAAACATGTTATACCAGTTTCAATATTTTAGGAAAATAACTGTACAATAATCCAATATTAACAGAAGAAAGAAAATATTCATTCAAAAGTGCCTATATGCTCATGTCCTATGTATTTCATGTCTTGGACCAAAATATTCTATTCTTCTCATGAAACCACTTATAGTTACCAAGCTGAAAAATCAAACAGACATTATGTTTTAGCAAATTTCTTCATTTCCCTTTTGAGTTCTTTGGAAAGAAGAGAACAAAGTGCAGAGAAATACTTATTCTCTAGGCCATAAAATCAGGAGGGCAGGCCTGTGATCTATTGAATGTTGAGCACCAAGCTCAGTACCTGGCACGTAATAGTTGCTCAATAAATTTTGTTACCACATGCTGAATGACTCCAACAAGTAATTAGATTTTTCTGCCACTCCCCTCTATTCAAAGCTCTAACAAAGAACTTTTTAAAGGTGTGAGCCCATGGTCTCTATTAAAGAGTTTTCCATTGCAACTTTTCTTCTTCTAACTAGTAGCTTTCTCTTGTATACTCAAAAGTCACCTCGTTTAGCTTAGTCATGGAGCATAGAGGTTTGAAGTCATGCAAACATGGATTCAGCTACCTGGTTCTGCCACTTGCTAGTGTCATTACAACTTCAGCAAGTTGCCTAATTTCTCTGAGCCTCATTTTTCCCACCTATAAAGGACCATAATATTTCCACAAGGCTATCTATGGATTAAGTGAATAATATGTACAAAACAGCTCACAAAGTGCCTGATAATAGTCTATTTATGATGACCACTTTATTTTAAATATTGTTATAATCATTATCATCACTGGTATCCACTGGAAGCTTTAGAATAATCCTATAGCATGCTTTATAATTAAAACACTGTTATATATCTAATTAAGAAAGTTTTCTTGCTCATACATTTATAAGCTGTTCTTTTGTACTGTATGATACCAAAGGAAAGTTACCTATAGTTTTTGTAATATTCAGGGACAGACAATATTCAAGTATGCAAATTCTTGAATGCAAATTTCTTTAATGCTTTCTTTAGTAGTCTATACAAAACTTTAATATATATGTGTGTATATATTATATATAATATATACATTACATGTATTATATATACACATATGTTAAATATATTATATATTATAAATTATATTATATAATTAAAGATAATATATTAAAATATGTAATCTATAATTATCTAATAAATCATTATATATATTATATAGGTCATGTGTAGTGGTTCATGCCTGTAATCCCAGCTCTTTGGGAGGCTGAAGCAAGAGGATCCTTTGAGCCTAGGTGTTCAATCCCAGCCTAGGCAACATAGTGAGACCCAGTCTCTAAAAATAAATAAATAAAATAAACAATAAATAACAAATAAATAAATAAAATAAACAAATAAAATTATACATATACTATATATATGTACATATTATATACATACACACATATATATATAATTTGCCATTATAAGCTAGCTGTAACTTTCCCAAGGTCAACAGCCTGTCACTGGCCACAAAACACAAAGGAGAAAGTAGTATATATCTACACATCCTCCAAAGCCTAAGGCTGCAAATGGCTGGCATAGAAAACATCCAGTCCTACTGTACCTGAATACTCCCTCTAGAAGGTTCTTAGAATGAATCAAAGGTGAAAGAGGGCATACATGGAAGCCATTGACCAGCCCCCAACTCCATACATACTGCACTCCATCCTTTAGAGGCATAATAATTGGTTCATTCCTACTTGCAATTCAGAAATATTAATTGAGCATCTTCAATGTGCTAAACACTGCTTTGCTTTCAATGATGGAAATGAAGTGGTAAGCAAAACAAGAAAAGTGCCTGCCCTCATGGAGCTTGCATTCCAGAGTAATTTGTTTCTTGGTAGCAAGAACAAGGAGGCTGAGTAACAGACCTTACAGTTGGTGTATGATATATTTTTCAATCTTTCTAAAAGTTCTTAATTATCTGCTGTCTAACTTGTAAGCCAAATTTCATTCCTTCTGTGCAGAATGACATGGCCAGTCTGACCACCAAATACGATGGGGCTTTCTTAACTATTCAAGTACACTGTTGGCAAAAGATAGTGGGCTATTCAAAATGACATGCCGAAACATGTATGGTGATTTTAATCAATTATTTTGGCCAGTTTCAAAGGCATTTATCACAAAGTAACACAGTCTTGCTAAAATATTTCTTTAAACACAGAGTTCTTTGTTCCTACACCTTTAAGAAGTAAAGGGAATACCCAGACACTGTACCTGTTTTGTAAGTTAAAGTGAAAACATACTGCACTGAAACTTATAGTTGATATCTCTTCAGAAGAGAAATTCATCAGCAAGGTAATAATTCCCAGTAGCTACACAAAGAAACCACAGTCTTCAGAAAAACCACATAACAGAGAATGGAATACTGTGAGCAGCCCACATAATTACTCATGATAGATAAGTGTATTAAAAATTAAATATAAATTATTGCAGGCATTATAGTTTTGGCACAAGATGAAAAAAGTGCTTTATGTTACTTAAAAGTTTTAATAACTGCCTTAAATTTGGCTCAGTTGAAAATAAGCTTATCCTGAGTAAATATAAAGCATTTATTATTTGAAGTATTGCTTTCAATACAATTGTAGGTTTAAAAAAAAACAACCTCTTTGATTTTCTAAAAGTTGCTATGTGGCATTGATCTTTTTTAAAAGTACTAAAAAGAGATACAAATAGGTGAATTTTAAACAGGGTTGTTCTAAGGAGGATTACTTTAACATATGAAAATCTCTTACCAAAACTCTGCTAAATCCTAAAATCAAATCCAGATGATTTTGAATCTAAATGTGAGAGGGGAAAAAATAAATCTTTTAAAGAAAAACATAAGAGAGTATCTTCATGACCTTGGAGTAGGCAAAGAGTCCTTAAATAACACAAAAAGCACTAACCTTAAAACAAAAAAGATAAGTTAGATTATATTAAAATTAAGAATTTCTGTTTATCAGTACTAAGAGAGTGAAAAGAAACCCACAGAGTAGAAAAAGATGCTTGCAATACACGTCTCCAACAAAGAACTGACACTCAGAACATATAAAGAATTCCTGGCCTGGTGCCGTGGCTCATACCTGTAATCAGCACTTTGGGAGGCCGAAGCTGGAGGATCACTTAAGCCCAAAAGTTTGAGATCAGCCTGGTTAGCATAGTGAGAACTTGTCCCTACTAAAAAAAATTTCTTAAATTTAGCTGGGTACAGTGGTGTGCACCTGTAGTCCCAGCTACTTGGGAGGCTGAAGCAGGAGATCACTTGAGCACAGGAGGTCAAGACTGCAATGAGCTATGATCACTCTATGCACTATAGCCTGGGCGACAGAGCAAGGCCCTATCTAAGAAGAAGAAGAAAGAAGAAGAGAAGAGGAGGAGGAGGAGGAGGAGGAGGAAGAAGAAGAAGAAAACGAAGAAGAATTTCTACAACTCAATTCAATAAGAAAAAGAAAGACAACAATAGAAAAATGAGCAAAGGACTTTAATACCTACTTCACATAGAACGATATCCTAACAGCCAATAAATACATGGCAAGGAGCTCACCTTCATTTGTTGTCACTGAAATGCAAACTAAAACCACAAGGAGAGACATTATACTTCCATCCAAGTGGCTGAAATTTTAAAAAGAGGCAAATACCCAATAGAGCAACTGACATTCACATACACTGCTGGTGGGGATGTAAATTGGTACAAATACTTTAGAAAACTGTTTGGCAGTATCTGCTAAGCAGAGGTCTTCAAAATGTGGTCCCTGGACCAGTAGCAAAAGCATCACCTGGAATTTGCCAGAAGCCCACATTCTTGGGCCCTACTCCATACCTACTGAATCAGAAACACTCCAGGTGTTTCCCAGAGATCTGTGTTTTAACAAACCCTCCAGGTGGTTCTGATGCGTGTGCAATCTTGAGAACCACTGTGCTAAAGCTCAGCATATGCATAGCCTCTAACTCAGAAACTGTACTCTTAGGAATGTCTACCAGAGATGTGTATGAGCTTTCATCAAAATACATGTACAAGAGTGTTTGCAGTAGCACTACTCAAAACAGCCAAAAACTGGAAACTATCTGATATGGTTTAGCTGTGTCCCCACTGAAATCTCATCTTGAATTGTAGCTCCCATGATCCCCACGTGTCGTGGGACAGACCCAGTTGGAGGTAACTGAATCATGGGGGAGGGTTTTTCCCGTGGTGTTCTCATGATAGTAAGTCTCACGAGATCTGCTGGTTTTATAAAGGGCAGTTCCCCTGCACACGCTCTCTTGCCTGCCACCAGGTAAGACATGCCTTTGCTCCTCCTTCACTTTCCACCATGTTTATGAGGCCTCCCCAGCCATGTGGAACTGAGAGTCCACTAAACCTCTTTTTCTTTATAAATTACCCAGTCTCGGGTATAGCAGCATGAGAAGGAACTAATACATTACCTAAATGCCATCAGTAGGAAGGACAAACAAAGCATGCTATAGTCACTAAGTAGAAGTCTACACAGCAATGAGGCTGCATAATCTATAATTGTATGCAACAGTGTAGATGAACCTCACATACATAATGATAGACAAAAGAAGCCAATCACAAAGCTACACATCTTGTAGGATTCCATTTGCAGAAAGTACAAAAAAAGGCAAAACCTGACTCTGCTATTACAAGTCAGGATATGGTTATGATTGGGAGAGACCAGTAGGTGAAGACTGCAAGGGCTCTAAGGAAGGCTTCTGGATGCTCCCACCATTTTTTTTTTCTTGAGCTGGGGTTGGTTACAGTAATGATCTGTTTATGAAAATGCACTGTGCTGTATGCTTATAATGTGAGCACTTTTCTGCCAGTATACAACAATGAAAAGGTTTTCTTAAAACTTGATTAAAATAATTCTTTTCAAATTGTATAATAAGTGTGAATTACTTTAGGTAGAATATTTGCATTGGAAAAAGTTTAGGACATTAAAGAGTAATGTCCTAATATTCCACTCCAGGGAATTGTCATCAATATGGCAGAAGAAGAAAAAAGCTTACAAGATCAAATACCAATGAAATCTTCCCTGAATGACTGCATCAAGGTACTAAAAATGGTCCCTGGGGTCAGACTAAACAACAGAAACCCACCAGTGGGCATAGTTCGTCAGTAAATCTGTGCTTTAATAATTAAAATGTAAGCACTATATTTATATACCCCTTAATTCCATAAGAATTTTCAGTGGTTGTAACTGCATTAACCCACTCATCAGTCAGGTTAAGCAGCCATCAGCGGACCATGAGAAGCAAAGGGGAAGGTCAGGCACATTAACTACCTGATGTTTGCTTCTGATTAAAGTTGGCTTATTTATTTATTTATTTATTTTGCCAGCAGAGTCAGTGAATTTTTAAAAAGACAATGATTGTCATCTCATCTCTGTTGTCAGCAAAGCCCTCATTCCACCTTGAGCTCCCTTTTGAGTAGCCAGGGCTCTGGGTTACACATGGGCTCATTCTGCTTTTACCGACAAGGATGCTGCATTAGTCCATTTTCACGATGCTCATAAAGACATACCTGAGACTGGGTAATTATAACAAACTGTCTCTCAGACCACAGTGCAATCAAATTAGAACTCAGGATTAAGAAACTCCCTCAAAACCACTCAACTACATGAAAATTGAACAACCTGCTCCCGAATGACTACCGGGTACATAACGAAATGAAGGCAGAAATAAAGGTGTTCTTTGAAACCAACGAGAACAAAGACACAACATACCAGAATCTCTGGGACACATTCAAAGCAGTGTGTAGAGGGAAATTTATAGCACTAAATGCCCACAAGAGAAAGCAGGAAAGATGAAAAATTGACACCCTAACATCACAATTAAAAGAATTAGAGAAGCAAGAGCAAACACATTCAAAAGCTAGCAGAAGGCAAGAAATAACTAAGATCAGAGCATAACTGAAGGAAACAGAGACACAAAAAACCCTTCAAAAAAATCAATGAATCCAGGAGCTGGTTTTTTGAAAAGATAACAAAACGGATAGACTGCTAGCAAGATTAATAAAGAAGAAAAGAGAGAAGAATCAAATAGATGCAATAAAAAATGACAAAGGGGATATCACCACCGATCCCACAGAAATACAGACTACCATCAGAGAATACTATAAACAGCTCAACGCAAATAAACTAGAAAATCTAAAAGAAATGGATAAATTCCTCGACACATACACCCTCCCAAGACTAAACCAGGAAGAAGTTGAATCTCTGAATAGACCAATAACAGGCTCTGAAGTTGAGCCAATAATTAATAGCTTATCAAC
Source organism: Homo sapiens (assembly GCF_000001405.40). NCBI lineage: Eukaryota > Metazoa > Chordata > Mammalia > Primates > Hominidae > Homo > Homo sapiens. The sequence goes on from NC_000021.9 coordinate 35,787,839, forward strand.
CAAAAAAAGTCCAGGACCAGATGGATTCAGAGCCGAATTCTACCAGAGGTACAAGGAAGAGCTGGTACCATTCCTTCTGAAACTATTCCAATCGATAGAAAAAGAGGGAATTCTCCCTAACTCGTTTTATGAGGCCAGCATCATCCTGATATCAAAGCCTGGCAGAGACACAACAAAAAAAAGAGAATTTTAGACCAATATCCCTGATGAACATGAATGCAAAAATCCTCACTAAAATACTGGCAAACCGAATCCAGCAGCACATCAAAAAGCTTATCCACCGTGATCAAGTGGGCTTCATCCCTGGGATGCAAGGCTGGTTCAACATACACAAATCAATAAAGGTAATCCAGCATATAAACAGAACCAATGACAAAAACCATATGATTATCTCAATAGATGCAGAAAAGGCCTTTGACAAAATTCAACAACGCTTCATGCTAAAAACTCTCAATAAATTAGGTATTGATGGGACGTATCTCAAAATAATAAGAGCTATCTATCACAAAACCACAGCCAATATCATACTGAATGGGCAAAAACTGGAAGCATTCCCTTTGAAAACTGGCCCAAGACAGGGATGCCCTCTCTCACCACTCCTATTCAACATAGTGTTGGAAGTTCTGGCCAGAGCAATCAGGCAGGAGAAGGAAATAAAGGGTATTCAATTAGGAAAAGAGGAAGTCAAATTGTCCCTGTTTGCAGATGACATGATTGTATATCTAGAAAACCCCATCGTCTCAGCCCAAAATCTCCTTAAGCTGATAGGCAACTTCAGCAAAGTCTCAGGATACAAAATCAATGTGCAAAAATCACAAGCATTCTTTTTTTTTTTTTTTTTTTTTTTTTTGAGACGGAGTCTCGCTCTGTGGCCCAGGCGGGAGTGCAGTGGCGCAATCTCGGCTCACTGCAAGCTCCGCCTCCCGGGTTCACGCCATTCTCCTGCCTCAGCCTCCCGAGTAGCTGGGACTACAGGCGCCCACCATCACGCCCGGCTATTTTTTTTGTATTTTTAGTAGAGACGGGGTTTCACCGTGTTAGCCAGGATGGTCTCGATCTCCTGACCTCGTGATCCGCCCGCCTCGGCCTCCCAAAGTGCTGGGATTACAAGCGTGAGCCACCGCGCCCGGCCCACAAGCATTCTTATACACCAATAACAGACAAACAGAGAGCCAAATCATGAGTGAACTCCCATTCACAATTGCTTCAAAGAGAATGAAATACCAAGTAATCCAACTTACAAGGGATATGAAGGACCTCTTCAAGGAGAACTACAAACCACTGCTCAATGAAATAAAAGAAGATACAAACAAATGGAAGAACATTCCATGCTCATGGGTAGGAAGAATCAATATCGTGAAAATGGCCATACTGCCCAAGGTAATTTGTAGATTCAATGCCATCCCCATCAAGCTACCAATGACTTTCTTCACAGAATTGGAAAAAACTACTTTAAAGTTCATATGGAACCAAAAAAGAGCCCGCATTGCCAAGTCAATCCTAAGCCAAAAGAACAAAGCTGGAGACATCATGCTACCTAACTTCAAACTATACTACAAGGCTACAGTAACCAAAACAGCATGGTACTGGTACCAAAACAGAGATATAGACCAATGGAACAGAACAGAGCCCTCAGAAATAATGTCGCATATCTACAACCATCTGATCTTTGACAAACCTGACAAAAACAAGAAATGGGGAAATGATTCCCTATTTAATAAATGGTGCTGGGAAAACTGGCTAGCAATATGTAGAAAGCTGAAACTGGATCCCTTCCTTACACCTTATACAAAAATTAATTCAAGATGGATTAAAGACTTAAACGTTAGACCTAAAACCATAAAAACCCTAGAAGAAAACCTAGGCATTACCATTCAGGACATAGGCATGGGCAAGGACTTCATGTCTAAAACACCAAAAGCAATGGCAACAAAAGCCAAAATTGACAAATGGGATCTAATTAAACTAAAGAGCTTCTGCACAGCAAAAGAAAGTACCATCAGAGTGAACAGGCAACCTACAAAATGGGAGAAAATTTTCGCAACCTACTCATCTGACAAAGGGCTAATATCCAGAATCTACAATGAACTCAAACAAATTTACAAGAAAAAAACAACCCCATCAAAAAGTGGGCGAAGGACATGAACAGACACTTCTCAAAAGAAGACATTTATGCAGCCAAAAAACACATGAAAAAATGCTCACCATCACTGGCTATCAGAGAAATGCAAATCAAAACCACAATGAGATACCATCTCACACCAGTTAGAATGGCAATCATTAAAAAGTCAGGAAACAACAAGGTGCTGGAGAGGATGTGGAGAAATAGGAACACTACTCAACTCCACTCTTGTAGCATGAGAAAAGTCATAGACACCACATAAACAACAGTGCATGTGACTGTGTTCCACATCGTTTACAAAACTATCTACAAAAACAAGCAGAGGGCTGGGTTTGATCTGCTGGCCATAGTTTGCAAATGCCTACTCTTCGAGTTGATACGAACATTACTCCTTTTAAAGGAGACCAGACTCTAGAATCACTCCAAATGCAGGGAAATATTTTCAGCTATCCAAAATCAATCACGGGCACTAGTTGCTGGCCTCTGACCTACATCATTTCAGGTCTGCACTGCTAATAGGTGTCAGGTTCAGAGGCTGGCACGGGCGCTGTTCTTGAATGGTCCTGAGTACACCCACCCATGTGAGCAGGACAAATAAGTCCCCTTGAAGGGAGGCACCTGAGGAAGCCTACCGGTCTAAGTGCGCATGAATGTAGGTGTGAAAACACATTATCTCACTCAGCAGAGAGTACAGCTGGGATTGCCCAAGTGATGTGGTCCCTATGATGTAAAATATGAAAATGTCTTCCAACTAGTTTCATCAATGAAATCTTTGTGGGTGATTTCTTTTAAGCCATTACTTATGCCTCTTGAATCGTGTGTTTGATTTCATTGGGTAATTATTTCGCTAGATACAAGGGACCCTGTCAGAATATCTTTACTGACTAAAAACAAGCTATGCTTTTGGTGCCCTGGAAACATATAACAATACTATATAATATTAACTAAGCCAAGGCTTAGCTGGGAAGTTACTGGATCTCCTGTTCCTTTTCAACACTGTTTTTGCCCCTTCTCATTGTCATCCTTCTCACTCTTCCCTCTTTTCCAACCATGTTTTATGTTTCTGTCCCTCTTTCTCTTGCCTTAAACCAATCAAAACCAAACAAATAAAAGGAAGTAGAGAGCAGCAAGACTTCATACTGAAAACGTCCTTAAAGGAAACGGCTTTCACGTTTATCATTTTTTTCATTATTTTGAGTCAGTTTTTGAGAGCAAGAACATATATCTTTACTATATTAAAAATCAGAGTCACTCTAACCATGTAATAAACCCAGAACATGTATTCATGGTAACTATACCTCCAGTGGTTTATGATTTAAACTCAGAAAGTTTCTTTAATTAATCTCTGCTATGGGTTTGATATCAATGTCAATTAAAAGCAGCACATGATGACCCTTATGCAATGAGATAAGAATAAGAAAACTGGGAGGCTGAGGCAGGAGAATGAGGCGAACCTGGGAGGCGGAGCTTGCAGTGAGCTGAGATCACGCCACTGCACTCCAGCCTGGGCGATAGAGCGAGATTCCGTCTCAAAAAAATAATAATAAGAAGAAAACACTAATATATTGGTCTGACATAGAATATGCAAATTTGTTCATTATAAAAATAAATATGTCTGTTGAAAGGCTGGCAAATAACCAATGGCTCACTGATAATACCCTCTAATCCCAAGAAAAAAACATAGACCAAAATAAAAAGAAAATAAACTTCGTATAAAGATGAGAAAGCAAAGTGTCCCCTTGTTACGTAATATTAGAATGCTCTCTCATACCTACGGTTGCTTTCGTTCTATGTCAAATGAAATTACGCTGCCCACCTGCAGGTGCTGGGAGGAACAAGTTAGAGGCTCCATGGAAAAGCATCTTGAAAATAGCCGAGTGCTCTGCAAATGCAGATCGTTATTTATGCAAAAAAAAAAAAAAAAAGGCAGGAGGAAATCCATCTGTTCTAAAACCTCTCCCCTCAATATGCTTCCTTATTATCTACACGAATTAAAGATGGGTTTATCAAATTCGCGTTTACAATTATGGGATGTGGGTTAAAATAATCACACACACAATCAGAACCCATGGCTGACTACTTACAACATTTCCTTTGTCATTCTGTCTAGGATGAGATTGTGTTTTGTTATTGAACCATAAAAAATGTCATTAACCCTTGGTTCATTGTTAATTCTTAGAAAGCTAGAATCCTTTTTGTGTCTTTGGAATCCCTTTCACACACAGCCAGTTGGATAGAAAATAGAAGGTACCTGAGAGGTGAGGAACTGTTAGTGAATTGATGTGGAAGCTTCTAAAGGCATTGCTCCTGAAATGACAAGTTTCAGCAGGAATAGAAGCTGAGGGCCTTCCCACCACAGATGGCCAGATTGGGTGCCTTCTGAGCCCACTGTCTAGCTCAAGCCCTAGCCTGTCAATCCTGAAAATACCAGCAAGTACTGTCCTCCTGCTAGTAGTATTATATATAGTGTGTCTCACAAAGACCCAGAGGGGTCAGATGAATGAGAGCTTAAAGTAATTCGCACACTCCTGAGCCAACAGTCCTGGGCTCCAACCCCTAGGCCATCACTTAAGGCTCTGAGACCCCAGGATGGCACTCAGCATCCAGGCACTTCACATCCTGTGAACATCTGTCATGCTTTGGACACACACACGCAGACACACACCAACACTTCTTAAACACTCTGCCTGTGTTTAGGGCTATCTCTCCCTTATGGGTCTTCTCTCCCCTAGAAATAAGCCAGAACCTCATTTCCCAAGACTTCCTTGCATCTAGGTTGCTGATATGTGATGCAAGCTTTGTGGATCTGACACACTCCCAAGAGACTTTAAAGCAGTTGAGAGCAATGTGGACAAGCATGAGTGCCCTACAATTTTTTTCTGTTGTGAGAGAGGAAATAGAAGGCTCCAGCTTTGGAGAACATCAGCAAAAAGGTCTCCACATTAGTGATAAAAGCTGTGGTATCTCTGCCCTGTGAAGGTGGCAGAAGGTCATCACAGACTTTCCACCCTTACAAGAGTCTGAAGTACCCAATACATCCTATACTAACTTCCATGTATACTTAAGCAAATTAGAGTATGTCCCGCTGCTGAACAAACTCGGTTGTTTCACTTATCAAATGGAAATAATAAGAGGTGCATCAAAAAATGTTAAGAATCACCAGGAACACCCAGCTCAAAGCACCTAGAACATAGGCAAAAAGCACACGTCGAATGTGAGTTCTTCCCTTACTTTTTGATAATCAATACTTTTATTTTTCTATTTATTTTCTTACTATTAACATGTTATGTCTTCTTTTACTACCTTTTTAATGGTTAACCTGAAGATTACAACACACTTTTTTTTTTTTTTTTTTTTTTTTGAGATGGAGTTTCACTATTGTCGCCCAGGCTAGAGTGCAATGGTGCGATTTCGGCTCACTGCAACCTCTGCCTCCCGGGTTCAAGTGATTCTCCTGCCTCAGCCTCCTGAGTAACTGGGATTACAGGTGCCCACCACCATGCCCAGATAATTTTTATATTTTTAGTAGAGACAGGGTTGCACCACATTGGCCAGGCTGGTCTCGAACTCCTGACCTCAAGTGATTTACTCGCCTTGGCCTCCCAAAGTGCTGGAATTACAGGTGTGAGCCACCGTGCCAGGCCACAACAGGCTTTCTTGATTTATCACAGTCATATACACAGTATCATTTTATCACCAATTTTACTAGAACTTTAGAGCTGTCTGACTCCATTTACCTCGCCATCTCTTTTGCTTTACTGCTATTGTACACCTAATTTATTGCATCAGTTTTAAACTTCATGAGACTTTATAATTATTGCTTTGTACAATCAATAATTACTTCTATTTAGCCTCTTGCTTACTCATCCTAGTATGTTCATTTCTTCATGCGACCATTTGGAATTGTTTTCCTTCTGCCTGAAGAAAAAAATGTTTTCTTTCAGTACAGACCTGCTAGCCATATTCCCTCCATTGTTATTTCTCTAAAAGTACCTTCCCTTCACTTTCACTATTGAAAATATTTTTCATTCTATTTCTGTGGTGGGTTTTCTTTTTCTTCACTTGAAACATGTTTTATTGTCCTCTGGATGCCACTGTGTCTCATGAGCATTCAGCTGTCAGTTTTGCCATGGCTTTTTGAAGGGTAATGTGTCTTTTTCTGAAGTTGTTTTGGTTTGTTTGTGTTTTTTGTTTTAAGTTCTGGGATACATGTGCAGAACATGCAGGTTTGTTACATAAGTATACGTGTGCCATGGTGGTTTGCTGCACCTATCAACCCGTCATGTGGGTTTTAAGCCCTGCATGAATTAGGTATTTGTCCTGATGCTCTCCCTTCCATTCCCCCGACCCCGTGACAGGCCCCGGTGTGTGATGTTCCTCTCCCTGTGTCCATGTGTTCTTATTGTTCAACTCCCACTTATGAGTGAGTACATGTGGTGTTTGGTTTTCTGTTCCTGTGTTAGTTTGCTGAGAATGATGGAGGGAGTGTAAATTAGTTCAACCATTGTGGAAGACAGTGTGGCCATTCCTCAAGGATCTAGAAAGAGAAATACCATTTGACCCAGCAATCCTATTACCGAGTATATACCCAAAGGATCAGAAATCATTCTACTATAAAGACACATGCACATGCATGTTTATTGCAGCACTATTTACAATAGCAAAGACCTGGAACCAACCCAAATGCCCATCAATGATAGACTGGATAAAGAAAATGTGGCACATATACGCCATGGAATACTATGCAGCCATAAAAAAGAATGAGATCATGTCCTTTGGAGGGACATGGATGAAGCTCAAGTTGTTTTTAAGGTTTGATTTTTTTTACTTTGGCCTTCAGCAGTTTTACTATGACGTTTCTAGGTATGTTTTTGTTTGTATTTCTATCATTCAAAATCCCATGTGCTTCCTTTTTTTTTGAGACAGGATCTCTGTCGCTCAGGCTGGAATGCAGTGGTGTGATCTCGACTGACTACAATCTCCACCTCCTGGGCTCAAGCAATCTTCCCTCCTCAGCCCCCCGAATAGCAGGGACTACAGATGTGCCACCACGCCTGGCTAATTTTCTGTATTTTTGCAGAGACGAGTTTCACTATATTGCCCAGGCTGGTCTTGAACTCCTGGGCTCAGGCAATCCACCTGCCTTGGCCTCCCAAAGTCCTAGGATTACAGGGATGAGCCACTGCACCTGGCCTCCAAGTGCTTCTTGAATCTAAGGGTTCAGTTTGGTAAAATTCTCAGCCATTATCACTAAAAATTTTTTCAGCTACATTATCTTCCTCCATTCACTCAGGGAATTCAATTTTGTATATATTCGACCTTTTCAGCATATTTGGCATGGGTCTTACACACCTATTTTTTTTTAAATCTGGCCCTACGTGTTCATTGGTCCTGTGTTCTGCTGTGTCCAGTTAACTGCTAAGCTCAATATACTCCTAATTTCAGATATTGTATTTTTCCCATTATAGAATATCCATTTGATTTCTTATAGATTTTTAGTATGTGGCAAAAGTCTATCCTTTTATCTGTTTTGTCCATTTTCTCTATTTTTGAGCATATTAATCATAGTTAGCTTTAAGTCCTTATCTACTATTTTTATTTTTATTTTATTTTTATGAAACAGGGTCTTGTTCTGTCACTCAGGATGGACTGCACTCATGTGATCACAGCTCACTACAACCTCAATCTCCTGGGCTCAAGTGACCCTACTGCCTCAGCCTCCCACATAGCTGGGACTATAGGCACACATCACCATGCCCCGCTAATTTTTTAATTTTTTTGTGGAGATGGGGTCTCACTGTGTTGCCCAGGATGGTTCTGCTAATTTTAATATTTGATCATCTGTGGGTCTTTTTATCTGTTTTTCTCTTGCAGCCAAATTATAAAACATGCAAAAGTCAAACTTGGGAGGCTGAAGCAGATCACTTGAGCCTAGAAGGTCAAGGCTGTGATGAGCTACGATCACTCTACTACACTCCAGCCTGGGCAACAGAGCAAGGCTCTATCACAAAAATCAAGACTTTTGCATGTCTGATAATTTTCCATTGTATTCCAGACATTAAAAACTGCAAACACTCCAGGTGACTTTATCATCCACTAAGGAGAATTTTCTTTCCTCTATTAAGTGGATATTGTAAAGGACTGATCATTTCAATCCAATCGTGGGTTAAGCTGAAAATGGGTTAGGTTTTGGTTTTTGTAAGACTCATCGTACCTCTGCTTTTCCTCCATTTCTATGATATGGGAATCCTAGCGTTCGTGGTGATGCTGGTGGGGTCTTTGGCTCTTCAGCCATAAAGGATCCCGGGAGTTTCAGCTTTGCCCTTCAGAGATGTTGACCTTAGCTCTCTATCTTCCCACTAGTGCAGCCAAAAATGTCTTGATGGGGAGACTATCCAACCGTTTGTTTCTCATTCCATACCCAGAAATTGGTCAGTGACCCCAGAGGGGTGGAGAGTAGATGGTAATGGCCAGTTCATCCTAAAAGGATTCCCTCCTTGCTTTCTTAGATCTCTGTGCCTACAAAAATATGCTTTTTGTAAATTTAAATTGTATCTATTTTCTCCCAATTGTTGCAGCAAGAGCACTGGCCAGGACCTTCCACATCCTGGCAGGAGGTCCCCCGCCCTCCTTTGTAACAAATGATCTAACTGGTGACTTGATTCTTATTAAGCACCCTGAAATTTTTCATTAATAACAGAAGAAATTGGAATAAAAGCAGATCCCAGACAACTTGACTGTTGGGTTTTAAGAAACATTTAAAATGGTGTTTGTTTCATTCTCAGATCTGAAGAACATTTTATTTGGAATAAGAACCACTTTTTACAGACAGACCAGGTTGACAGAATTTAAATCACAATTTCCAGTTCAGTTTCAATTTAATCATTCCATTTATACAAACCACAAATCAAAATAAAACCATTGTGACAGAAGAGAACCGTTTTGCCTATAAATTTTATCCTTGTGATTAAGACATGCTTGTAATAAATTATTTGGTTTTTGTTAAAACAATATTGATTCACGTTACCCCACCCTCAGTCAGAATAAGCTCCACACTGACATAACAGAAAAAGAACTGATTGTTAAAAACCTGGAAAGCAGCCAAGTTTACAATAGATTGCTCCTCCTGTTTATAAAAAGCTGCTATAACTGATTATTGCAAAAAATTTCCTCCAAGCAATGCACACACAAGTTGCTGCCTTGAGAAATATGGAAAGTTAGAAATTAGAACTTTACATGTAGTGTATAAATCTAATCAGTGCAAGGAATGAGTGCTGGGAACCCACAAAATACTGTAGGGAAGACTTCTTGCATGGCCCTTTATTCTTAGGAGTACAATGACTCTTGGAGAGGATCAGTGGCGCTTCTGGCTTAAAAATGCAACAGGGGCTTGTCATATTTAGGTGATGAACTACGTGATGTTTGTGCTAATTTCTGACCCTTTCCCATTTCCATGGCTATTCGCCCTTTTCAGAACTCCTCCACAACCACCTAATTGGTGTCTTCTTTCGCCCTAAATTCCTGAGGCCCTTGCTAAGTCCTACCCTTTTAAAGTTATACCACTTCACCTTCCTAAACTTATCACTGCCCTCCCCTTCCACCACACTGCTGCTGCTACCTGTGCCTTCCTTGGGGGAGACTTGCAAGGAGAGTAGAATAGAAATTCAGAAAATAAGCATTTTAAGGCCCTTCTATCTTAACAGGGAGGCACAGCCCACCTTATGTAATGCACCGGGCTAGTCCTGGCCAGATTAATTGAGGAAATGGGTGGTTGTTCTTGCAGAATGAGCTGGGAGAAGAATGCTAACATTAATTGTTCACAGTTTCCAGCCCTTTCTTTGGTTGTGCCTTCTTTATCCTGTCATAGCTGGTAAAAAATTCAAAGGCCACTTTTATTTTTTCAATCAACAGCTTGACAGGATCTAATAAAAATGCAATCCCTTTAATGGACAGGTTAATGCACTGGCGAATTGAGGTCTAGGGCCCCTATACCTGGCACACACACAATCTTTTTCCTGAAACAGCTCTTCCCTTCCCATCAAAGGGTATGAATTATTTGTCCAAACAATCTCCCACTCTAAACTTAATACAAAAGCTTGGTTGGTGTTGAAATTTGGGTGGGGCCCACCAAATCTAAAGCTCTATAGTTCAGGGGAAAAAGCCGCATAGTATTCTAGAATATCAAATGAAACCAAAACACTCTACCTGCCAAGCATTTCCAGCAGCCAAATACCAATGTTAGATTGAGGTGGATGGTTCAAACCTAACAAGGTCAAAGAGGTGCTGCTTAAAGAGCTTTCAATATTGTTTCTTTAACAAATGGCCTGTTTCCTTGTTCTTTCATCAAGCAGAGTTTTTTCCAAAGTTTCAAGGTCTCAAAATGTGTAAGTCGCTTTTTCCATATTTTGTTTCGACATAAATATATTTATTTATAATTATTTAAGTTACTTTTACATATTCGGGAAAATATACATCTTTTTCAAAACACATTATATACGCTTTTACTGTCCTTAAAAGATGGCATATGGGGCCGGGTGCAGTGGCTCACGCCTGTAAGCCCAGCACTTTGGGAGGCCAAGGATCACGAGGTCAGGAGATAGAGACCATCCTAGCTAACACAGTGAAACCCCGTCTCTACAAAAATACAAAAAAAATTAGCCAGGCATGGTGCTGGGCACCTGTAGTCACAGCTACTCGGGAGGCTGAGGCAGGAGAATGGCAGGAACCCTACCCAGGAGGCAGAGCTTGCAGTGAGCCAAGATTGTGCCACTGCACTCCAGCCTGGGCAACAGAGTAAGACTCCAACTAAAAAAAAAAAAAAAAAAAAAAGATGGCACATGGACCAGGCATGATGGCTGACGCCTTTAATCCCAACATTTTCGGAGCCCAAGGTGGGTGGATTGCTTGAGTTCAGGAGTTCGAGACTAGCCTGGACAACACGGCAAAACCCCATCTCTACAAAAAATACAAAAATTAGTCAGGCATAGTGGGCCCACCTGTAGTCCCAGCAACTCGGAAAGCTAAGGTGGGAGGATCGTGTGAGACCAAGAGGCAGAGGTTGCAGTGAGCCGAGATTGTGCCACTGCACTCCAGCCTGGGTGACAGAGCAGGACCCTGTCTCATAGAAAAGGTAGTATATTGGGATATTTTTGCCCATACAGGTGAATGACCAGACTACTGAGATGATGACTAAATGACAGCCCATCTTCTTTGGTATGTCCATCTCTGACCAGGAATTCCACCACTTCTGAGGCACCCAAAACCAGTTTAATTTCAACGAAGAATCTGACTGAACCAAGAATATTTTCATCTCTCAGTCATCCAACCTACAAACCTGACTCTTGTCCCTTATTTCAACCTTGAGCCATACCCAAAAGCTTCATGCACATTTGGAGATACCTTCCTTTACAAAACACCTGAAATCTGCAATCCCCTGCCAGTTCTTGGTGTCATAATCTTTACCCATGGCTGCATCGACTTGTTGGCTATTGTGTCTCTAATTCAATAACACATGGATTCAGAGAGACTATGAGTCAAATCATGTCCCGTCCAAACATAACTACACACAGAAAAGTCCTGCATGACACAGTATGTAGGGTGGATATTAGTTTTGGCTCCCTTTTCTGACTTCAAAAAATGAACCCACCATGAAATAACAATTGTTAACTTCACAGATCAGCACAATTTTACAAAGCACTTTCAGCACCATTATCTCATTCGGGCCCCACAAGAACTCCATGAAGTCGACAAAGCAGGCATTATCCTTATTTTAAAGATTATGAAATTAGGATCCAGAAAGGTCAATTACCTTCCCAACAGCTCCCAGCTGGTAAGCGGCAGAGTCCCAGTAGCACAATGGTTCCAGCCCATCACACAGCCTCAGAAAAACTCTAATTAATGTAGTCTTAGCACAAAGTACAGGATCTATTCGAGCATTATAATCAGCAATCATTGGGATAAATATCTCTTAAAATTAACCCTTCTGAATGTGATGCCAAGTTATTAGAAAGCTCTAGCACCTTGAGACAGTGTTTCACATTGTAGCGCTTAAACTTCTCTCCTCTCTTTCTACAAGTTCACTAGGCTCTTCGTCCCTTCTCTGCTGCATATTTTAAAGTTACAAATATCCTATTATGTTAAAATGGTTGGGAAGTATGACTTTATTATTCAATTATGATGTGACATTATCCCAATAGTAATGTAACTACTTTTTAGGATCCACTTTGCACTTACACAACTCCCCTCCCCCACCCTGTCAGATCCTGTCTTTATTTAAAATTTTAATATTTTGCTCATCATGGATGTTTGTATTTTTTATTTAAAAAATATATTACTGAGCCAGTTGCAGTGGCTCACACCTGTAATCTTAGCACTTTGTGAGGCTGAGGCAGAAGGATCACTTAGCAGAATAAAACTGAAAATCAACTCCAAAAGGAAGTGTCAACATTCTACAAATACATGGAAATTGAATATAATCTGCTCTTGAATGATCTTTGGGTTAACAATGAAATTAGGATGGAAATAGAAAAATTCTTTGAAATAAATGATTACAGTGATACAACTTATCAAAACCTCTGGGGAGATGATCATTATGGCAGACGAGAGGCAAGACTAGATTGCAGCTCCAATTCAGATGGACAGAGCAGTGTGCACAGGCTTGCATCATGAATTTTGGCTCCAGAACGACTGCAAGAACAAACCAGGAACCCCAAGAGGGCCCACAGACCCTCTGAAGGAAGTGGACTGCTCCTGCAGGACCCGGGAGACACTCCAAATACTGTGATTGCTCAAACTGCAGAAGTGGGAAAGGGAGATCCTCCACTCCTGAGCACACATCCCCACGGGCGAAACTGAAGGTTTAGTTTGCAGGACAAGTTTCCAACCTTACCTGGAGCTGAGTCAATTTAGAGAGCCAAGCAAAATACAGGGGTAGAGGAAGCAGCAAGAAAGGCCTTGGGAGCTCGCTGGGTCCCCAAGCAGGCCATTCCTGCCTGGCACCACAGAGATCCTTTGGGAAGACGGCCAGAGGCACAGAAGAAAATGCCACAGGGAGAAGGAAGTCTTCAGCTGAACTTTGTAACAATTTGAACCAGACAAGAAGCCTCCTGGCCAGAACTTGGGGGAGGGCGTGAATCCAGCATTGCAGACTTTACAGAGAGGGGAAGAACCATGCCCTTTTCTTTCACAGCTGGGAGGCAGGTAGCCTGGGGCAAGTTCTCAAGCCCCGCTCACCCACTGCCTGGAAACAGACTCAGGCCTGTTAGTGGGGGCACAGTGGGAGTGAGACCACTCCTGCGGTTTGCATGGGAGCTGGGTGAGGCCTGTGACTGCCGGCTTTCCCCGACTTCCCTGACAACCTGCATGACTCAGCAGTAGCAGCCATAATCCTTATAGGTACACAACTCCATTGACCTGGGAACCTCACCCCCATCCCCTACAGCAGCTGCAGCAAGACCCTCCCAAGTAGAGTCTGAGCTCAGACACGCCTAGCCCTGCCCCCACCTGATGGGCCTTCTACCCACCCTGGTAGCTGAAGACAAAGGGTATGTACTCTGGGGAGTTCTAGGGCCCCACCTACCACTGTTTCCTCTCCACACTACCACAGCTGATGCTCTCTAGAAAGCACCACCTCTCAGCAGGTGGCCAACCAGCACAAAAACAGAGCATTAAACCACCAAAGCTAAGAACCCTCATTGAGCCCATTTCGCCCCCCTGCCACCTCCACTGGAACAGGTGCTGGTATACACGACTGAGACCCACAGATGGTTCACATTACAGGACTCTGTGCAGACAACCCCCAGTACCAACCCGAAGCCAGGTAAACATGATGGGTGGCTAGACCCAGAAGAGAGATGATAATCACTGTAGCTCGGTTCACAGGAAGCCACATCCACAGGAAAATGGGGAAAGTACTACATCAAGGGAACACCCAATGGGACAAAATAATCTGAACAACAGCCTTCAGCCCTAGACCTTCCCTCTGACAGAGCCTACCCAAATGAGAAGGAACCAGAAAACTAACTCTGGTAATATGACAAAACAAGGCTCTTTAACACACCCAAAACACCAGCAATGGATCCAAACCAAGAAGATATCCCTGATTTACTTGAAAAAGAATTCAGGTTAGTTATTAAGCTAATCAGATAGGCACCAGAGAAAGGAGAAGCCCAGTGCAAGGAAATCCAAAAAGTGATACAAGAAGTGAAGACAGAAATATTCAAGGAAATAGATAACATAAAGAAAAAACAATCAAAACTTCAGGAAACATTGGACACACTTACAGAAATGCAAAATGCTCTGGAAAGCCTCAGCAATAGAATTGAACAAGTAGAAGAAAGAAATGCAGCGCTTGAAGCCAAGGTCTTTGAATTAACCCAATCCAAACAAAGACAAAGAAAAAAGAATAAGAAAATATGAACAAAGCCTCCAAGAAGTCTGGGATTATGTTAAACAACCAAACCAAAAATAATCAATGTTCCTGAGGAAGAAGAGAAATCTAAAAGTTTGGAAAACATATTTGGGGGAATAATTGAGGAAAACTTTCCTGGCCTTGCTAGAGACCTAGACATCCAAATACAAGAAGCACAAAGAACACCTGGGAAATTTGTCACAAAAAGATCATCGCCAAGGCACATTGTTATCAAGTTATCTAAAGTTAAGATTAAGGAAAGAATCTTAAGAGCTGTGAGACAAAAGAACCAGGTAACTTATAAAGGAAAACCTATCAGATTAACAGCAGATTTCTCAGCAGAAGCCCTACAATCTAGAAGGGATTGGGGTCCTATCTTCAGCCTCCTCAAACAAAACAATTATCAGTCAAGAATTTTGTATCCAGCAAAACTAAGCATCATATATGAAGGAAAGATACAGTCTTTTTCAGACAAACAAATACTGGGAGAATTTGACACTATCAAGCCACCACTACAAGAACTGCAAAAAGGAGCTCTAAATCTTGAAGCAAATCCTGGAAACACATCAAAACAGAACCTCTTTAAAACATAAATCACATAGGACCTACAAAACAAAACTACAATTTAAATAACAAAAACAAAAATCAAGGTACACAGGCAACAAATAGCATGATGAATGCAATGGTGCCTCACATCTCAATATCAGCACTGAAAGTAAATGACCTAAATGTTCCACTTTAAAGATACAGAACTGCAGAATGGAAAAGAACTCACCAACCAACTATCTGCTGCCTTCAGGAGACTCACCTAACACATAAGGACTCACATAAACTTAAAGTAAAGGGGTGGAAAAAGGCATTTCATGCAAATGGACACCAAAAGCGAGCAGGGGTAGGTATTCTTATTTCAGACAAAACAAACTTTAAAGCAACAGCAGTTAAAACAGACAAAGAGGGGCACTATATAATGTCAAAAGGCCTGGTCCAACAGGAAAATATCACAACCCTAAACATATGTGGACCTAACACTGGAGCTCCCGAATTTATTTAAAAAATTACTAATAGACCTAAGAAATGAGACAGACAGCAACACAATAATAGTAGGAGACTTCAATTACTCCACTGAGAGCAACAGACAGGTCATCAAGATAGAAAGTCAACGAAGAAACAATGAATTTAAACTATACCTTGGAACAAATAAACTTAACAGATATATACAGAACATTTCATCCAACAACAAAATACACATTCTATTCAACAGCACATGGAACTTTCTCCAAAATAGACCATATGATAGGCCACAAAATGAGCCTTAATAAATTTAAGAAAACTGAAATTACATCAAGCACTCTCTGAGACCACAGTGGAATAAAACTGGAAATCAACTCCAAAATGAACGTTCAAAACTACGCAAATACATGGAAATTACATAATCTGCTCCTGAATGATCATTGGGTCAAAAATGAAATCAAGATGGAAAAATAAAAATTCTTTGAACTGAATGACAATAATGACACAACCTATCAAAACCTCTGAGATACAGCAAAGGCAATGCTAAGAGGAAAGTTCATAGCCCTAAACGTCTACATCAAAAAAACTGAAAGAGCACAAACTGACATTCTAAGGTCACAAGTCAAGGAACTAGAGAAACAAGAACAAACCAAACCCAAACCCAGCAGAAGAAAGGAAATAATTAAGATCAGAGCAGAATTAAATGAAATTGAAACCAAAAAAGATAAATAAAACAAAAATGCTGGTTATTTGAAAAGATAAATAAAATTGATAGGCCATTAGGAAGATTAACCAAGAAAAGAAGAGAGAAAATCCAAATAACCTCATTAAGAAATGAAACAGGAGATATTACAACTAACACCATGGAAATACAAAAGATCTTTCAAGGCTACTATGAACACCTTTACGGACATAAACTAGCAAACCTAAAAGAGATGGACAAATTCCTGGAAAAATACAACCCTCCTAGCCTAAATCAGGAAGAATTAGATACCCCAAACAGACTAATAACAAGCAGTGAGATTGAAATGGTAATTTAAAAATTACCAACAAAGAAAGCCCAGGGCCAGATGTATTCACAGTAGAATTCTACCAGACATTCAAAGAAGAATTGGTACCAATCCTTTTGACACTATTCCACAAGGTAGAGAAAGAAGGAATCCTCCTAAATTCATTCTATGAAGCTAGCATCACCCTCATATCAAAACCAGGAAAGGACATAATCAAAAAAGAAACCTAGAGACCAATATCCCTGATGTATATTGTATTAGTCTGTTTTCACACTGCTGATAAAGACATACCTGAGACTGGGAAGAAAAAGAGGTTTAATTGGACTTACAGTTCCACATGGCTGGAGAGCCCTCAGAATCATGGTAGGAGGCAAAAGGCAGTTCTTACCATGGCAGCAGCAAGAGAAAATGAGGAAGAAGCAAAAGCGGAAACCCCTGATAAACCCATCAGATCTCTTGAGACTTATTCACTATCACAAGAATAGCACAGGAAAGACCAGCCCCCATGATTCAATTACCTCCCCCTGGGTCCCTCCCACAACATGAGAGAATTCTGGGAGATATAATTCAAGTTGAGATTTGGGTGGGGACACAGCCAAACCATATCAAACGTAGATGCTAAAACCCTTACCAAAATACTAGCTAACCGAATCCAACAACCTATCGAAAAGATAATCCACAATGATCAAGTGAGTTTTATACCAGGGATGCGGGGATGGTTTAACATATGCAAGTCAATAAATGTGATACACCACATGAACAAAATTAAAAACAAAAACCATGTGATCATCTCAATAGATGCAGAAAAAGCATTCGACAAAAGCCAGCATCCCTTTATGATAAAACTCTCAGCAAAATCAGCATACAAGGGACATACCTCAATGCAATAAAAGCCATCTATGCTAAACCCACAGTCAACATAGTACTGGATGGGGAAAAGTTGAAAGCATTCCCTCCGAGAACTAGAACAAGAGAAGGATGCCCACTCTCACCACTCCTCTTCAACATAGTACTGGAAATCCTAGCCAGAGCAATCAGGCAAGAGCATGGAAAAGCATCCCATGCTTTTTAATAGTGAAGTGTTGATCCTGGATTCGACTTTTGCCATCCAGTACCATATCAACATCATCACTCTCCATATTGAGTTTTACGATGTGTAAAGCAACACTCTCTCTGCATCTGCCTATCAGCTGCTATTTTGGGTGAATGTTTGGTCTTAGATTCTTCACCTCAAGGGTCTCACATCTTCAAATGGTCCATTATCGATGGTGCTGATGATCCCTGTAAGTCCTCTAGACCAGAGGTCAGCAAACTTTGTAAAAAGCGGGACAGTAAATGTTTTAAGTTTTGTGGCGTCAGAGAGTCTCTGTTTCACTACTCACTTCTGCTCATTGTAATACAAAAGCAGCCATATAAAAGGCATAAATAAACTGGCATGGCTGTGCTCCAATAAAACTTTATTTCCAAAAGTAGATGGTGCACTGGATATGGCCCATGGGCCCTAATATATTGACCCCTACTCTGTACAGCAGCCTTGTTCTATTTGTTGGGTTTTTTCAATAGAAATTGAAAGGATGAAATGATGTCTTCATACTTGCAAGATGACTGATCATTATCAACTTAATGGAAAGGGTACACTTGGAGAGTAGAGAAAGACATAGATGACCTGCAAAGCCAGAACCAGAGGTCCCCTCCCAGAGCCACTCTACACGGAAACTCCCATAATGCCATTAACAGGTCCTAAATGCCTGGCAGAGAGGAGATGATCAATAAAGACTGGTACCATTATTATTATCAGGACTAGATTAATACAGCATATGTTACTGAAGTTGTTGAACTATCAACTAAAGACAAAAATGTTTTTTAATCAATCTCATCTCATAGTTTATGGAACAGGAATTGCCAGCTTCCTTTTCATGGGAAGAAACTGAGGCCTTGGTGGTTAAAAACAGAACCAGAAATTCCAAGTAAAAGGCAGAGATGGTAAAACCAGATTTGAAACCCTTGCCAAGCACAGACACATGTAGGCACCACTCATGGCCGTTTTCTTGAGCAAAATGGCCCACAAACTATTATACTTGCAGATTTAGTCCATTTTGCCCAATAAGAATTAATTCTATTGCAGCAACTTGAGGCTCCAATTATCCCTAAACTTTGAAACTCTGCCAGTTCACTAAGAAACTTTTTGTTGTTGTTGTTGTTTTGTTTGTTTGTTTGTTTGGTTTGGTTTTTGAGATGAAATTTCGGTCTTGTTGCCCAGGCTGGAGTGCAATGGCGCAATCTCAGCTCACCGCAACCTCCGCCTTCTAGGTTCAAGTGATTCCCCTGCCTCAGCCTCCCAAGTAGCTGGGATTACAGGCATGTGCCACCACGCCCGGCTAATTTTATATTTTTAGTAGAGACAGGGTTTCTCCATGTTGGTCAGGCTGGTCTTTAACTCCCAACCTCAGGTGATCCACCCGCCTCAGCCTCCCAAAGTGCTGGGATTATAGGCATGAGCCACCATGCCCGGCCCACTGAGAGGTTTTATACATGGAGGCAGCCAGATGTTGGTGGAAAGGGCATGCCATGAGTTGGAGAGCCTCAGAGGTTTGGGTTCAAGTCCTTGCTTTGGTTTCTCTGTGTTTTAGTTCACTCACCTAATGAAATATGGATCATAATACCTACTGAGTGAGTGTTATGGTGAATTCTGTCTCCTCAAAAAATGCGTTGGAGTTCAAACTTGTAGTACCTATTAACGTGACGTTATTTGAAGACGGAATCTTTACAGAATTAATCGAGTAAAGACAAGGTCATTGAGGTGAGCTCTAATCCAATATGACTGGTGTCCTTATAAAAATAAGGGGAAAATTTGGGCCCCAAAACAAATATGCATACAGAAAACACAAAGTGAAGATGGAGGCAGAGATTGGAATTCTGCTGCCACAAACCAAGGACTGTCTGGAACTACCAGAAAAGCTGGAAGAGGCAAGGAAAGATTTTTCCCCTACAGGCTTCAGAGAGAACAGACAGGACCCTCCCAACACTTTGCCTTTTTACTTCCTCTGGATTTTTTACTAGCCTCCAGAACTGTCAAACAATACACTCTGTTGTTCTAAGCCATTTAGTTTGTGGTACTTTGTTACCATAGCCCTAGCCAAGTAACCTTGTGAAGACTCAATGAGATAATGGAAACAAGTGCATCACTCCATGGCCAAGCCATGATGTATGCTCCAGAATGTTTGTGGAAGACATAAGCGTTCTTTTAAATGTCTAGTTTCCATTTAGCAAACCCCTAGTATGTGGCTGTTAGTCAGTTTTGCATTACTATAAAGGAATGCCCGAGGCTGGGTAATTTATAAAGCATAGATATTTTATTTTGGCTCATGGTTCTGCAAACGGTACAGGAAGCATGGTGCTGGCATTAGCTTCTAATGGGGCCTCAGGAAGCTTCCAATCATAGTGGAAGGCAAAGGGGGAGCAGGTGTGTCACATGGTGAGTGAGCCAGCAAGAGGGGGAAGGGGGAGGTCCCGCACTCCTTTAAGCCATCAGTTCTCACATGAACTAATGGAGCGAGACTCACTGATTACCACGAGGACACCACTAAGTTATTCATGAGAGATCCGCATGCCCCAAACCCCTCCCACCAGGCCCCACATCTAACATTAGGGATCACATGAGATTTAGAGGGGACAGACATGCAAACTATATCAGTGGCATATTAGGATACCTTGTGTATGTTCTCGTCAGTAATTCTTACAATAATGCTATGAAATATGGGGGTTATCAGTCTCACCCACATTATAAATGACGAGACTGGAGCCCAAGGAGGTTAAGTGACTTGTGCAAGGTGACACAGCTGGGAAGTGGTCACTGCGTGGCACTGATTCATTTAGGGTAAGTCACCAAGGTATCCTGAATGCAGCAATGACATTAGAGGAATCAAGTGGTCAGAGTTGTTCAAAAGCATGTTCCACATGAATATGTAACATAAGGGATCCATAACATTGGAAAGCCTATTCTAAGCAATTTCAGTGGCATACTTCATACTATAGACCTTTAGAAGTATTATGTAATTTAATTCCACAAAAGGATATGAAATCCAGAGGATATAGTGGACATAGAGATGTGCTGCCTATCCAGATCCTCCTTCAAAGAAGGGCTTGCAATCAAAACCACAATGAGATACCATCTCACATCAGTCAGGATGGCCATCATTAAAAAGTGAAAAATAACAGATGCAGGGAGGTTGTGGAGAAAAAAGAACACATATACACTGTTTGTGGGAGTATAAATTAGTTCAACCATTGTGGAAAGCAGTATGGCGATTCCTTGAAGAGCTAAAAACAGAACTACCATTTGACTCAGCAATCCTATTACTGGGAATATACCCAAAGGAATATAAATCATTCTACCATAAACACACATGCATGTGAATGTTCACTGTGGCACCATTCACAGCAGCAAAGACATGGAATCAACCTAAATGCCCATCAATGACAGATTGGATAAAGAACATATGGTACATATACACCATGGAATACTGTGCAGGCATAACAAAAGAACTAAATCATGTCTTTTGTAGGAACATGGATGGAGCTGGAGGCCATTATCCTTAGCAAACTAAACAGGAACAGAAAACCCAATACCCCATGGTCTCACTTATAAGTGGGAGCTAAATGAAGAGAACACATGGACACAAAGAAGGGAACAACAGACACTGGAGTCTACTTGAAGGTGGAGGGTGGGAGGAGGGAGAGAAGCAGAAAAGATAACTACTGGGTACTAGGTTTAATACCTGGGTGATGAAATAACCTGTACAATAAACCCCGATGACATGAGTTTACCTATATAACCTTCACATGGACCCTGCACCTAAAATAAAAGTTAAAAAAAAAAAAGAAGAGCTTGCTGCCCAAGCTGTCAACTCCTTTAGTGTTGCCTGAGCTATAGAAAGACCTCGCCCAATGTCATGGTCTTCTGGTGCAGTCTACACCGAGTGACTGAACAAGAGGACCAGCTACTTCAGAATTTCAGTGCTGAAGGGTCATGCTCGCTGTAGAGCTCCCCACTTCTAGGCTGGCAGAGGTGTTGTCAGGCCTGTATTATGGGTGGGCATCTCCCTCCTTAGCCTACTCTCCCTGCCCTACTTTCTTCATTAGACATTGTTTCCTACTGATATGCTGCACACCAAACTCCATCTCTATGTCTGCTTCAGAGAACCCAGGTTTTGCATCTTCCTTCAGCTGGCAAGAAACAATATTGGCCCAGATACGAAGCTGATAAAATATCCAGGGAGAGAAAAGATCCTAAAATCTAGGCCCTTGTAACTTGAGACCAGAAGGACAAAATGCAGTGAGGTGTGAAGGAAGGGCTTAAGTGCCTGTAAAAAAAGCTCCAGCCCAGTCTCTGGACAGATGTGAGGTCCCATTGACTTAAAATCCAAAGAAAGAATCTCCGTGAAATAACACTAAAATGCAAGAGTTCATCTTCCCTGCAGCGTTCAGAAATAGTCCCTCTATTATCTGTAGAATCAAATCTGTAAGACCAGATAACTGTATTTTAAAGGAATCCATGATAAGAACATTGGAACTTGATATTTCAAATTCAATGGATCAATTCCAAAAAACGTACATGTATGGCTATGAAAAGCCTACTAAAATAAATGGCATTTCAGATTCTCAAAGTCATTGAAAAAAAGATTTTGAAAGTCTTGTGATATGGGCAAAAACCCCTGGCTGACAAGCAATTGTTTCCTATGTATACATATTCACATGTCCACTTAAGGTCAAGATCAAAAGAAGCTAAGTAAGAACAGAGGAGAGGAAGGACTAAATTGTTCCTTGAGAATTTTTGAGCTGATTAAAAATTTACAGAGAAAAGAATTCATTCCAAACATTCACTTCGGAACTCCCGTTTGAAGGGAGCCTGGTACTTTATTGCTAAACCCTGCCTTTCAAGTGATCTGATTACCCCTTATCAGGGACCATTAGTGTCTCAACCCATCCGCTGTTCGACCTTAATTTCCTTAAAGAAAAACCTTCTTTGGCATGCAACTCCTCCCCTGGTTCACCCCATGGAGTATCCAAGGAATAAAGACACACTGAAACATCCGGCACCAAAAAGTCAAGTCACCTCCTGCCAACTCTAACACACCATTCCACACTCCCGCCACAGAACAATACCATCTTCCTGCCCCAAGCTTTGCTGAGCAACAGAAAGACAAAATGGCATCCAATGTTGAATACGATGATTACGAAATATGTAGCAGGCCAGAGTCAATGAGACTGTGAGAGCTTTCAGCCCTGCCTTTTCCATTTATGGGTCAGGAACCAGAAACCCACAGTCACATGGGGCAGTAGAGGTCAAGTCTAGATTTCCGAATTCAAACCAGGCTTAATTCCACTACAAAGCGTCACCACCCACATCATATTTTTCTCCCACAGCATGACTTAAGGAGAAAACAAACCCTTCAGGCTGATTTGATCTAGGAATGTCATCTCTCCTTTGTTATTATATGCATGTGGTATTATAGACATTTTAAAGATAATTCGGGAAAACTGAGATCCACCACCAAAGAATAATGGCTAGGGAAGAAGAACCCATTTTGAATTAAAATCCCGTGCATATTGGTCTCATTTTAAAATGTGGTCTCTCCCTAGTTTCCACTAAGGGGAAAAAAAGATACAGAAAAGAAGATATAGAAAAAGGGGGAACCCTATAAGAACAGTGAAACTATGACTGGCAGGCAAACTTTTACCAGAATGTGGAAGGAGATGCCACTAATTACAAAGATAAATCCAACAGCGCCCCTCTGGAGCTCTGATTTTCGTCCATCACCATGCTCAGAATCGCAGGTCTGTATGCACAGAAAAACAGCTCAGCCATTCCCATAGGGTGTGGGTGTGGGTTTGTCGATAGTTAAGAGTCCCTTCCGAGCCGGACTTTCTACTTTTATCTCAAAGAGGAAACTAACTAAATGACATAGTGACTGGGAGAGAGGGGTGACCAAGGAGGGCGTTGCAGGGTTGGTGGGCGGCTCCAAGCTCTTGAGTGAGCAAAGAGCCTCAGGAGGTGGAGAGGTGATGCAGGGGCAGGGGGCAGGCTTTGTCATGCGTGCCACCAGTTCAGGGTCAGGAAAGCAAATGGCAAAGGGAGAATCAGGGGTCACATGTAAATTAAGTGGTTGAAATTTAAAGGGTTGCTGGTGAGACCAGGAAGAATGGCAAGAAAACATTTGTCATCGTAAAGTATATCTCTGCTTTATGGCTGGTTAAGGAAAAAGGAAACAGATTTGATTATACAGAAGACAAACCTGAAATTTGTAGGAAAAGTTAGGTGCTCGGGATGAATGGGAGGAGATATGGAGGTAAAAATGAAGACCAAGAAAATAACAGATAACCCAGAATGACTTAAATACTGTGAATTCTTGAGGAGGAAACAAGAGAGGCTGAAAAGAGAGCTTTGATTTAAAAGCATTCATGAGGTCAGGCACCGTGGCTCACACCTGTAATCCCAGCACCCTGGGAGGCCAAGGCGGGCAGATCACCTGAGGTCAGGAGTTCAAGACAGGCCTGGCCAACATGGTGAAAGCCCATCTCTACTAAAAATACAAAAATTAGCCAGGCATGGTGGTGCATGCCTGTAATCCCAGCTACTCGAGGGGCTGAGGGAGGAGAATCACTTGAACCTGGGAGGCAGAGGTTTCCCTGAGCCCAGATTGCACCACTGCACTCCAGCCTGGGGGACAGAACGAGACTCCATCTCAAAAACTAAAAAAATTAAATTAAATCATTCATGAAAACTTTAAAGAGTTAAAAAAATAACCAATATGCAGAGGAAAATTTGTATTTACCATGTTCCAACCTAAACTGATGAGAGAAGCCCCCAGTGAAAGGTGTTCTAACAACTCTTAAGTCATATGAATGGATTCAAAAGGCATATAAGTATTCAACCAGAGGAAAAAAGAAGCCATCTACAACAGAACAAAAAGGAAACACCTTCAGTTGTTCCTTCTATAACACTAAAAACTAAGGGAAAATGCAATACAATTTTGGCTAAATTTAAATTTAAGATTATTAAGAGATGGCCGAGTGTGGTAGCTCACGCCTGTAATCCCAGCACTTTGGGAGGCCGAAGTGGGTGGATCACGAGGTCAGGAGTTGGAGTCCAGCCTGACCAACATGGTGAAACCCCATCTCTACTAAAAATACAAAAATTAGCCGGGCATGGTGGCACGTGCCTGTAATCCCAGCTACTCAGGAGGCTGAGGTGAGAGAATCACTTGAATCTGGGAGACAGAGGTTGCAGTGAGCCGAGATCGTGCCATTGCACTCCAGCCTGGGCGACAGCACGAGATTCCATCTCGAAGAAAAAAAAAAGAGAGAGAGATACACCAAATGGTCAAAAGATGACTCAAAAACAATAGGCCTTCGTGATATAAAAGGACTGGTGACGAACATTAAAATTTATTAAACAAGGTCTAAATAAATGTTATAAAAATGCTGACCATATTAAATATAAATGTAAAACACTTCCCAAAACAATGTATTAAAAAAATTATTTAATAGCAATAATCTGAATCCTGAAACCTAGTTTATATTTTTAAAATCTTAGAAATAATTGTATGACTATGTCAAAACAGCTCACGTACTCCATAAATATACACACCTATATATCCACAAAAATTAAAAATAAAACATTACGTAAAAAAAATCTTAGAAATAGGAAAATAGAGTTAAAACACATTAAGCCGCTTGCTTGATATAGAAAACTTTTAAAAATTATCTCATTCTTCATTTTGATTATTATAGGAATACATATTTTAAAAGTTTTTATAAATTTAAAGAGCCATTAGTAAAGTTAAAACTAAAGTACATTGACTCAATCTCAGGAGAGTGTAAAGGTTAAAAATAAGTAAGTACACATTTTTTAAAAACTAAAACATTAGAAAGAGGAATAAAACATTTTTTAAAAGTAGAAACTTTCTCGCAAAAATAAATAAAAACATTAAAAGATGATCAGATTGAATTTTTTAAATCAAATATATTTTGTCCTCAAGAGATATTTTGAAAATAAAATGACCAGGAAAACTTTTTTTAAATGAACAAAGATTTGTTAAACAAATTTTTAAGTGGATTTAAAAATAGGAAAGTGTAGCAATATTTATTTCTGACAAAGTGGAATTTCAGGTAGAATACTGAACAGTATAGGGACTGAAAATTTATATCAATAAAGATAGAATTTAAAATGCATACATAATAATAAACCTTTCCTGAATAGCATATCAAATATATGAAGCAAAAATTATTTCAGATAAATAATATTTAAAGGAGAGAAACCATTATATAGAAAATAATACACATGCCTAAATAACCTTTGATTTAAAAATTAAAACAAGCCAATAAACAAAGTATTTTTAAATGTGTAAAATTTTAAAATATATAATCAAAACTCTAGAGATAGGTAAGTTTACATTTTAATTCTCTTAGTATTAAAAAGGAAACAAAAAAAATGAACTAAGCCCACAATCCAAAAAGGAAACAAATCTAAAGAAGGCAGAAAATATTTTACAAAACCATTGTCATTCAACAAATTATATAATTAATTGATAAGTCCTGGAGCTGATTCTTTGGAAAACATGTACATAAAGACACACACATTTCTAGCACTTAAGAAAATAAAATCAGAAAATAAAAATATACCTATGTAAATGAAGTAGAAATGATCACAAATAAAAAGATTATAAGTTATAAAACATATTTTTATAGATCTATGCTAATAATATATTCACAAAATGACAGATTCCTCCAAGAAAATGTTCATTATCAAAACAACAGCAAAAGCATCTCATGTGGACAAGCCAAAAACTATGGAAAATTTTTCAAAAGTTACCCAAAATTCATCTCCAAGAGGCTACATACCATAACATGTTTTTAGGTAAGCTCTTTTAAAAAAGTAATAGATTATTTTTATGTTATATAAATCACCTCAGAGCACAGAAAATATAGAAAGCCTACCAGCACAGTTTACATAATTTGCCCAATTCTGAAACCAAAACCAGAGAAGAGAGGAAAGAGGAAATCCAAAAGAAAAAAAAAAAGAGGAAA